>NC_000019.10:46937843-47240874 GCF_000001405.40 Homo sapiens
CATTGTTCGGATGCCTGAGACCCATGTATTGATAGGATTTTTTTCTGAGGTAAGAAAATGATTAGGATGTTTGGGATATCTTCTGGTTATGCCGCTCCTCTGACAACTTGATGCTATCACAAAGGTAGACTGTCTTGGGAAATTTTTTTGCATTGTTCTTGAAATAATTAAGTTTTACTTGTGTTGAAACCATTTGCTTTATTCATTTGAGCTCTCATGTGTCCCTTTGGCCTTCCAGTTTCACTAAGGTGGGTTCTTGAGCATTCGGAGTTGGGCTCAGGAACACAGGCTTAAACTAATTTGAAACTAAGGTAGGGATTACAGCCTTCCAATCTGTTCTTTCTAACTCTGATATTATCTACAGTGGTATTAAGTATTGTGTGGTGTGGACAGCCTACTAGGCTCTGCTGATAATTTCAGCAGCATCGTGTGAAGCTGAGTGACAGTGTTCATATTTACTTAGGATGTTGTAAAGCAGGGAAGATGGCTTTATTTATTATTTTATTTTTATTTTTATTTTTATTTTTTGAAATAGAGTCTCACTCTGTTGCCCAGGCTGGAGTGCAGTGACACGATCTCAACTCACTGCAACCTCCGCCTCCCAGGTTCAAGCGATTCTCCTGCTTCAGCCTCTGAGTAGCTGGGATTACAGGCGCCCGCCATGACGCCCAACTAATTTTTGTATTTTTAGTAGAGACGGGTTTTTGCCATGTTGGCCAGGCTGTTCTTGAACTCCTGACCTCAGGTGATCTGCCCGCCTCGGCCTCCCAAAGTGCTGGGATTACAGGCATGAGTTACGGTGCCCAGCCGAAGATAGCATTTTTTTTTTTTTTGAGATGGAGTCTCTCTCTGTTGCCAAGCTGGAGTGCAGTGGCATGATCTTGGCTCACTGCAACCTCTGCCTCCCAGGTTCAAGTGATTCTCCTGCCTCAGCCTCCTGAGTAGCTGGGATTACAGGTGCACACCACCATGCCCGGCTAATTTTTGTATTTTTAATAGAGATAGGGTTTCACCACATTGGTCAGGCTGTCTCAAACTCCTGACCTCGTGATCCGCCCACCTCAGCCTGCCAAAGTGCTGGGATTACAGGCATGAGCCACTGCGCCTGGCCTGAAGATAGTTTTTAAGTTGGAGCCCACCAAAGACTTTGTATTTATTTCCTAGGTTTTCTGTGGAAACCAGAGAAATAATTCCCCCCAGGCTTGAATCTCAGTAATAAGCACTTGGCATAATCATTACAGATCTATAGCTTTGTTTAGTCCATTCTGTACCCAAAGCGGTTTCTCATTGTCCATCTTTTTTTTTTCCTGCTGTAGACACAGGGGTCTCACTTATTGCCCAGGCTAGTCTCACAATCCTAGCTTCAAATGATCCTCCTACCTTGGCCTCCTAAAGTCCTGGGATTACAGGCGTGAGCTACCATGCCTGGCTTCAGTGTCCATCTTTTTGACACTCGTTTTATATTAATTTCCTCCTTTATCTGTCTCTATAAAATGTTTGAAAGTTGCAGGTGTGATATGCACCTTTACATTTATTTATTTATTTATTTATTTATTTATTTATTTATTTATTATTTAATTTTTTTAGATGGAGTCTAACTCTGTCACCCAGGCTGGAGTGCAGTGGCACGATCTAGACTCACTGCAACCTCTGCCTCCTGGGTTCAAGCAATCCTCCCACCTCAGGCTCCTGAGTAGCTAGGATTACCGGCATGCACCACCACACCTGGCTAATTTTTTTTGTATTTTTAGTAGAGATGGAGTTTCACCATGTTGGCCAGGCTCGTCTCAAACTCCTGACCTCAAGCAATCCACCCGCCTTGGCCTCCCAAAGTGCTGGGATTACAGGCGTGAGCCACCATGCCCGGCCTGCACCTTTACTTTTAAATACTTCAGTGGGTATTTCCCAAAAACATTCTCTTATAGAACCACTGTGCATTTATCAAAATTAGGAAATCAACATTGATCTAGTACTAATCTGTCTGTAATCTAATCTATAGACATTCTCATTTCATCAGTTTTCCCACTACCTTCCTTTATAGCAACAGACAAAACACTGTTTTGGTCCAGGACCTTATCCTGGACCACACGTTACATTTAGTGGTCAAATCTGGCCCAGCACAGTGGCTCACGACTGTAGTCCCAGCACTTTGGGAGGCCGAGGCAAGCAGATCATGAGGTCAAGAGATCGAGACCATCCTGGCCAACATGGTGAAACCCCGTCTCTACTAAAAATACAAAAAATTAGGCCGGGGCGGTGGCTCACGCTTGTAGTTCCAGTACTTTGAGAGGCTGAGGCGGAAGATCAGGAATTCGATACCAGCCTGACCAACATGGAGAAACCCAGTCTCTACTAAAAATATAAAATTAGCCAGGCTTGGTGGTGCATGCCTGTAATCCTAGCTAGTCGGGAGGCTGAAGCAGGAGAATCGCTTGAACCTGGGAGGCGGAGGTTGCGGTGAGCCAAGATCGCACCATTGCACTCCAGCCTGGCCAACAAGAGCAAAACTGTGTCTCAAAAAAAAAAAAAAAAAAATTAGCTGGGCATGGTGGCACGCACCTGTAGTCCCAGCTACTCGGGAAGCTGAGGCAGGAGAATCGTTTGAACCCAGAAGGCAGTGGTTGGAATGAGCCGAGATCACGCCACTGCACTCCAGCCTGGCGACAGAGCTAGACTCCATCTCAAAAACCAAAAAACCAAAAAAATAAAATCACCAATCAGTTATTTTGTAGGGTGTTCCTCAGCTTAGCTTTGTTTTCCCTTTTTTTTTTTTTTTTAATTTTTTGTATTTTTGGTAGAGATGGGGTTTCTGTGTTTCCCAGGCTGGTCTCAAACTCCTGAGCTCAAGCTATCCACAAGCCTCGACCTCCCAAAGTGCTGGCATTACAGGCGTGAGCCACTGTGCCCGGCCTTGGCTTTGTTTTAGTTTTTTGGATATTTCATCGTGATCAAGTTCTGGGTTTGCACTTCTGGCAGATACCACAGGGCAGCAATGCCTTTGCTCTGTCCCCTCCACTTCATCTCTGCTGCCCACCATCACCCACCTTCTCAGTCCAGTCTATGGGTATGACAGTTTATCTGCTGAAAACCCATCCTTGCTTCTTTGTTGCCTACCAGATGCAGGTCGCACTCATAATCCTCCTTCCCGGACTCAGGAACAGCAAGACTGTTACTATGCCATTGTCCCCTGCCCTCCTTCCCACCCTCCTTTTTTTTCCCTCTCCCACTCCCTTCTTTCACCCCTTTCTTTCTGTTTTATGCTGCTTCAAGTATTAATTTTAAAATTGTTCTACAAGAATGCGATTTATCAGAAGGATGTGAACCAAGCAGAATTTCTTAGTATTTCTTTGCCTTAGGGCATTCCCCTTGTGTGGTTTAAAATTTGTCCCCCATTCCTTTTTGCCTGTGGAACTTATCCTTATTCTTCAAGAGACTCCTACTCCTAATAGCACTTTGAATTTAACCTCCCTGGTAGTTCTTCTCAGCCAAATTTCACCTTCCTGAAAACAGGATTCTCTGTTCTCCTTGTCTCCCTAGAGCCCGATACAGCATATACATTAATTGATTATTGTAAATTAGCCAGGCATGGTGGCACGCATCTGTGGTCCCAGCTACCCTGGAGGCCGAGGTGGGAGAATTGCTTGAGGCCAAAGGTTCAAGGCTGCAAGTGAGCTGTGATCATACCACTGCACTCCAGCCTGGGCAACAGAGCGAGACCCTGTCTCTTAAAAAACAAAAGAGAGAGAGAAAGAGACAGGGTCTCGCTCTGTTGCCCAGTCTGGAGTGCAGTGGTGCAGTCATAGCTCACTTGCAGCCTCACCTTTCTGGCCTCAAGCCTCTTGAGTAACTGGGACTACAGGCATGTGCCACCATGTCTGGCTAATTTTTGTATTTTTTGTGGAGACAAAGTCTCACTATGTTGCCCAGGCAGGTCTCAAACACCTGGCCTTAAGCCATCCTCCCACCTTGGCCTCCCAAAGTGCTGGGATTATAAGCATGTGCCACTGGACCCAGCCAGAGACCCTGTCTCTTTAAAAAAAAAAAAAAAAAAAAAAAAGATAGATTGAATGAGTGGTTTTCAATCTGGAACACCTTAATTCCATTTTCGTCTTTCTTCAAGAAAAAAATGACCATATATTTCCCCTTGTTGGCATTAGTTTGTACTTTTATGGAATTTCAGAAGAAAAATTAAACCTGGTATCTGTGAGCTTAGTGTGCATTGGAGGGATGTCTTTGTGTACCCTTATTTCCTAAGAAAACTTTTTCTCCCTTTTATAAAATTAAAGCAAGTTCATTGTAGAAATTGGACAAATGGCAAGAACTGTGAAGAGGAACTCAAAGATTCGTGATCTGCTACTTAGTGAAAACCACCGTTAATGATTTGAGATGTTTCTTGTAGTCTTATTTCTCTGCATATACACATATATTTATTTTCACATAATTCAGAGTATGAGGTAAGCTAGCTTTCAACATTTTTTTAACATAGCCCTCTTAGATGAGGCAGAAGAGGCCGGGTGCAGTGGCTCACACCTGTAATCCCAGCACTTTGGGAGGCCGAGGTGGGTGATCACTTGATGTCAGGAGTTCCAGACCAGCCTGACCAACATGGCAAAACCCCATCCATCTCTACTAAAAATACAAAAATTAGCTGGGCTTGGTGGTACATGCCTGTAATCCCAGCTATTCGGGAGGCTGAGGTGGGAGAATTACTTGAACCCACGAGGCGGAGGTTGCAGTGAGCCGAGATCGCACCACTGCACTCCAGCCTGGGCGACAAAGTAAGACTCTGTCTCCAAATAAATAAATAAATAAAGCATGCATGCATGCCAGGCATAGTGGTGTGCACCTGTGATCCCAGCTATTTGGGAGGCTGAAGCAGGAGGATTGTTTGAGCCCAGGAGTTCCAAGGCTGCACTGAGCTCTGATCGCACCACTGCAATCCAGCCTGGGCAACAGAGCAAGACCCTGTCTCAGAAAAAAAAAAAAAAAAAAAAGGAAAAGAAAAAATTACCATTAATTCAGTAGTATCATTTCACATACAGTTCATTTTAAAATTTATTCATTTGACGTAAAACTATATGTTATAGCTGAGCTTTTTGTACTAGGATTCAATCAATAGTCACACTGCACTTGGCTTTGCCTCTTTAGGCCCTTGCCGTCCAGAACAGTCCTCTCTGGCTTGTTTTAATAATGTGATTTTTTTTTTTTTTTTAAAGAGACAGAGTCTCACTCTGTCACTGAGGCTGGAGTACAATGGTGCAGTCGTAGCTCACGGCAGCCTCTAACTCCTAGGCTCAAGTGATCCTTCCTCCTTTTCTTCCTGAGTGCTACAGGCATGCTCCACCACACTCAGCCAATGATGACCTTTTTTGAAAAGCCTAGTCAGTTGTCTTGCAGAATGTCCTCTTCATGTAATGTGCTCTTTGGACCTCTTCAGCATCCTCAGCTGCCTTCCAGGACCAAGTGTGGCCTCTGACTGAGCAGGGGGTTGAGCACCCTGCAGGTGGTGGACGCGGGACTGCTGCCTCCCTTTCTGGACAGGGCACACGTATGAATTGGGCTTACGGGCTCCATAGGGTTGTATTGAATAATTGAACGAATTGTGAGCTAGTGTTTTCCCCAACTTTGACTGACAGATAGTGGGCTTGCACTTTGCTTAGGGAAAGCTGGTGCTGCCACCTGCCCTCTCACCCCATCTCTCTCTCTTGCTCATGGTTGGAATGGCCATATGACCACACAGTTTCCATGTAGTATTCCAGGCAGGGAGTCCTAGCTGATTAGAGATGACATTCCCAATGAAACTTGTTTGCCAGGCCTGGTCAAAGCAGTCCAAAGTCAGAAGTCTTTGTGTCCCTGTTTTTGTGTCCATTTCATGTACCTTGGCACTTTAAGGCTTGTCCTGCAAAATAAAACATTGCATCATCACTTGTGAAGGCAGAGCTTGGGAGTTTGCACTGCTAAGATGAGGATAGGAAAGAAATTTATGCCGCAGGGCCTTTGATGCTGCCCACTCACCTGTCTGCACAGCCAGGGCACGGCCAGCGGGAGTGGAGAAGATGAGCGAGACCAAAACCTTGCCGTGGGGAGGAGGGTGGCATAGCCATTGATAAATCGGGACTTGAACTATCCCATCACTCTAAAAATATTTTTTATCTGATTACAAAAGTAATAGATGGCCAGGCATGATGGCTCATGCCTGTAATCCCAGCACTTTGAGACAGCAAGGCAGGAGTAGCATTCAAGCCCATTAGTTTAAGACCAACCCTGGCAACATGGTAAAATCCTGTCTCTACCAAAAATACAAAAATTAGCCATACATGATGGTCCATGCCTGTAGTCCCAGCTACTCAGAGGCTGAGGTAGGAGGATCGCTTGAGCCCAGAAGGTTGAGGTTACAGTAAGCTGAGATCATGCCACTGCACTCCAGCATGGGCGACAGAGTAAGACCCTGTCTCAAAAAAAAAAAAAAAAAAGTAATATACTTGCTCACTGTAAAACAAATTAATCATTATAGATATGTAGGACAGAAAGTAAAAATTCTTTATAATCCCAGTCTCCAGGAGTCATCTCATTAATGTACAGATTATGCTTCCTGCTAATGCTAGTCCCCCAAAACATTGAAGTCTGAGTATGAGATCATCTCTGTGCTGTTCCGCAGCTCATTGTCTGTTTTAGCAGAACATGATATCTTGGGCGTCACTTCTGAATTCCACCTCCAGGCCAATTGGATTTTGGTTTTTGATGTGAGGAGAGGATGCAAGAGCTGGTATGAGAGGAGGGTCTCTGGAAGTGTGGGAAGAGAAGCCTTGTTTGCAGAGGTGGCACGTGGCAGTTTCCTGTGACTGGCATCTCCCAGCCCCTTAGTTTGTGAGTAAAGTGCCAAATCCTTCTAAACACAGATCACAAGAAAAAAGATCATCACTTTCTTACCTCAATTTACTGCTCCTGATGTTTACAAGCAGGGCGCTGTGTTGAGACTCCTCCCCGATATTTTCCCTTCTCAGGTTAGCTCCTACATTGTGAGGGAAATTGGTTCTGATTTGCACCTGTCTTCTTTCCTGAGCTTTCTGACCAGTTCATTTACCCTTGTTCATACTTCTGAAAATCAGAATGTGGTCAAGAAATGACCAGAGAGTAGAACAGCTTTCAGATTGATCTGCAGATGCTTTTAGGACAGCCCAGCCCCGGACACCCTCTGTGCTTGCTGTGCTAATAGGATATTCGACTTTCACTCTCTCAGCTCCGGTTACATGGAAAGGCTGGATGAGGGCATGTCACTGCCACAGCTGCTCTGGGACCGCCACTGAGAGTGGGAAGGAGGCGGGGTTGAGGGGGAGCTTAGGAGGCGGGGTTGAGGGGGAGCTTAAGAGTCAGACTAACTTTCTATTTCTAGCTTGAATGCTTTTTTTCCTCCAGTTTTCATCTTTGTGGAAAATTGGTTGAGGCAATGGAGTCACTGCTCCCTTCTGCAGCAGTGTGGCTCCTAATGACAGAGAACATTGGCCAAGCTCATCTGAGCTCTCTGATGCACAGCAGGAAGTAGAATTATTCAATTCAGTGTACCTCTCTGGAATGGGGCAAGAGGTTACTTTTAGAGCTGGCTCACAATCCTCCTGAGAATAATTTCTCAGGGTAAAGTACACTCTTGATAGCTCATGGTGGTCACAAGACTGAGGTTTTAAATCCTGGGTCTCAGGGCCAAATTTGAGTCAAGCCTTCCTAGGATTCAAGAAATCTGACAGCATAGGAACCCCCTGAGGCAGCTTCCAAGTGTCGTCACACCTGCCCACCCGGGACGGTCTCAGCGTTCTGGAGACAGAATCCTAGTGCCCCACTTGCCTTGGCTCTGCTGTGTGTGTTCCCGGGTCCCCAGCCTCTCCTCAGCCTCACTTGCTATTTAACTAGAAATAGCATTCTCTACGCATGCTTTCTTTGAATAATATGTGAGGCCAGACTTCGTTCCCTGTTTCTGTGATTTTTAACCTCTGCTTTTGGCAGTGTGAGAGGAGGCATGGCAACAGTGAGGAAATGATTTCCCTGGCCCCAGTCCTTTCTTAATTGGTTTGCTTACTGAGATGACCAACCCTCCACATCTCTAGCCAGTGCTGTAGAGGCCGAGAAGAGGAATTGTGCCTAGGGAGAAACAGTTTTACTGGGGCAGAAGGCACCCATCTTCTCTCTTGAGTTATGATGTATTCAAACTATTCTATATAAATAACTGCCAGGACACAGTTTTGTTAGTGCAGCTGACTTTCAGTTAGTCCCTCTGGAATGAAAAGCTGTCTGAAGTCAAGGAAGGCCTGGCAGGTGTTCCCTCACCCCGCTTTCTGTTCCATACATGTTTCTTGAGCGTTGATATGGCCTAGGCCTGGCTCTGGGCACTCCGTCATATATGATCCCATAAGAGATGGTGTTTTGCTCTAAGAACATGGGTGTGGTAGGAAGCTAGCCCTTGGGAGGGGTCAGGGTACATCTCAGTCCTCTGTCACTGTGGGGAGGACCTCAGTGTCAGTAAAGTTCAGGGTTAGTCTGGCTGGAAAAAAGGTGGCAGCATTGATATTCCCTTCCCTGTATATAAAACCTTGAGAGGAGTCCTGCATAAAATCCGGTGGCAGAACCCAGGCTCTGCCTCTCAGGGCAGCACCTACCTGTCATAGTAATTTAGCTGAAGTTCACATTTATTTTCTTTTTCTTATTTTTTACTTTTTTTCAGAAATGGGGTTACCCTGTCACCCAGGCTGCAGTGCAGTGGTGCAATCACAGCTCACTGCAGCCTTGAACTCCTGGGTTCAAGCGATCCTCCCGCCTCAGCCTCCCAAGTAGCTGGGACTACAGAAGTATGCCACCATGCCTGGCTTGGTTTTTTTGTTTTGTTTTGTTTTGTTTTTGTTTTTGTTTTGTGTGTGTGTGTGTGTGTGTTTGAGATGGGGTCTTGCTGTGTTGCCCAGGCTGGTCTCTAACTCCTGACCTCAAGCGATCCTCCCTTCTCAGCCTCCCTAGTCTCTGGGATTGCAGGCATGAGCTCCTAAGCCCAGCTTCACATTTATTTTCAAAAGCTCTTTGCTGGAGGGTCTGCAGAGCCCCACCTTGGGGTATCATTGCCTGCACTTAGGAGACTGTAATGTAAATGGTGCCTTCTTTATTTGCCTTCCAGGGGCACTTCCTTGATGGACACATAATCAGGTCAACTTTGACCTCTTGTCCCTGGTTGAGTGGGGAAATCCCAGAGAGAGGATCACGTGGTTGTAGGAAGACAAACTTCCAGATAACTCTTTAATAGCTTTAAGCTTAATTCACTTACCATCTTTTTTGTGGGGGTGGATGGCAGATCTTGTTCATTAAATGAGTATTTATTGACTTTATATTAATTAAGCACCTACTATATGCTAGGCACTGTTTTGAACTCAGATAGCCCCCATGTGTCTGGGCGTGGGGGAGATAGATATAATCACATGAATGCATAATTCTTCAGACAAGGAATGTTATTGGATTTTAAAATTATTGGGGAATAAAATAACACACAGGACCCAGTGTTGGTGAGGATATGGAGCAATTAGAATCCTCACATTGCCGAAGGGAGTGTAAAAGGGCAGAGTCACTTTGGAAAACTCTTTGGCAGTTTATTAAAAAGTTAAATAGATCCTTTTATAGTTCATAAGTGTGATGATGGGGTGTACAGGGAAAAACTCCAACCCCATTTTTCCTCTAGCCTCACACCACCACAACAATCACCAACACAGAAGACTTATGTGACCAAATGTGTGGGGTGCTTTCCCCACACACCAGGCACCAGACACCAGCTGGGTGTCCTCCGGTTCAATTCCAAAACCGTCTACCTAGAGATAGTGTCAGATCCTGCAGGTTGGGGGCTCAGCACCCAAGACTGCCCTCCACATCCCCAGACACCAGTTGCAAGTGCAGGCCTCTGGAACTTCTGACTGACCGGCTTCAAGCTGGGGTTCCCATGACCCCCTCTTTGGGTTCAGTTAATTTCTGGAGCAGTTCACAGAACTTAGGGAAACACTTGCTTATATTTACTGGTTTATTATAAAGAATATTACATGGGATACAGATGAAGAGATGTGGGTAGGGCGAGGTACAGGGGAAGGTCGTGCAGCTTCCATGCCCTCCCTGGGCACCAGGAACCTCCAGTGTTCAGTTATCTGGAAGCTCTCTGAACCCTGTCCTCTTGGGTTTTATGGAAGTTTTATGACATCAGCATTCCTTCCCCCAGGGTATAGGGTGGGACCCTCGCAGGGGAGGGTCTTAAGACTCACAGTTGGAAGGTGGGGGAAGATTAGAGTCCTGCCTTGTGGCAGGTGAAAGGAGGACAGGAGAGAGATTGTGTTTCCCGATACCTGCCCTTGGGGCCTAACACACCCAACATTATAACAAAAAACTATAACAAGGGCTGTGGGAGTTAGGAAACAAGAACTGTAGACAAAAACCTATGTATCATATCACATTGGGTTTTCATGCTCATGTGTGAGAAGTGCCTCTTTCAAACCTTGTTCTGACACATTATCTTACATGCAAGGAAAAAAAGCTAAACATACACTTACCATCCCACTTCTAGGTATTTGCCCAAGAAAAATGAAAACATACGTTCACACTAAGACTTGTACTCAGCTGTTTCTAGCAGCTTTGTTCATGACAGCCCCAAACTAGGAGCCACCCAGATGTCCACCACCAGGTGAATAGACCAGTAGGTCCATCCATCTGATGGAATACTTCTCATTCATTAAAGGGAATAAGTACGCTGTGTGTAACAACAGTGGGATCTCAAAATTATGCTTCTGAGAGTGATGGAAGCCAGACACACAAGACCATGAACCGCGGTTCCCTTTCTAGAAAGTTCTGGAAAATGCACACTAACCTACTAATGTGAAGCCAACCAGTGGTAGCCTGGAAGCTGGGATGGCAAGAAGAATCGATTGCAAAGAGACAATAGAAAACTTTTGTGGGTGGTGGAAGTATTCCATATTTTAATTGTGATCATTTCACTCATGTATTACATATTTCAAAATTATCGGGCCAGGCGCGGTGGCTCACGCCTGTAATCCCAAAACTTTGGGAGGCCGAGGCAGGTGGATCACAAGGTCAGGAGATCAAGACCATCCTGGCTAACACAGTGAAACCCCGTCCTTACTAAAAATACAAAAAATTAGCCAGGAGTGGTGGCGGGCGCTTGTAGTCCCAGCTACTCGGGAGGCTGAGGTAGAAGAATGGCGTGAACCCGGGAGGCGGAGCTTGTAGCCAGCCAAGATCGTGCCACTGCACTCCAGCCTGGGCAACAGAGCAAGACTGCGTCTCAAAAAAAAAAAAAAAATTATCAGATGGTATACTTTAAATGGATACAGTTTACTGTATATAAATTATACCTCAATAAAGTTGATTTTTAAAAACAAAACAAAAAAGAAGTCATTGGGGAACAGTTTTGAAGAAACTTGCTGTTTATATAATTTCAAAATATCATCTAGCGCATTAACTACTAGTTACAAAGGGGGACCACACCTTTATAATTTAAAGATCTGGGTATTACCACCTTACCAAAGTAGTTACACTCAGCATCTCTACTGGATGAACCCGACATTGTGTTGTGCCTCCTGGCCAAAAATATTTCACCTGAATTTTATCAGGGAGAAGCAATCAGACAAACCCAGAATATGATACATTTATAAAACAAGTGGCCTGAACTCAACAAAAAAGGGGTCTCATGTGACTTCTCCATTTGTACCGTGAACTCGTTTTCCACTAGCCTAGTCAGATGTGAAACCCATGAAACTTGGAGTCACAGCTGACACCCCACCTTTGCCAGGCAGGAGTAGCTGGCCAACCATAGGCAAGACACCTAAACTTTCTAAGCCTCATTTTTCTGTTCCTTCAAATTGGGAATTAAAATAACAACTCTTTCAAAGGGAGTTTTTGACAATTAAATCCTGTTTGTAATGTTCTTGGAGTAGTGCCTGGCACATAGTGATCATTCGGTCAATGTTAGCCATTATTTTGGTAGCTCCTGTCACTGACCTGCTGTGGTGTGGAAATCCCAATGGGACGTTTCCCCAAAACAGTAATGGATGAGACTGGGCAGTGTCTGTAGGCAGTTTTTAAAACTTCTCCTTGAAATATAACACACACTAAGAAAAGCACACCCATCTGGGCACTGGTTGCATAGGTCAGGAAAACAGAAGACGGCCACCCCCAAAGGCCCCTCGTCATTTCATCCCTCAACAAAGGATAACCAGTATCCTGGCATCCAATGGTATGGAATACTTTTGCCTGCTTTTGTATTTTAAAAATGGAATCATACCAAATGCACATTTTTGTACCTGGCTTCTTTCACTTAACATTATGAGATTCAGCTACATGATTAAATCCGTAAATTCATCCATGGTTGTGTATGATTGTAAATGGTTCGTTCTCATTGCTATGTAGACTTTCATCATGTGAATATTCCACAATTTCTTTCTTTCTTCCACTCTTCCTGGACATTTGGGTACTTTCCAGTTTGGGGCAGTTATGAATAGTGCTGCTGTGAACATTCCTGTACATGAATTTTGGTGTACATATGTGTGCACTTACATTGGTGTGTATACCTAGAAGGGAGGCAGTTTTGAATAATTCAGTTTAGCATGTTGGACACAATGATTTAAATGATGTCTCCAAGCACGTATCAGTCCCTGAAGGGGTAATAATCTCTGAGGCTGATGGCAGAGGCAGTCAGGGGATCTCTCTGTGTTACTGAGCTTGTGGTGGTGTGTTTTTGTATCTTCGGGGCTGAAGGAGTGATTCTGGCAGGGTGAGTGTGGGTTCCCCAAAGCTATCACCACATTCTTGCCCCAGCTGGATCGTTGCCATCTACTGAGGCCTGGCTGGCCCTCCATTACCTCGCTGTGGCTCTCTCTGTGGTTTTGCATTGAGTCTGTGGTTTGCACACATCTTGATGACCCCATGGTTTTTACCTGCCGGGCCATCATAGGACAGTGCTCTCTGATGAAATGCTGGCCATTTGTGGCACAGAGAAGTAGGTGTCAACAAGAACACCTAGCAGTGAGACAAGTCTTCACCAAGACTCCAAAATGAAAGGTTCAGCCTTGTGGGCAGTTTGTGAGGAGAGGAAAGAGAGCAAGTCAAGAAATGAGGCTCTTACCCCAGTCCCTTTACAGGGCGAATGTGGAGCCCGGCAGCTGTGGACCAGTTTGTCTCCATCATTTGCAGGTCAGAGGTTACCCTCAGCTCCTCAGCTGCAAATGGAAGCCCTCTATCAAACGGCCTTTGCCAGAATACTTAGGCTGTGACCTTCCCCCTATGCAGCTCATTTGCCTGGGTAAATGAGTAGAGTGCTTTCTGCGTGGCAGATTTAAATTTCACCACTAATTGATGCTAGCGTCTTCAGGGGAAAATGCTTGCCATTAGATCACAGGCCTTTGGGAGACAGCCTCATAACAAATACATCCAGGACAGGGGGCGGGGATGGGGAAAGTACAGAATGCAGCTGTACCGAAAGGAACTGTGGGACGTGCCCAGAGAAACCAACTGAGTACTTTTGAGGCATGCCCTTGGGGACTGCGCATGTGCATGGTTGTGCCATGTGTGTTTTGATGGCCTTTTTTTTTCTTGCTAGTGTATAGTATGTACAGGACAAACTTGGAGCCAAACTGTCTGGAATCAAATCCCAGCTCTGCTGCTTACAAGCAAATATTTAACTTCTCCATTGTTAGTTTCCTTGACCATAAAATGGGGATAATGATGGTACTTTGAGTCATGAGATGATTCAGTATGTTAGAGACCTCATAACAGTACCTGGCAGGTTGTAAGTAGTCAATTTGCTACTGTTGTTGGTGTTATTATTGAAATGATCTAAGATGCATCTTCCACTCTAGGCAGGCCCCTGTGCTGGCCATCCCCTTCATTTGCCAAGTCCCCCATGCAGAGGCTCCTGGTCTTCAAGACCCAGTATGGGTGTCTCCCCAGGGAGAGTAGCCCACGTGACTTGTTCTCCCTTCTGCATTCCTCATGTCATAGCAGGGCGGGTCAGAGCATGGACTTTGGAATTGGTACAATTGGTTTAAAATCCCAACTGAAGGGGGATGGGGGATTAAGAGAGGATGCTTAAATGGATATAAAAATGCAGTTAGAAGGAATAAGTTCTAGTGTTTGATAGCCCAGTAGGATGACTATAGTTAACAGTAATTTATTGTATATTTCAAAATAACTGCAAGATGTGAAATGTTGCCAACACAAAGAAACGATATATATTTGAGGTGATGGATATCCTAATCATCCTGATTTGATCATTACACATTGTATCCTTGTATCAAAATATCACATGTATCCTGTAAATAGGTATAATTATGTATCCATTTTTAAAATACATTATTTTTAGAATAGAATATTAAAACTATGAATACTCAAAGTTCTGAATGAGTGTGTCATTTATTACATTAATTGTGCTGTTCAATTTAAATTTATGATCCTCCAAATAAATTGTCAAAATGATTTGAAAGCAGGAACTATTATTTATCTTATGAAAAGTAAGCCCCATAACTAAAAAAGTTCCTGCAAAATAATCTGTAATTGTGTTTATATTACATGAATGATTCGCTGTTTCTCCAAAAGAGCATTTAAGAAGTCAGTAATTCTCAAATGTGCAAAGTATTTCCACGTGCTTAACAAGAAAACTATCTAAAACGAAACAAACAAAAATCCCAGCTCTGCCACTTGGCTAAACTCTTTCACATTGCTGAGCCTCTGTTCTTCCTCTGCAAAATGCAGCTAATAATAATGCCCACCTTATTAGGACTATGAGGATTGTTTTTGTTTTGTTGTGTTGTGTTTTGTTTTGTTTGAGACAGGGTCTCCCTCTGTTGCCCAGGTTGGAGTGCAGTGGTGCGATCTCAGCTCGCAGCGTGCAGCCTCGACCTCCTGGGTCTCAGGTGATCCTCCTAATTCAGCCTCCAGAGTAGCTGGGACCACAGGTGTGTGCCACCACGCCCAGCAGTTTTTGTATTTTTTGTAGAGATGGGGATTCGCCGTGTTGCCCAGGCTGGTCTTGAACTCATGGCCTTGAGTGATCTGCCCACCTTGAGTGATCCCAGAGTGCTGGGATTACAGGCATGAGCCACCATGCCTGGCCCTACATCACTCTTTAAGTGGTCCTTTGTGCATTTATTTCTCTGCCTGGCTCCAGAGAGCTGGAGGACTGTGAAGACACTCCTTTTTTCGCATATTCAGCAAGTATATATTGAGCATCTTATACTATGTGCCATGCACTGTTTAAGATGCTGGTGATACAGCATTGGACCAGACAGACAAAATCCTCACCCTCGTGTGGCATACATTATAACCCGGGGGGAGACAGATAATAAGAAGTAAAATGTAAAGAACCTTAGTGATTAGTGTTTGGGAAGGAAAAAAATGAAGCAGGAAAGGTGGGGTATGAAATGTCCGGGGTGAACATTAACATTTTAGATAAGGAGGGCTGGGGAAGAGTGGCTTTTGAGAAGGTCCTGAAGGAAATGGGGGAGAGAACCATGCCATTTCCTGGGGAAGAACCTTTCAGACAGAGAGAACAGCAAGTGCAAACGTCCAGAGGCCAGGACATTCCTGGGAAAGAGCTTGGTTTTTACTCTGAGTGAGGTAAGAAGCCATTGAGGGGTTTGGAGTGGAGGGACAGGACTTGGCCTTTGCTTAATAAAATAACTGGCTGCTCTGTAGAGAACAGTCCTCGCCCTTGAGGACTTGTGTGTTCTTGTTCTAGCTGCCTTTCTGCAAATCTTTCTCCATTCTGCTATTCCTTTCTCTGGATGTATACCCAGTCCCCCATATTGCCGGCATGGGTTCAACCAAACCCCTCCTTCATACTTGAAAGGGTAGAGTAGCACACTCCAGTGTGGGGGCAGCCCAGGTTGGAGCCCAGCTGGAAGAATTCAGCACAGTAAGCAGACGGGTCACTTCCCGTCCAACCCTGTCTTTCCAAGCCCATCTTCCTTCACACTGGACTCCTTAGCACCTTCACACGGTGTCGTGCCTCTGCGTCGTTGTTAAACACTGTTCCTGCTGCCTAATATGTTGTTTCCTCTCCCATCTAACACATTCCCATCCTTTCCGAAGCCTTCACACTCTAGACATGCCTCGATTATAGTAGCTGTCCCCTTGTGTTAGGGATACTGTTTCTGTCTGTCACTCCTTAGAAGAAGAGACAGGAGGGAGCTTGCTCTCCTCCCTCTGCCATGTGAGGACACGAGAAGGCAGCTGTCTGTATGTAAGCCAGCAGGAGGGCCCTGCCAGAAACCAAATAGGCTGGCCCCTCGATCTTGGACTTCCCAGCCCTCAGAACCATGAGAAAAAGAGAGCTATTGTTGAAGCCACCCAGTCTGTGGTATTTTGTTATGGCAACCCAAGCAGCTAAGACAGATGGCAAGGTGACCAACTCAGGCATCAGAACACCTGAGAGCCTTAAGGCAGGGGCCCCTTCTTTCCTGATTCATGTGTCCCCATGGGACCTGGCTCTCCAGAGTCCTCCATCAGGGATCTTTGTGTCCACATGACCAGAACACAGCAATTGGGTCAGCAGAAATGGGAATTGAGGCAACTGAAAGTCAGAAGGGCTGAGACAGGTGGACGAAGACGTGGACAAATGCCACTTGAGAGCCGTGGTCTGAAGAGATGAGCTCACGCCTTTGTGTAGTGCCCGGCTCCCAGGTGGTTTACTGTTTGAAATGTAAGCTGACTGGGTATCAGACAACTGAATCCCACTTTTTCAAACAAAGATGGTGCAAGGCCTTGTGATTTCACCCCAGTTTGCGTTCTTTCACTCTTGGCTGGCATCCTTTGGCTATTTAAATTCGTAGCCTCCCAACAGTTTTTAAAAAACAAACAAACTCACACAATTTATCTTTTCATGTAAGCTGCAATTTGGTTGAAACAAGACCTTTCTAGTACATAGTCCAAAGCTCCTGATAACTGAAACTACAATCAGTGTTTCTGTTCTGTGATCTGTTTTTTGTTTTAAAAGCCACAACAGAAAACCTTTTCTTCTGTTACGGCTGTCAGGAGCCGTTTGGGCTTAATCAATAATGAGGTGTTTCACTTCCTGGGGCTGGGCTATCTGTGGAGAGCACTTACTTCTCCGTAACCCATGAAGCCAGTGAAGGACCCTGAATCTGGGTAAATTCAAAATTCTTCTGAGCCTTGGATAGTCTTAGGCATAGTTCTGGCAGGGTCTGACTTGAAAAAGTAGGTTGTGTATTTATTATTGTCGTTTCAATATCACTAACACGAGGTGAAGAAGAAGAAGAAGGCAAAAGACCCAGCCTGAGCAGAACTCAATGTAACAGTCCTTGATTCTAAGCCGCCCCCGTCCATGTGATACAACTCCTAGCGGGGGAGGGATAGTGGGGCATTATATTAAGTATAGGTATTAATGATAAGTTCGTCTAGTTTGGAAAACTTTTAAATGGGCAGAGATGAACATAATCAGATGGCAAGGATGTGGTAGTAGCTGTTTGAATAACAATAATGATGAGGATAGCTAACATTGATAAGCATTATTTCATGTCACCCTCTCCGTGACAGACAGAGCCTGAGAGGAGTCGCCATTGCCCCCACACAGCCAGCCTTTCAGCAGCCTTCTTGGCAGCAGCTATGTCAGACCAACAGTACCTTCCTAATTTTAGCCTCACAAAATTCATTTATGTTTCATATATACCTTATTCACATAGCATGAAGGTAATTTCATACGATGTTTTTTGTTTTGTTTTGTGACAGGGTTTCTTTCCATCACCCGGGCTGGAGTGCAGTATTTCATACTTCCTGTATTTGTGGCAGGAAGCTTTATGCTTTATCATCAGAGTGATCTTTGAAGGGAAGGACTTACTCAGCATTTAAATAACACAAGCTAGATTACAGAGCAACCCTTTAAACCATTTAAGAAAAAAATGATTTCCTTTTTAAAAAATGGTAATTGCTGTATGATTGTCAAATTTTTCCTCTTGAAAGTATTTTTTAAGTAAAAATGAGCCTGCATACTACACCCATGTATGACCATCATATAACAAGACAGGGTAAATGCAGGTCACGCATCCCTAATCTGAAATCCAAAATGCCCCAAATCTGAACATTTTTCAGCACCAACATGATTCCCCACCTGACCCCATGTGGTCACAGTCAAAACTTTGTTTCATGCACGAGGCCAGGGCACAGTGGCTCATGCCTGTAATCTCAACACTTAGAGAGACCAGTGCGGGCAGATCACTTGAGCCCAGGAGTTTGAGACCAGCATGGGCAAGATGGAGAAACGCCATCTCTACTAAAAATACAAAAATTAGCCACGTGTGGTGGCGTGCACCTGTAGTCCCAGCTACTTGGGAGGCTAAGGTGAGAGAATCACTTGAGCCTGGGAGGCAGAGGCCACAGTAAGCTGAGATTGCACCATTGCACTGCAACCTGGGTGATAGAGCAAGACCCTGTCTCAAAAAAAAAATTTATGAAATTACCTTCTATGCTGTGTGTATAAGGTATATGTGAAACATAATAAATTTTGTGTTTAGGTTTGGGTCCCATCCCCAAGATATCTTTTTTTTTTTTTTTTTGGAGAGGGAGTCTCACTCTGTCACCCAGGCTGGAGTGCAATGGCACGGTCTCAGCTCATTGCAACCTCCGCCTCCCATGTTCAAGCAATTCTCCTGCCTCGGCCTCCCAAAGTGCTGGGATTACAGGCGTGAGCAACCACACCCAACCGCATCCTCAAGATACCTCATTACTTATATGCAAATATTCCAAATTCTGAAACACTTCTGGTCCCAACTATTTTGGTTGAGGGCTGCTCAGACTGTAATACATCAGTGTGATTAAGAGCAGCCACATGGAGTCAGTCTCTTTGGATGCCAGGCCTAGCTCTGCTACCCAGTAGCTGTGTGATCTGGGGCAAGTGACTTACCCTGTCTAAGCCTCAGTTTCCTCATCTGTTAAACAGGCATGATGATGATAAGCAGTATTTTATGTATGCATATATCTTCCTACGTTTAACCAGTGGTTTCTAAACATTTGAGGCATATGTATAGCTCTCATCTTACTAATTACAAATTATCATTAGCTGTTCTTAAAGCAGACTTTTTTTTTTTTTTTTTTTTTGAGACGGAGTCTCGCTCTGTCGCCCAGGGTGGAGCACAGTGGTGCCATCTCTCGGCTCACTGCAACCTCCGCCTCCCGGGTTCACACCATTCTCCTGTCTCAGCCTCCTGAGTAGCTGGGACTACAGGCACACACCACCACGCCCAACTAATTTTTTGTATTTTTAATAGAGACGGGGTTTCACCATGTTAGCCAGAATGGTCTCAAACTCCTGACCTCGTGATCCACCCGCCTCGGCCTCCCAAAGTGCTGGGATTACAGGCGTGAGCCACTGCGCCCGGCCAAAGCAGACTTTCTAACACTGCTATTCAAATGGTACCATCCTTCATCATTTTTAAAAAGTGTGATTTAAACTGTTAAGTAGGGCTGGGCACAGTGACCATCCCAGTGCTTCTGGAGGCCGAGGCAGGAGGATCACTAGAGCCCAGGAGTTTGAGACCAGCCTGAGCAATATAGGGAAACCCTGCCTGTACAAAAAATAAAAAATTTGCCAGGCATGGTAGTATGTGCCTGCAGTCCCAGCTACTTGGGAGGCTAAGGTAGGAAGATCACTTGAGCCTGGGAGCTCAAGGCTTCAGTGAGCTGCGATCACGCTACTGCATTCCAGACCGGCAATAGAGTTAAACCCTATCTCAAAAATAAATAAATAACTAAACTGTTAAATGTGTGGCTTAGATGATTTATTCCTCTAAATAGGATGAATAAATTTGTGAGATTGGGCACAGTAACTATTTTGGTACAGTGGCAAGGTGATTGGTGCTGGCATCAGAACACACCTGACTGTTAGTTCAGGATCTGTGCTTCTCGCATTCGTGCAATGAGGATGTTTAATGAGCCTCTCCAGCAGGCCAGAAGATAATGCATAGGGCATGGTCTCTGCTATTAGGAGTTAGGAAATGAGAATGGGGGAATAGGTATAGAAGGAGGGAGATTTCTTATGTTCAAAATACTGTGAGAACACTGAGGAGGGAGCTGGAGTGCAGTGGTGCGATCATAGCTCACTGCAGCCTGAAACACCTGGGTTTAAGCGATCCTCCTGCCTCAGCCTCTTGAGTAGCTGGGACTACAGGCCCAAGCCATCATGCCTGGCCACCATCTTAATCATTTTTAAGTGCATGGTTTAAGGCCAGGCACGGTGGCCCAAGCCTGTAATCCCAGCACTTTGGGAGGCCGAGGCGGGCGGATCACGAGGTCAGGAGATCGAGACCATCCTGGCTTACACGGTGAAACCCCGTCTCTACTAAAAATACAAAACAATTAGCCGGGCATGGTGGCGGGCGCCTGTAGTCCCAGCTACTCCGGAGGCTGAGGCAGGAGAATGGCGTCAACCCAGGAGGCGGAGCTTGGCAGTGAGCCGAGATCGCACCACTGCACTCCAGCCTGGGCGACAGAGCAAGACTCCGTCTCAAAAAAAAAAAAAAAAAGTGTATGGTTTAGTGTGTGCCAGATCCTTTTTAAATTATTTCTCTTTGAAGATTCCTTCCTAGTCTAACAAATTTGTAGAAAACTACTATGGGAGGAGGGCCTAGCTTAGCAGGAGTTTTCCTTAAATATTTTATGTGTGGATGACACTGCGAGGCTTTTTCCTCAGACATCTGGAACTGGCCATCGGAGAGCTGCTCCAGGCAGTTGCTCTCTGTTGCTCTACCTCGTTGATTGACCGCTTCCTGCACATTGGACCTGTATGTATGATCCTGCACACCAGATGGGATCTGAGGAAGGCTCAGTCAGGAGTCCCTGAACCAGTTCCCACTGTTTGAAACAATGGTTTTGCACCCTGGTAGTGAAGCATTTGCTTTTGAGAACTGCAATTGCATGCCTTCTCTGACATCTGTAACAACAGGCATTCTCTTTCATCACTTTCCCACGCCCTCATTTGACCTTTACAGCATTTGGCCGTTTTTACTCATATATTGGGGATTGAGGTCACAGATGTCTCCAGTTTTGTCAAATAGGTGATATTTCTGTTTCTCATTCTCCTGGTTGCTTTTGTGTGATTCTCCAGAGGAAAAAGGGTAAAATCTTTATTCTGCTGTTTTTAAACGAAGTACAGTTAAGTAAAATAAATTTAGCATTCTGGAAAATCTCCTTTTTTAAAAAAAAATTTATTTATTTATTTGAGACAAGGTTTTACTTCACTGCCCAGACTAGAGTGCAGTGGCACAATCTCACAGCTCACTGCAACCTTGACTTCCTGGGCTCGGGTGATTCTCCCAGGTAGGGGCTACAGGCATGCACCACCACACCTGGCTACTTTTTTGTATTTTTTGTAGGATGGGGTTTTGCCATGTTGCCAGGCTGGTCTCAAACTCCTGTGCTCAAGTGATTCGGCCTCCCAAAGTGCTGGGATTACAGGTGTGAGCCACCACACCTAGCCAAAAATCTCCTTTTTTTATTTATTTTTATTTTATTTTATTATTTTTATTTTTATTTTTTTGAGACAAGAGTTTCACTCTTGTCACCCAGGCTGGAGTGCAATGACAGGATCTCTGCTCACTTGCAACCTTGGCCTCCTGGGTTCAAGCAATTCTCCTCCTTCAGCCTCCCAAGTAGCTGGGATTACAGGCACCCGCTACTACGCCCAGCTGATTTTTGTATTTTTAGTAAAGACAGGGTTTCACCATGTTGGCCAGGCTGGTCTCAAACTCCTGACCTCGGGTGATCCACCCGCCTCAGCCTCCCAAAGTGCTGGGATTACAGGCGTGAGCCACTGCACCCACCCAAAAACCTCCTTTTTTAAATGGTCTTTATATTTTGTCTACTGATGATGACTTCCTCACTACCATTGTTTTAGAAACTGCTCCTTTTGTGCCATTTAAAGGTAACTCGAAGCCAGGTGCGAGTGTGGTGGCTCCAGCCTGTAATCCCAGCATGCTGGGAGGCAGAGGGGCTAGAGGATCGCTTGAGCCTAGGAGTTCGAGACCAGCCTGGGCAACATAGCAAGACCTTGCCTCTACAAAAAAAATTTTTTTTTTTTTTTTAGTTAGCCATGCATTGTGGCACATGTCTATAGTCCCAGCTACTCAGGAGGCTAAGGTGGGAGGATTGCTTGATCCCAGGAATTCAAGGTTAGAGTGAGCTATGATTGCACCACTGTACTCCAGCCTGGGCAACAGAGCAAGACCTGTCTCACAAAAAAAAAAAAAAAAAGAAAGAAAGAAAAAAGTAACCCGATCTTGTTGAGGAATGTGTGCTTATGCCCTTTTCCGCCTTCTCTCCATTAGCCCTGGCTGTTTCTGTCTGCCTGTAATTTTATTAGCATTTCAGTCAGATCTGTCATTAGGTACCCATCTTCTTGGGTATACGTATCACTCTGCTAAGAAACAAAAGGAATACATGTCTCCTCCATGACTAGGCAGTGGGTGCCACAGGAGCCAATGTAGACCAATATAGTCATTCAGGCAGGAAGCTTATGTATGAGACGGTAGGTGATAGACCCCTAGATTCCTGTGGCTTCCTCAGGTCTTTTGTATATGAAGAATTTCATAGGTTTTCATTCTTTGGTCTACATGCAGAGAAGAGAGTTTCTTATTAGAGAACAGATTGGAGAAAAAAATAGGGCTTTTACTGTTTATTCCACGTATTTCTGTATTGTGTGAAAAGTAATTTAGCAATGAACACGTATTTTGTTAAAAAAAATTGTAGAATCGTTAGAAGTAAAAAGTAAAGTCATTTTCTCATTCTCAAAGTTACCTGCTATTAAGAGTTTAAATTGTACCTTCCAGAGCTTTCTGTATATGTGTCTACACATAATAGATATAATGTGCTGGGCTGCTTTTTATACAGATGGAGCCATGCTGAATGTGCTGTTCTATGCTTTGCTTTTTCCCACCTAAAAATGTATTGCATACATTTTCCTATAATGATGGGCATAAATCAGCCTTTGAAAAACTTGACTGGAGAGTATTTCTTTGGCTTTTTTTTTTTTTTTTCAGAGACGAAGTCTCACTCCTGTCCCCTAGGCTGGAGTGCAGTGGCGCAATCTCGGCTCACTGCAACCTCCACCTCCCGAGTTCAAGCGATTCTCCTGCCCCAGCCTCCTGAGTAGCTGGGATTACCGGCGCCTGCCACCACGCCCAGCTAATTTTTGTATTTTTAGTAGAGATGGGGTTTCACCATGTTGGCCAGGCTGGTCTCGAACTCCTGACCTCAGGTGATCCGCCCGCCTCAGCCTCCCAAAGTGCTGGGATTACAGGCATGAGCTGCCGCGCCCAGCCAACTGTATAATAATTTGTTTAATCAGTCTCCTGTTAAAAGACATCATCTCAGTCTTTTGTTAATATAGATAATACTGCATTGGCTATCTATACATGTGTAGACACATGTATACACACACATACATGTGCATGCAAATACATCTATAGGATAGATACCTCAGAATGGAATAGGCAGATGGAAGGATAGGTACATTTTATATTTTAAACAATATTGCCAAAATGCTCTCCAGTATAGCACCTCCATCAGCTGTATATTAGGGTAGTGGTAAAATGGTAATATGTTAGAATTGCAGCTGCCTTACAGTCATCCAGTCCACCTCTCCACAACATGGGTGAATCTCATGGACGCGTTGAATAAAAGAAGCCAGAAATAAAAGAATGTATACTGTATATTTTATTTCTATAAAGTAGAAAACCAGAAAACCTACCCATGCTATTAGAAATCAGGATAGTGGCCAGGTGCGGTGGCTCATGCCTGTAATCCCAGAACTTTAGGAGGCCGAGGCAGGTGGATCACCTGAGGTCAGGAGTTCAAGACCAGCCTGGCTAATATGGTGAAACCCCATCTCTACTAAAAATACAAAAATTAGCCGGGCGTGGTGGCGCACACCTGTAGTCCCAACTACTCGGGAGGCTGAGGCAGGAGAATTGCTTGAATCGGGGAGGCAGAAGTTGCAGTGAGCCGAGATTGCGCCACTGCCCTCCAGCCTGTGTGACAGAGTGAGATCCTGCCTCAAAAAAGAGAGAGAGAAAGAAAGAAAAAGAGAGAAAGAGAAAGAGAGAAAGGAAGGAAGGAAGGGAAGGGAAGGAAAGGATTGGGATAGTGGATATCCTTGGGGAGGGAGTAGAGGCTGGTAGAGGGCACAAAAGGCTTCTGGAATGCTGGGATGTTTTGTGTCTTGATCTGTGGGTGCTGTTTACACAAGTGTGGTCATTGTGTGAAAATCCATCACCGTACACTTCTCTGTAAACTTCTGAATGTGTATTATCTTTCAATAAGAGTTTGTTTTTTAAAAAAGCCTCTAGTCCCAACTCTTCCATTTTAAAGATAAGAACCCAGGAGTTGAAGAGATTCCCCACTGTCTTGCCATATGAGCAGCTCAGGGTTTCTGAGAGCCTGTGCAAGAAGCCAGAGCCCTGGCCTGCCTTGCCAAGACTGGCTAGTGATGTTGTTGGCACTTGGAAAGGCCGTGAATGTGTGACAATGTCTCTCACCTTGAGGCCCCTGAAGAATAATGGAGAGTCTCAGAGCCAGCTCATGTGTCAAATGGAATTTCTGGTTTTATAGCTTATGCTCTTGTGTTTAGGGCAGAAATTCTAGCACAAGGCCTCACACCCAGGCAGTAGACAAGGGTGGGGAAGTTTCTGATGGAGAAAAGTTCGGTTCTCTGTTACTCTGGCCAACCTCTCATTCTTTTGTTTTTGTTTTTGAAATGGAGTCTCGCTTTGTCGCCCAGGCTGGAGTGCAGTGGTGCGATCTTGGCTCATTGCAACCTCCACCTCCCAGGTTCCAGTGATTCTCCTGCCTCCTGCCTCAGCCTCCCACGTAGATGGGATTACAGGCATGCACCACCACACCCAGCTAATTTTTGTATTTTTAGTAGAGATGAGGTTTTACCATGTTGGCCAGGCTGGTCTCGAACTCCTGACCTCAGGTGATCCGCCCGCACTTGGCCAAAGTGCTGGGATCGCAGGCATGAGCCACTGCGCCCGGCCTCAACCTCTCATTCTTAGTCCTTTTTCTCACTGCATCCTCATCCTTCCCGTTTTGCTGCTGCTTCCTACTCCTTTTCAGGCTAGCCTATTTCAGAAAATTTTATCTTTTTTAGTAAAATTATTTGCTCAGAATAAAAATAAAGCAGATTTCTGTTTCATTCTTCCTGGGCCTGCTTTGGGAGGGTGGTGAGTGGTGAACTCCAAGGAATTGTTTGCATGGTGTGCTACCCTGATGGGAGATTCTCAGCGTCCAGGATTCCTTTACTTTTCTGTGGGGGTTCTATCTGGAAACCTTATGTGACTCAGGGCATAGTATGATTTTGAGCACTTCCTGTGGTCAAAAACTGTTGTCTTTGATTGGAAATTATGCTGTGTTCTGAGTGCTTGCTGGCACGCACACACTGTTGACTGCTTGTTCTGGTAGCACATCTGCGTGGGGTGCCTTAAAAGTGGGCACTCTCTCAGCAGAAAATTCCCATGTGGGACCTCAGTTCAAGCCCCTCCTCACTTTCATCACTTTCTTCTCTTTTGCTTCCCTTCCTCTGTGCCTTCACTCCTCCACACTGGCCTCAGCAAATCCCATCTATTTTCCAAGCCCCATCTGAAAGCGTGCCTCTTCTCTGATGACCATCCTTGTTGGAGCTGACTTTGCCGTCCCTCCTGTGGACATCCATGCCAGTTGTCTGTGTCATCTGTTTAGCAGTCATCTGGTCCTAACTTTTAGCTTATCTTTTATTATATCTAAGTGTGATCTAACTTTTCACCTTTATCTTGTCTCCCTGTCACCTCGAAAGAGGACACGACAGTGCTGTTAATTTTTCTATCTCCCATGGGACTTAATCGGTGTCCTCCACGTAGTATGCTTTAATAATGGTTTATTGCTGTGATACTGCTTCACAAATGCCAGCAGATGCCATGCTGTATCATCAGAGATGAGATTATTTTATTTATTTATTTTTAATTTTTTTATTTTTTGAGATGGAATCTTGCTCTGTCACCCAGGCTGGAGTGCAGTGGCGCAATCTCGGCTCACTGCAATGTCCGCCTCCCAGGTTCAAGCAATTCTCCTGCCTCAGCCTCCCGAGTAGCTGGGATTACAGGTGAGTGCTACTACCCCCAGCTAATTTTTATATTTTTAGTAGAGACGGGGTTTCACCATGTTGGCCAAGCTGGTCTTGAACTCCTGACCTCAGGTGATCCACCCGCCTCAGCCTCCTGAAGTGCTGGGATTACAGGCATGAGCCACCGGACTCATTATTATATGAGTCATTATTATATGCCCAGACAAGATTATTATAAATTTAAATTTAAATTTGTAATTTATTTTGTGAACCTGAGCAGGTGACTTTTTTTTTTCTTTTCTTTTCTTTTTGAGACAGGATCTTGCTCTATCACCCAGGCTGGAGCGCTGCAGTGGCGTGATCATGGCTCACTGCAGCCTTGACTGCTTGGGCTCAAGTGATCCTCCCGAGTAGCTGGGACCACAGGCATGCACCACCAAGCTTGGCAACTTTTTAAAATATGTTTCGTAGAGATGGGGTCTCACCATGTTGCCCAAGCTGGTCTTGAACTCCTGAGCTCAAGTGATCCTCCCACATCAGCCTCCTAAAGTGGTGGGATTACAGGTGTGAGCCAGCATGCGCAGCCAGTGGCATCATTCTTTAAGTCTACTTTTACTCCATAAGCCAATCTCCCATTGAAAAACTGACAAAAATAATTCTCAACTTTCAACTGGTTTCAGCTGACCCTCTGAATGTGGGATAATATTTGCTTGATAGGGCAGTTTCAGTTCAGCAGAAGGGCTGGTGTGGCTCATTGGAGCTTATGGAAGGGGGTTCTACCAGGGTAATAAGGTCAATATGTGAATCCTTTGATAAAAAAGAAATGGGCACAAGCCAACATGGACCCAGAGAGAGAATAAAAGTCTTAAAAACTTGCAGAAATGAACAGTCCTGGTAGGTCTTTGGTAGCCTGTCCAAATACAGAGCATGGATCTAAAGTGATTTCTTTCCCTTCATATGTTTATTCAGTTATCATAGTACTACCTTTTGATAGCCTTCCCCTATATTTTGTGACAATTACTTTATCAAATATTCAGTTCTTAAAATTGAGTCTTTTTAGGCCAGGCGCGGTGGCTCACGCCTGTAATCCCAGCGCTTTGGGAGGCCGAGGCGGGCGGATCACCTGAGGTCAGGAGTTTGAGACCAGCCTGGCCAACATGGTGAAACCCCGTCTCTACTAAAAATACAAAAATTAGCCGGGCGTGGTGACAGGTGCCTGTAATCCCAGCTACTCAGGAGGCTGAAGCAGGAGAATCGCTGGAACCCAGGAGGCAGAGGTTGCAGTGAGCCGAGATTGCGCCATTGCACTCCAGCCTGGAGGACAAGAGCGAGACTTCATCTCAAAAAAAAAGAGTCTTTTCTAAGATTTCTTTTGTTTTACTGATTTTACTTTCTTGTTTTTATACCAAAATCATGTTTCCTAAATTTTTACTCTCAAAAGTGCTTTAATAGCTGGTAAAATTCAACTTTTTCTCTGGGTCTTTTTCTTGGGTTTTTTGTTTGTTTGTTTGTTTGTTTGTTTGTTTGTTTTGAGACAGGGTCTCACTTTGTCACCTAGGCTGGTGTGCCGTGGCACAGTCATGGCTCATTGCAGCCTCGATCTCCCAGGCTCAAGTAATCCTCCCACCTCAGCCTCCCAAGTAGCTGGAACTTCAGGTGCACACCACCATGCTCAGCTAATTCTTGTATTTTTTGTAGAGATGGGGTTTCGCCATGTTGCCCAGGCTGATCTCCAACTCCTGCGCTCAAGTGACTCTCCTGCCTCAGCCTCCCAAAGTGCTGGGATTACAGGCGTGAACTGCTGCACTCGGCCTGGATTAATCTTTTTCAACTCCATGTTTCATTCCCATAATTGCTGTCTTTGCCAGAATATTCTTTAGCCTCACAATGTTTAGTTTTTACAATCCTAAAAGAATAATTGAACACCTGTTATGTGTCAGTTCCATTAGATGCTGGAGGCTAAAATATGAATAAGATAGTTCATATTGCCCCCTAGAAGGACTCTTAGTCTTCTCTGGTCAAAACCAAGTCAATAAAGGAAGTATTAGTTGGAAACCCTCAGTCTCCCCAGCCTCAATACCTAGCTTCACTTGTACATCCAGCAGCCCCTGGGGTCTACTTTGCAACCTTCCAGTTTGCCATATGTGATATTTTCTATTGGATCTTTTAAAGATATTTTTGGTATTTTTTTCTTTCTTTGCAAAATATTTATACGATTTTTGGTATTATTTTATTTAGTGCATTTTAACCATTCCATTGAGATTTTTATTTTATTTATATACAAAATGCAATTGAGGCCAGGCGCAGTGGCTCATGCCTGTAATCCCAACACTTTGGGAAGCTGAAGCAGGAGGATTGCTTGAACCCAGGAATTCAAGACCAGCCCCAGCAACATATCGAGACTCTGTCTCTACAAAAAATTAGAAAATTAATCAGGTGTGCTGGTGCATACCTGTAGTCCTGGCTGATTGGGAGACTGAGGCAGGAGAATCACTTGAGCGTGGGAGGTTGAAGCCATGGTGAGCCATGGTTGCACCACTGTACTCCAGCCTGAGTAACAAAGCAAGACCCTGTCCCCCACCCCCAAAAAATGCAATTGAACATCTTTGTAATGTATGGTCCTTCATTTCAAAGTCATGACACCTCTCTGCTTTTTTTCCTCTTCTCTTTTTTCTTGTGTAGTCATTACAGTTGTTTGTCTTACTTTCTAGGGTTGATGGGATGGAGTGAGTGTAATAAGTTAGTCTATAATAATATTTCTGGCCTATCAAGTACAAGGCATTTTTGAAGCCAAGAAGATCCTGAGGAAGCCTGAGGCCAGCCCCCATTGGAGATGACTACACACATCAAAGAGAAAATTAATATCTCTCCACAGTCAGTTTGCCCAGTGCCCATGAGGCTGCAGGGGTTAGTGCTGCAGAAGTCAGGGAGCTTGCTTGCTTGGAGTCTGGGATGGAGGCTTGTCCTTAAAGATACACTGGATTCTCTAACAGGATGGGAGGAATAGTCTAGGTGTGGAAAGTCAACTGAATGAGAGTCAGGTGTAGAGGTGAGAGGCCGTGCTGACCACGTAGCCATATTGCCCTAAAATCCTTTGAACGTCAGCCTCCAGCAATTGGACTTGGCCTGGGCTTTTCAGATTTTTTTTTTTTTTCTCAGATCCCTAGAATTGTAAGGGAGTCCTTCTGCATGGGGACGGGAAAGGTCAGGCCACCAGGACTCTGGATCCTTCAGCCTTAAGGTTCAGTTTAAGATTTCATTTGGAAGAAGGATTTTCTCACTCCTGAGAAAGCTTGTCAGCCCTCACCGTTACCATTTGCGGGAAGGTAGGGTTTGAAGGTTTTCATCCCAGAGAATCTGCTGACCTGAGTCAACAGCATGTCCTCCATGGGGAGGGGGTCTCTCCCTTGTTACCTTCCCACACCAGTCAACCTCATCAGTCAGTCCCATTGTTTTTACCACCTAAGCGTGTTTTCAGCCTGGCCCCTGCCCCTGCGTTTAGTCTCTCACCCTCTTCTTGGTTTACTGTGGTAGCCTCTTTGTAATTGACCTTCCTGTTTCTGGTCTCATGTCCTTTCAGTCCCTTATGCACACTGCTGCAAATATCTTTCCAAAATAAATGGGATCACTTCATCTTCACCTGCTTAAAACTCATCAGTGGTTCTGTATCACTCTAGGATGAAGTTTCATCCTACTACTTACCAGCAGGATGTGGTCCCTGCCCACTGTCTAGCTCTGCCTCTTGCCATTTCCTTCATTCACTCTAAACTTCAGCCCACAGATTAAAACTACGCACAGTTCCTTAAGCTGCCATTATATTTCTCACCCGCACTGCCTTTCCTTGCTGTTCCACTTCGAGACTCCCTCCCAGAGTCCTTCTCTGATCTGCTCTGTGAGCCAGGGCTCCCTGCCGTGTCTGTCACGCCCGGAGTCCTTCTCTGACCTGCTCTGTGAGCCAGGGCTCCCTGCCATGTCTGTCACGCCCTGTGCTTTCCCAGTGAACACGTAGCACACTGTACTCTGATTGTCTTCCTTCCTCAATGGATCCTAAGTTCCTTGAGGGAAGGGACCGGGTCATCTTCATTGTCTCCTCCAAGCCAAGCATACAGGGCTCTAGTAAATGATGATGAATGACTGAATGGCACAGAAACACTCCAGAGACCTCTCCCCTCAAAAGCTTCATTCAGTGGTGGAAACGTGGAATTGTATACATAGAAAGGGAGGAGGAAGAAGATTCATATAACACTAAGGTCTTGAGCAAGGTGGCAGTATCTGGGCAGGAGCAAATGCCCAGTGTTTAGTGTAGGGGCACAGCATGTGTGTTGCTGATAGGGCATGCGTGTGAAACATTTAGGTGGGATATCTAAATAAATGGGCTTGGACAGAAGGAGCTGTGGGTCAGCAGAGCAGGAGGGAAGAAAGCAAGGGAATCCACCGGCAAGGCTAATGGGAAGCCTGCTGTCCCTCGGCTGGAGGCCAGCCACAAAGTGTCACACACATCCTTCCTGAGTTTGGGGAAATATCTGTAGGTCACTTCAGAATTTGGGTTCAAAATAATATGGAGGCCACATTATTCATAATAGCCCCAAAATGGTAAGAACCCAAATATCCCACTGATGAGTGAATGGATAACGAGATATAATATATTCATACAGTAGAATATTATTCGGCCGTAAAAAGGAACAAAGTAGTGACGTGCTACAGATGGATGAACCTTGAAAACATTACGCTAAGTGAGGTAAACTAGTCACACAAGATCACATGGCCCATGATCTCATTTACACAGAATTATCTAGAATAGGCTAATCTATAAAGATAGAAAGTAGATTAGTGGGCCGGGTGCAGTGGCTCACACCTGTAATCCCAGCACTTTGGGAGGCCAAGGCAGGCAGATCATCTCAGGTCGGGAGTTCAAGACCATCCTGGCCAACATGATGAAACCCTGTCTCTACTAAAAATACAAAAATTAGCCGGGCGTAGTGGTGTGTGCCTGTAATCCCAGCTATTCAGGAGACTGAGGCGGAAGAATCTCTTGAACCTGGAAGGCAGAGGTTGCAGTGAGCCAAGGTTGCACCACTGCACTCCAGCCTGGGCCAGAGAGCAGGACTGTCTCAAAAAAAAAATAGAAAGAAGTAGATGAGTGGTTGCCAGGGGCTGCGAGAAGGGAGAAATTTGGAGTGGCTGCTCATGGATACAGTTTTTTGGGTGTTGATGACAGTGCTCTAAAATTGTGGTGATACTTGTGCAACTCTGAATGTGCTCACAGCCATCGAATTGGACACTCTCACAGTGGGTGAATTGTATGTTGTGTGAATTATATCTCAATAAAACGGTTGTGAAATAATAATCATAATAAACGGAGGATAGGTGGATAGATGTTTTACTCCAGGTTTGCTACTTAAAATTTTTCACTGAGTCTGCAGTGGCCTGTGTTCTTTTTGAGGTGGGTCCTTGGAGAAGAGACCTGCTCTGACAAAGCTTCCTCACTGCCTGGTGGTTTCTCCTGTCTGGCACATACACTCTGTCGGACTGCTTGAGGCACTGCTCCACTCTCAGGAGCAACCAGGGATGGGAGACAGCACTAGTGTCTTCGGTGAACGTCTGCATCCAGCCCGCGTGAGCTGCGACACACAGACCCTTAGAGAGCACTTGCCTCCTGCAGAGGTCTAGGGGCAGAGGGTTGGACCAGTCCTGCCCTCAATAACCACTCAGCGACTTGTTTTCTGTGGGGTGTCATCAGCTCAGAGAAGCAACACGTCTTTCCTAGGTTCTCTGAAGGAGATCTACTCATGCCATTGTTGGATCTGTCTGCTACAAGTGTTACTGGGCTGGATTCGAGGACTTTGTTTTTCCATCTGCCCTCTGTATTTTCCTAGGAATGCTTCTGTGAATACCCCCCTCCCACCTGCCAAGGCAAGTGAGGCAGCAGCACCAGGAGAGCTGGACCCCTGCACACACCACCACTGCCACCACGCTGCCTTTGCTCCGCTGCCTGGCTTCTCTGTTTCCCCTACTGAACTGTGAGGAATTGGGGCAAAGACTGCCTCTTCTTTCCATTACCTGTGACCCATAGTAGGCACTCGGGTATCTATTGAAGGAATTAGTGAATTTTTCTTTCCACGGATTGAATTAGATTGGGACAAAGAAAGAAAGTCATGGGGTGCAGGGTGAATTCTTGGGGCTTGATCACTTCAAGATCTCATCTTGGCTTAAGTCTGTCAACATTTTTCTTTTTCCTTACCCAGCCCTAAGCTATTTCCATTGGCAATATATTGCACACAAGCTGTGTTTCACTTCTTAATGCTATGGGATATTGCTGCTACAAGAGCCATCCTTGGTGTTTGCAGAAATATTTGTGATTTGAGGAACCCAGTGCAGTGTAGAGCAGGTAATGTGGGGGAGAGCAAACTCACACCCCTGCAGTCTCTAACTTGAAGGACTGTGCAAGCAGGCATGTTCCTTACGTAGGGGTGCTTAACCTAAGGTCTGTGGATAGGCTATGGAAGTCTGAACTCCTCAACATTACTGCGGAAATTTTGTGTGTGTGCACACACACCCAGGTGTACACTTGCCCTGTGGATGGTGCAGAGTCTATACCCTTCATCAGGAGATCAGAGTGAGGGGCGTCTCCTCCCCTGAAAAAGTTAGAGATCACTGTTCATTCACAGCGTTTGTGGAAACTATACCACTGATCGAGAGCAAGCCAGGACGATGATGCAGCCTTGTTCTCAAGGGATTTATAATCTAGTAAGGGTGAAGATTTCACCCTAAACCATGTAGAGCCTACAAAAGGAGGTCAGGGAGGCCAGGGAGGGCTGGGAGGTAGAGTTGTTGGGACTTAAAGGATGACTCGAAGTGGAATGATTGAGCCTAGATCAAATCATTTTCTCTTCACAGCTCTCCGTGACAGGAGACTGCATAGCTTCCCTGTGAGTCCATGGGCCCCAAAGTGATTATAACTGACCTCTAGCTTGACTGTGCCCATCCCCTGCCATTGGATCCTCTCCAAAACAGACAGTCATTGTCACGTATACTCACACGACACACAGGGAAAATAGCAACCAACAAACTGTTTCCATGTGTTAGAGTGGTAGAACCTGGCTCCATTTCCAGTGTCTCACCTCCATGTGTATGAACTAAAAATAGGCAAACTTGGCTGGGCGCGGTGACTGACGCCTATAATGCCAGCACTTTGGGAGGCCGAGGCAGGCAGATCACGAGGTCAGGAGTTCAAGACCAGCCTGGCCAATATGGTGAAACCCCATCTCTACTAAAAATACAAAAATTAGCCGGGCGTGGTGGCGTGCGTCTGTAGTCCCAGCTACTCGGGAGGTGGAGGCAGGAGAATCGCTTGAACCCGGGAGGCAGAGGTTGCAGTGAACTGAGCTCACGCCGCTGTACTCCAGCCCGGGCGACAGAGCCAGACTCCATCTCACACACACACAAAAAAAATAGACAAACTTCTGGGGGGTATCAGGGTGTAATGACTCCCTTGGTTTTTTGGGTTTTTTTTGTTTTGTTTCTCTTTTTTGGGGTTTTTTTTTTTGAGACGGAGTCTTGCTCTGTCACCCAGGCTGGAGTGCAATGGTGTGATCTCGGCTCACTGCAACTTCCCCCTCCCAGGTTCAAACGATTCTCCTGCCTCAGCCTCCTGAGCAGCTGGGATTACAGGCGCACGCCACCACACCTGGCTAATTTTTGTATTTTTAGTAGAGACGGGGTTTCACCAAGTTGGTCAGGCTGGTCTCAAACTCCTGACCTTGTGATCTGCCTGCCTTGGCCTCCCAAAGTGCTGGGATTACAGGTGTGAGCCACCGCACCTGGCCGGCTCCCTCAGTTTTATCCTTCCCTACAGAGAGGTGGCCTCACATACATCCATCTCACTTATGTTTTTATGTGATTGCAGAAATAACTCCCAATGTTAAGAACACTGATGAGTGGTGCACAGTTCTTCAGAAAATATCAGCCCAGTTTTTCCTAGAACTGCTGTCCAAAAAAACCCACCAAGCTTGTAAATGGAAATGGCTAATAAGTGTTGTTTGTTTGTTTGTTTTTTGAGATGGAGTCTCGCTCTGTCACCCAGGCTGGAGTGCAGTGGCACAATCTCAGCTCACTGCAACCTCCGCCTCCCGGGTTCAAGCGATCCCCCACCTCAGCCTCCTGAGTAGCTGGGCCTACAGGCGTGCATCAGCACGCCAGGCTACTTTTTGTATTTTTGTAGTAGAGATGAGGTTTCGCCATGTTGGCCAGGCTGGTCTCAAAATCCTGACCTCAGGTGATCACCCACCTCAGCCTCCCAAAGTGCTGGGATTACAGGCGTGAGCCACCGCTCCCGGCCAGCTAAGTGTTTAGAATAAGTAATATGCATATATTTTCAGCTTTATAACTAACTGAGAACAAATTGCAGTGTTGTCCTGATGGGACACAGCAGGACAAAAGGCCAACTATTTCTTGAGCTGATTTCCTACAGCTGCTGGTGAACTAACTCCCAGATTGCTTAATCTAACTGGGAAGTGCTCTTTCTTTAGACTTAGGCGTGCGGCGCACAGCCTTTCGTGAGAGGTACGAAAGCAGTGTCTGCGGGCAGCATGACAGATGTGGCCCTGAGCGAGTTCCTTCACTCCTGAGTCTCCCTGTCCTTGATTGAAAAATGAAGACAAAAGTAGCTTCCTTGCAAAGTACTTGCACATATTAAAAGAGATAATATGTACCAAGTGCCAGGCTGGAGCTCACATTGCCAGGCCCTGTGCTAAGTGTTTCCATGAGTCTCATTTAAGCCTCATAGCAACCATATTAGATAGCTGTGATTTCCAATTTTCTCTTAAGAAAAATGGGATTCAGAAGGATGAAGACAGAATCTGGGATTCAAACCCAGAGCCATTGCCTGCTAGCCACACTGCCTTCCTTTACTGGAGTGAATTGAAGCCCACAGAAGACAGATCAGGTGGAGTCCTGGCTACTCACAGAGCAATGGAAACAGGCAGATAGTATTCAACCCTGTTCCCCTGCACTGAAGATTTACTTCCAAACCTCTCTTAACTACCTGAGGATTTTTTTTCTTCCTGACAAATCTGTACATTTTCTTTTCTTTTTTAAAAAAATTGAGACAGGTCGGCTGCAGTGGCTCACGCCTGTAATCCCAACACTTCGGGAGGCCGAGGCAGGCAGATCACCTGAGGTCAGGAATTCAAGACCAGCCTGGCCAACATGGTGAAACTCTGTCTCTTCTAAAAATACAAAAATTAGCTGGGCGTGGTGGTGGGCACCTGTAATTCCAGCTACTCAGGAGGCTGAGGCAGGAGAATCTGCTTGAACCTGGGAGGCGGAGGTTGCAGTGAGTCGAGATCGTGCCGCTGCACTCCAGCCTGGATGACAGAGCGAGACTCCGTCTCAAAAATAAATACATAAATAAATTAAAATGAAAAATTGGCCGGGCGCAGTGGCTCACGCCTGTAATCCCTGTAATCCCAGCACTTTGGGAGGCCAAGGCGGGTGGATCCGAGATCAGGAGATCGAGACTATCCTGGCTAACACAGTGAAACCCCCTCTCTACTAAAAATACCAAAAACTTAGCCGGGTGTGGTGGCGGGGCGCCTGTAGTCCCAGCTACTCGGGAGGCTGAGGCAGGAGAATGGCGTGAACCCAGGAGGCAGAGCTTGCAGTGAGCAGAGATCGCACCACTGCAATCCAGCCTGGGCAACAGAGCGAGACTCCATCTCAAAAAAAAAATTGAGGGCCAGGCACAATGGCTTATGTCTGTAATCCCAGCACTTTGGGAGGCCGATGCAGGTGGATCACAAGGTCAGGAGTTCGAGACCAGCCTGGCCAATATGGTGAAACCCCATCTCTACTAAACCCCATCTCTACTAAAAATACAAAAATTAGCCGAGCATGATAGCGGACACCTGTATTCCCAGCTACTCAGGAGGCAGGATAATCTTTTGAACCCAGGAGGCGGAGGCTGCAGTGAGCCAAGATTGCGCCACTGCACTCCAGCCTGGGTGACAGAGCGAGACTCCATCTCAAAAAAAAAAATTGAGACAGAATCTCGCTCTGTTGCCCAGGCTAGAGTGTAATAGCACAGTTACAGCTCACCTCACAACAGCCTCAACCTCCAGGCTCAAGCAATCCTCCCACCTCAGCTTCCCAAGTAGCTGGGACTACAGGTGTGCATCACCACACCTAGCTAAGTGTATCTTTTCTAACACCACTTCTTCAGTTTTCTGACACCACTGGGTGTCTGTCTAGCAATTCATTTAATTCTGACACTAACTCCCAAAGTTAGCATTAGACTCCATAAGTTCAAGGGCTCAGTCCCACAAGACTGCCCTTCAGATGCCAGTTGCAAGTACTGGGTGACTAACCAGAAGTAAGCTTACCCACACTTCTGTCCTACTTGCCTTCAAAGTCTGGCGTTACCATCCCATTCCTCCCTGGGTTCCATAATTTGCTAAGATGACTCACAGAATTCAAGAAAACGCTTAACATACATTTGCTGATTTATTATAAAGGATATAACTCAGGAACAACCAAATGGAAGAGATGCAAGGGACAGGATGTATGCAAGGGCGGCGATTCACCAGGAGCTTCTGTGCCCTCTCTGGATACACACTCTCCCAGCACCTCGATGTGTTTACCAACCCAGAAGCTCTACAGACCCTGTCACTGAGGGTGTTTATGGCGTTTCTGTGATGTCCGCTTGATTGATTAACTCATTGGCCATTGGTGATTGAGCTCAATCTCCAGCCCCTCTCCCCTCACCCCCAGAGGTCGTGGGTGGGGCTGACAGTTCCAACCCTCTAATAAAGGTTTGGTCTTTCTGGAGACCAGCCCCCATATCCTGCACTATCTAGGGGCCCACAAGAGTAACCTCATTATCATGAAACTCAGGTTTGGTTGGAAGGGGCTTGTTTGTTCTGAGACGGAGTCTCTCACTGTTGCCTGGGCTGAGTGCAATGGCACGATCTCGGCTCACTGCAACCTCCGCCTCCCGGGTTCACACAGTTCTCCTGCCTCAGCCTCCTGAGTAGCTAGGATTACAGGCGCATGCCACCACACCCGGGTAATTTTTTGTATTTTTAGTAGAGACAGGGTTTCACTATGTTGGCCAGACTGGTCTCGAACTCCTGACCTCGTGATCGGCCTGCCTCGGCCTCCCAAAGTGCTGAGATTACAGGCATGAGCCACCATGCCTGGCCAGAAGGGGCTTGTTAATGAGTAACAAAAGATACTTCTATCACTCAGGAAATTCCAAGACTTTGGGGAACTCTGTGCTAGGAGCCGGGGACAAAAACCAAATATATATTTCTTCTACTACACTGCCCCATCCCCTCCTGCAGGGGTCCTAAATTTAAGACCTTGCTAGTGGGCTTCCTGCACCCTTCTGAGGGTGCGCAGGAGAGGAGGCTGCCAGCCTCTACATCTGGAAGGAGCACCAGGGAGGGCCCAGCCTGGGGCTGGGAGCTCAGGGGCCAGTGTGCCGCGGCAGCACAGTGAGAATCCTGGGCCTGTGTGGGGCTTGTTCTTCACTTTACACCCCATACATGGTTTATTAGTTAATCTCCCGTGAGCCAGAGGACAGTATTAATCTCAAAGTAATGCTAATCCCTTTTTACAAGAGGAAACAGAAATCCCCAAGTCCTCTGGCAGAGGCCGTTCACAGCCCATCAGAATGGAAAAGGCCTACGTTCCAGCCCTTTTCCTGTCTTCTCTGCTTTAGGCTGATGAAGCTGTGAGTTTTATAGCATTGGACTGAGCAGATTCAGAATTTTACCAAATACCTTCCCACTTGGAAAACAGCCACCCTGCAAAAAACCTCCGTGTTTCCCTCCACATTCATCATAGCCACCAGTTCCTAGAGCTATCATGAAGGAGAGTTGGCGGGACGAGAGCTGTTAAATTCAGTTAGTTACTATTTCCCTGCAGTCAGCCTAGATCTATGTAATTCTGTCTTTCAGAGAAGGCAGCTAATTTCAGTATAGATACTCCCATCTATCACTGTAACAGTTTAATAGGTACGGTTATAGCTTGAATACACCAACAGGCTTTATGTGAGTAATTGCCGTATTTGCACTGCTTTGAATTGATAAAGTGCTAAAATATGAGGTATACTGTTTCATATGCTGTGATTTTTATGGGGGCTGTCTGTTACTTAATCTCTCTCCCTCCCCCTGTAATTCTAGTTTTACTAACAAATTGCTTTCCCACAGTCCAAATAGTTTTAAAACAAAGCTTTCTCCTTTTTTTTTTTTTTTTTTTTGCTACCATTCCTCACCACCCTCCCGTTTTTCTGCTTGCTTATAAGTTAAGCACAAGTCACTTGCATTCCAGAAATTCCCCATTGCCATAAAGGCAGGCAGTCAGCTCGCCAGCTCTTGCCTGTTCCAGATAAGCAGGGTTCATTTAGCTTGTGACTCGGCATTGCTAGCGGATTTCCTCAGGCCCCAGTGCCCTGATCAGAACAGTGTGCCCTGGCACACCGCCTGGAGAGCCCAGCAGCCAAGGAGAAGTAGAGCTTGTTTCACAAAGTAACCCTGGCCTTCCATCCAAGACAGAAATAGTCTGGGTGGCGGCCCAAGGCCCCGAGACGGTTCCAGCCGGCTGCTTTGCCTGGCTGTCCCGGCTGCACTCGCCTTCTCCATGGTGGGGAGCTCGGGCAGACAGGTTGCTCTGGCCTGAGCGTGCCAACCAGGCCCATGGCCTGTCCTGCCATATTTGCCAAGGCAGTACAAACAGGACGGTACAGCAGGCTGTCCTGTGAGAGTGGTCCCAAGGAGCAGTACCCACTCTCGGCTGCAGGACCTTCTCGGGCCCTTGGTGGAGCTGGCCTGACTGTGCCATTGAATTATCACCTGGGGGCTCCGGTGGCCCTTGCTCTTGCTCTGTGTCTGTCTGTTCATCTCACTCACACGCACACCTTCTGTGCTGCCTTGCTCATGAGGTTTCACACCCAGCAAATCCCCATGCCTCTATAACCCCTGTCAGTTTCCTTGACCTCTGCTTTTTTCCTGTTCATTTCACCAAAGCCAGTGAAGCACAGATGAACTAACCTCTTCTCCTCCGTGTTACACTCACTGTAAAAACATCTAAGACCCGCATAAGGTCAGTCTGGGAAGGCTGAGCCCTGATAAAAGGCGACAGAGCAGCCCATTAGCAAGAATGTGGCCAGCTTCTGCAGGGGGCGTGGCCCTGTGGGGACTCCCAGCCACAGCCAAACCATGGCTCTGCCCTGTAAAAGTTAACAGCCAGGTCTGGAGACCAGACTTAACAGCAGCACATGACTGGCTGTGGCGAAATAATGAACCCACTACGTTCCTAGTGAAGTTACCGGGAAGAAGGGGAGGGAGAAGGCTTCTTGGTGAATGTAGAACCTCAATACATCTGGAAAGGAAAGTAGGAGTTGGATGCTCCAGCCGCTTAGGGAGCAGCTCCTCCATGCTGGCCCCAGTAAGGCACAGGCCCCTTGAGAACAAACACTTGAGTCGCCTTCCTCCCTCTCTTCAGCTGGAGAAACGCTGCACTTTTCTTCCTCCTTCCCTCCTTTCTGAAGACAGCTACTGAATGCCTTCCCTGGTACTAGTTACTGTGCAAGCCCAATACACAGACGGGTGATGAGAGGACTCTGCCTGCTCCTGTGAACTCAGGGGTCTACCAGGGGACCAGCATTAAGCAGCTAATCACACAGCTATCCAGCGACTTTCACATGGTGCCCAGGGCTGTCCAGGAAGAGCATGGAGACAGTGCCTTGTGGTGATTGATTAAACACAGACTCTGGAATCGGACTGCCCGGGTGTGAATCCCAGCCCTGCCATCTGTTTGCCACGTGGCTCAGTTTGTTCAGTTATAAAATGGGAAGAAGAATGGTAGAATACAACTCACAGAGCTGGTGTGAGGACTGGGTGAGACAGTGCATGTAAAAGGCTTATGGCTGGCCTTGGCCCAGAGTGCCGGCACTGCGTAAATGTAAGCAATTGTTGGGATCCTATAACAGGAACTTAATTTAGTCTAGGAGTCAGGGGAGACCTCGGAGGGAGCATTGTTTAGTCACAGAACAGAGGTAAAAGTGGAAGGAACAACTGTAGGGAGGCCCTGCAAGTTCATCAGGACTGCAGTGAAGTATAAGGGGAGGGTGGCAGGCTTGAGCCTGGTGACAGGAGCCCCCGAGGCCACATGTTGAGAAGTTTGTGTTGTACCCTAGATTTTTATCCTAGATTGCAGGGACTGGGATCAGCCTTCCTGCCTGAGGCTTACAGGCTTCTGACTCTGAAAAGTATTCTTTCTTAGGGAAGAGAGGCCAGGAAAGGAAGGGACACTGGGCTGTGATTGGTGACATGTTTGCCTCCTTTCATGGGTCATTGGGAATCAGGAACCTGAAGGAAGTTAACCTCTGCCCTCCTTAATGCTTGGGAGGAATCTGCTTGTAACCCCAAGGGGCTTTTCTACTTGGGCCTGCCGTGGAAAGGAAGCGGGTGTTTTGTGTGTGTGTGTAGTGGGGTCTGTGTGTGGGGGGTAGGATATGTGTGTGTGTGGTGGTGGCGTGTGTGATGGGATGTGTGTGTGTGGTGGGATGTGTGTGTGTGGTGAGGTGTGTGTGTGGTGGGATGTGTGTGTGGTGGGGCGTGTGGGGGGGGTGTGGTGTGGTGTGTGTGGTAGGGCTGTGTGTGCGGTGGGGTATGTGTGTGTGGTGGGTGTGTGTGGTGGGGTTTGTGTGGTGGGATGTGTGTGTGGTGGGGCATGTGTGTGGTGGGATGTGTGTGTGGTGGAGTCTGTGTGGTGTGTGTGTGTGGTGGGGCATGTGTGTGGTGGAATGTGTCTGGTGTGTGTGGTGGGATGTGTGTGTGTGGTAGGGGGTTTGTGTGGTGGGGGATTTGTGTGGTGGGGTGTGTGTATGGTGGGGTTTGGTGGGATTGTGTGTGTGGTGTGGGGGTGTGTGTGGTGGGGTGTGTGTGTGGTGGGGTTTGTGTGGTGGGCTGTGTGTGTGTGGTGGGGTTTGGTGGAAAGTGTGTGTGTGGTGGGGCTTGTGTGGTGGGACGTGTGTGTGTGTGTGGTGGGGCAGGTGTGGGGGGGTGTGGTGTGTGGTGGGATGTGTGTGTGTGGTGGGGTGTGTGTGGTGGGATGTGTGTGTGTTTGTAGGGGGGTGTGTATGTGGTGGATGTAGTACACCTGTATTGTGCTCGCGGTCTGTTTCTTTGTTGGTGGATCTTTAGCCTGTAAGATCCCTCACAGTGGTGGCACCAGCTCTCCTCGGAGTCACACTGCCATCACTCCAGTGCCACTGGGCCTGCGTGGGCATGCCAGCAAAGTCACACTTCAGAGCATGAAGACGTCTCACGTTCTTGGCAGGACGGCTCTCCCAGCTGCTCCTGGCTTTGAATGTTCACTCCCGTTTTGCAGAGCGCAGTCGGCTCACCTCGATTATGGACCACACTCTTCCTCCAGAATGGGCAGGGTGTCAGCTCTAGGCTGGCCTCAAGTTCTTTGCCAGCGTGGTTTCTTAAGCCCAGCTGTTGGGATATGCATTTTCTTGAAAGTCAGGGAAAAGAATGGAGCCCCCTGTTGGGCTCAGAGCAGGTCCAGAAGTCCTACTTGACGGTTCATGGCAGCAAATGCATAGGCAGCTTCTGAAGGATCAGCCAGATGCTAGAGCCATCTGATCCCCCAGACCTGGTGCGATGTTGCACCTCCTCCCTCCTCCTCAGCCCTGAGATTTATGACATGGCCGTGTGCGCATCGCTGGCATCGGGAATGTATAAAGCCACAGTGCCTGCTTGTGGCACTCACACCCAGTCAAGTCATCGTAATAGAGTGTTAGTGGCCTTCTATCATGGGGGGAAAGTCTGGCACAGGAAGAAGCAGGTCTTGACTGACAGGGGAATTACCTGGGAAGACAGCTAACGAAGGGGCAGGGGAGGGACAGAGGACCCGAGTGTTCAAGGAGGAGAGCAGCCAGAAAACCACCCAGGCACCTCCCGAGCAGGAAGGCAGCAGGGGGAGCTGCGGGGACTCGTGTGATTTCAATAGTAGCGCTTCTGCGGAGAGACACAGCGAGGAAACCTTCTCTATGGAGAGGAGGCCGTCGTTCTTCTCAGGCCAGACATCCTTGCCCTCCAGTTCATAGAAGAGAAAATTGAGGGCCGGGCGCGGTGTCTCATGCCTGTAATCCCAGCACTTTGGGAGGCAAAGGTGGGCGGACCACCTGAGGTCAGGAGTTCAAGACCAGCCTGGCCAACATGGTGAAACCTCGTCTCTACTAAAAACACAAAAATTAGCCAAGCGTGATGGTGGGTTCCTATAATCCCAGCTACTCGGGAGGCTGAAGCAGGAGAATCGCTGGAACCCGGGAAGCGGAGGTTGCAGTGAGCCGAGATTGCACATTGCACTCTGGCCTGGGCAACAAGAGTGAAACTCTTGTCATCTCAAAAATAATAATAATATTTACAGCATCTTGACAGACTCATTAATGATGTCATTACCCCATTTTGGATGAGGATTCCAAGCCCCTGAGAGGAGAGGCGATTTACTCTCAGACACCCAGCCTAGCTATAAGACAGAACCAGGATCAGAACCAAGGTCATTTTGGTGTCAAAGCCATGCATGTTTTAAAATGTTTTTCTACAAACTGTCTTGTTTTGGCCACGCTCTCAGAATAGGTCATGCCTACAGGCAGGTGCCATTGTTGAGGCTTGTTAAGAGTGTAGAGAAAAAAGAATACTGGCAGGCATTGTGCAGTGGACTGTGCATAGACGATCTCATTTATTCCATTGTACGGTCAGATTAGCTGAGGTCAGGGGCAGGATTCGAACCCATGTCTCCCTGACAGCAGAACTCAGGTGCTCATCCACTTGCCAACCAGCTTTCCACTTAGATCATTAGGATAATAGCTACTCTCTCAGCACTAAGTGCTAAGATCTCATTAAATACATACCACCAGGGGATGAGGTGAGAACTGTTATCTCTGTTACACATAGAAGGAAATGGAGACATGATTGCTTTGATTTTGACCTAAATGCTCTCCTGCCCCCTCACCCTTTGATCTTCCATTGAGGTGAGATTGGGGGAGTGCCGCAGTGTGGTCCTCAGAAGACACACCATAGATACACTGTTAGCATTGGATGAAAAAGAAGGGCTTCATACCTTTCCACAGAGGTCGGTCCTCTTCAAGACCATTTGAATTTAATGCTCAAAGAGTTTCCTTCTCTCCCTGAGTGCTCAGCACCCCTCCGGCCTTGCAGTTTAGCCTGCCTTAGACTTAGTCTTGCATGTGTAAAAGAAAAAGGGAATGGTTTATTAGATGCTTCCAGACTCCAGAAAAGTCGACAAAAGTTGTTAGTTAAGTCCTGCCTGGCATGGGGTGTTTTAGAGTACTAGCAGTGCCAATTAAATTTTTTTAAAGGACTAAGTGCTGAGTTTCTATATCTAAATATAGAAAGTAAAAAATAAGCAAGTCTGAGTTCGTCTTGGAGGAAGTATTGATGTGTTGCTAGAAAGGAAACTTTGGAGGAACTGAGTCCTGGTGTGAAGGAGCAGAGGCGAAGCCTGACGCTGGCCGACAGCACTGCTGCTAAGAAGGGCCTGCCTGGGGTCCAGGATCAAAACCTGTTTGGATATTTCAGAAAATCAGGATACCAGGAAAGGAGGTGATTTTCCCCATTGATTTCCAAGCTCCTGAGGGGCATCTCTCCATTTTTTTAGTGTCCGTCCTGCCACAGACACCTCCCAGGAGCAGGGCCAGCCACCACAGCTCTGACAGGGCAGTCGAAGGGCTGAAATACCAGTTCCTAGTCCATGGGGAAGTCCCCACCAGCTCTCACCGGAGGGCCGTCTAGTCTTCCTATGTCACCAAAGTATTTTTTGGTGTTTTGTTTTGTTTTGTTTTGTTTTGTTTTGTTTTGTTTTGTTTTGAGATAGGGTCTCACTCTGTCTCCCAAGCTGAAGTGCAGTGTTATGGACATGGCTCACTGCAGCCTCAACCTCCCAGGCTCAAATGATCCACCCACCTCAGCCTCCCAAGTAGCTGAGACTACAAGCATGACACCATGCCTGGCTAATTTTTTATTTCTTGTAGAGATGGAGTCTTGCTGTTTTGCCCAGGTTGGTCTCGAACTGGGCTCAAGCAATCCTCCCGCCTTGGCCTCCCAAAGTGCTGGGATTATAGGCGGGAACCATCACGCCTGCCCTGCCAAAGTATTTTTGTGGAAGACCAAGACTGAAAACTGTGTAAAGGAGCCGGGTGCGGTGGCTCATGCCTGTAATCCCAGCACTTTGGGAGGCCAAGGCGGGCGGATCACTTGAGTTCAAAAGTTTGAGACCAGTCTAGCCAACATGGCAAAACCCCATCTCTACTAAAAATACAAAACTTGGCCAGGTGCAGTGGCAGGCGCCTGTAATCCCAGCTACTCGGGAGGCTGAGCCATGAGAATCGCTTGAACCCAGGAGGCGGAGGTTGCAGTGAGCCGAGATTGAGCCACTGCACTCCAGCCTGGGCAACAGAGTGAGACTTTGTCTCAAAAAAAAAAAAAAAGATTAAGCAATGCCTAAGGGCTTGTTTTCGTATAAAAAGCAGCAGTTTTCATGCTGTTTGGAAGTGCTTTGTTCCTAAAGTATGTGGTATCTATTTTGCCTGGTATATTACCCCTGATTTTATTGAATCATAGAATTCAAGAGTTCTGACTAAGACTTCTCTGGAGCCTTAGAGCTCTGGCACATCTTCTAGAATGGCAGTTCTCCAAGTGTGGTTCGCTGGCCAGCAGCAGCAGCATCATCTGGGAATGCATTAGAAATGCAGATTTTGAGGCCAGGCGCAATGGCCCACACCCAGAATCCCAGCATTTTGGGAGGCAATGGCAAGAGGATCGCTGGAGCCCAGGAGTTTGACACCAACCTGGGCAACAAAGTGAGACCCCCATCTCTACGAAAAAAAAATTTAAAAATTAGCCAGGTGTGGTGGTGCACACCTATAGTCCCTCGCAGCTACTCAGGAGGCTGAGGTGAGAGGATCGCTTGAGCCTGGGAGGTTGAGGCTACAGTGAGCCAAGATGGTGCTACTGCACTCCAGCCTGAGTGACAAAGCAAGACCTTGTGTACAAAAAAAAAAAAAAAAAAAAAAAAAAAAAATTCTTGGGCTCCCCTCCAAACTGACTGAATCCAAAACTCTGTGGCTGGAGCCCCCGCACCTGCACCGTAACAGGCCCTCCAGGTGACTCTGCTGCATGCTCACTCTTGAGAAATAGTGATTTTGAGCATCATAGAAGAAGAACTCAGGTAGGATTCAAATCCCATCTGTGCGACTCACTCATTCTCTACATGTTCCTTTACCTCCTGGTCTCAGCGTTCCTGTCTGTAGAATGGGATAATAATCACCAGTCTGGAGGGGTTATTGTGAGAACTGCTATGAAAAGGCACGAAAGCACTTAGCACCGTGTGCCTCATACAGAGTAAGCATTTGATAAATGGCTTATCATTATTGTTATTAGCTAGCTTCCTAGACCAGGTATTCATCTTTTTAAACAGTACCCCAGTCAGATGGTTGTCTGGTGAGAGGAGATTCAAAAATTCTGGTCTATTTCAATGAATAACAGCTATGGCTGTTAATAGTTATATATTGAGAGAATATTTGCCATTCTGTAATGTCCATTCTTTTTTTTTTTTTTTTTTTTTTTTTGAGACAGAGTCTCGCTTTGTCACCCAGGCTGGAGTGCAGTGGCACGATCTCAGCTCACCGCAAGCTCCGCCTCCCAGGTTCACGCCATTCTCCTGCCTCAGCCTCCCGAGTAGCTGGGACTACAGGCACCCGCCACCATGCCTGGCTAATTTTTTTTGTATTTTTAGTAGAGACGGGGTTTCACAATGTTAACCAGGATGGACTCGATCTCCTGACCTCGTGATTCGCCCGCCTCGGCCTCCCAAAGTGCGGGGATTACAGACATGAGCCACTGCACCCAGCCTTGTAATTCCCATTCTTGATTGTAGCTCTGTCCCCTAGAACCATTGGAACAAGACTTTTCTACATGGCCTTGTTCAGATATTTGAACATAGTGATCTTGGCTGTTCTGAGCTTTTTCTTGTTCTATTTCCAAAGATTAACTTAAACATAGAAGATAATTGCAGCCAGTAGGGAGGGCTTTTAAAAAAGAAGGAGAGAAACAGAAAAGGCCTGCAGCCAAGGCTATGCTTTGGTGACATGGGTCTTTGGAGATTTCTGGTAGGTAAGGATGCCTGTGAGTTTAAGGTTGAGGCTTTCTCAGATGGACTTGGGAGCCTGCAGTAGACATGGTGGGTGGAGGTCACTGTTGGTAAGAATTCTGCCTTCTGCCACTGGCGGGTGTGGGCCAGAGTCACCCCTAGGGTGTTTCCATGTAGGAACAGTGGGGTGTTCTAGACACAAATGCCTTAATATCCAGCATCTTTGCCAGGGGGTCTGCTCCAGGACCCCAGCCCTTTTCCTGCTGTGGTCTCAGGCCTTTGGCAAGCTGCCCGTGCTCTTTCCAGCGTCCTGTTTCTCACCTGGGTTGCCAGCTCCCTGCAGCCTTGGTGGTGTTTGCAGCCTGCTCTCAGTTTTTTTAATCTTTTTTTAATTGATGTCTAATTAGTAGTTACGATAAATTGCACTAGCCAAGCAAATGCTACCTTTCCTAAATTACGCCGTGGTATTGTGTACGACAGCAGCAGGGTTGCTATTTTAAAATGGGATTGCGTAAAATAAACATGTGCCCAGATGACAGGAAGTACTAAGTTGATGATTAATTGATGCTCTGGTACGGCCTCGTGCTTTCCAGTGCTTCCATTTGTGTGACGATCCATCTAGTGAAGTTTCAGCAGGTCCACACCACTGATAATTGCCAGATCGCTAATTTGCAGTTCGTCTCCTGCCCTCTCATGCCGGGGCCGGTGGCCATTATGAGGCAATGCAGAGCAGTCCTCAGTCCCGCTGAAGGTCAGGGTCACCAGAAGGTGATGTGCGGCCCTCGGCTGGCCAGGTCTTCTGCAGCTCGGAGACTGCCTCTCTACACTGAGACTCAGGAACGGTGACATTGCTGCATTATTCCGGACTCTTGAGACTGGTGCTATTTGTCCTGTCATTTTCTTTGTATTATGTAGGGCTGATATTCAGGGAAAGGGAAAATAACTTAGATTTAGTTTTATTTGTTTTTTTCAAATTAGGAGATGAAGACTTGAGCCTGCTGACACATACCCAAGGCTTGCTCATATGTGAAATAGGTAGAAGTTTAAATATGTCTTGAGAGCAGTTGAGAAAAGAGTCAGTGGAAAAATTACTAACTAGTGCTGGTGAGCAGGGTCTCGACAGCACAGGGGGTACGGGTGTGCCATCTCAAAAGCTGCCCTGGTGCTTAGGCCAGAGGGCTTCACCCAAGTGTGGTGCTGCTTCTGAGAAACGGGGGTGCTGTGGTCTGTACCCCAGCCTGGTGGATTAATAGGAAGCAGCAGAAGCTTGAGCCAGGTGTCTTCTGGAACACTAAGGAGGCAGGACAGTGGCAGAGTCCCCGGACTCAGACCACTCTGCCTCTTAGCAGCTATGATCTGGGGCAAGGACTTCACCTTTCTGAATCTTAGTTTCCTCATGTGTGTATTCTCTACCTACCCAATAGCTCTTCCCATGAGGTGTGGGAGATTAAATGGCATCATCGTTTATTTAATAAACAAGCAAATGGTGGATGGGGACAAAGCACCTAGCTCAGTGCACAGCGTGTGACCACTCTGATATGGAAAGTGCCAGCACTCTCCCAGGCGAGTACAGCAGTGGCAGCTCCTTTGTAACTAGGCGTTGCTTGGTAGGATGTCCCTGGGGTTGGTCCATTAACCTCCTTTTCTCTCGGGGAAAGGGCCTTGGTGCAATTAACAGCTTTTAAGCCAGAGAATTGATGCCTCTTGCTCCAGTGTTCTTGAAGCCTCAAGAAGTCTGGGACCCCCAGAAAACAGGCAGGCCAGTTGCTTTTATCTTGCCTGATGGCTGTCTCTCCAGAGGTAGCAGTGACAATAACAACCAACACGTGGCTCTCGGAAGCCTGACTGACTCCAGGGCCCGGTGCTCTCTACTGTCGGCACTGTTTCTGTTGTCCAGGGGCAGCACCCACAGTGCTTCCTCTGTGCACCTTCAGCAAGACAGAGTCGCTCAAAGCCAGTCTTCAGAAGGGACCCAGGGTTGCTTTAGCCATGAGACCCCATGTCAGTTTTCACAGTGACTTCACTGTCCTTTCGACAAAGTCCTTGAGATCTTGATGGCTCACAGTGGACTTCGTTCCCAGGACAGGGTGAGTGGACTCAGTAGACAGCTTGGAATCCACTCTAAGCTGAACAGTGCTCCTCTGCCCACGGTAGGATGGGGAGGGAGTGGGAGCCCATCCTTCCCTTGATATTTTATTCTAACTTACGTATTTAATTGACTTTTACTACTTTTTTTCTTGTATCACACTATACACCAAATAAGTTCCAGAATGATCACAGAATGAAATGATTTTTTTAACTGATAAAAAGAACTAGAAGGAAAAAAAACAATAGCTGATACAGGAATAGGAAAAACCTATTCTAAGCATAAAAACCAAGGAAGACATCATAAAGGAAATGGCTGGTCTTGAAAGCCTAAAATTTTTGAATTATATACTTCAACAAATTCAGTAAACAAAATTAGAAGACAGATAACAAAAAGGAAAAATGTAAACATATATAACGTTGATATAATTACTTAATATTCATAGACTTTCTCAAGTTCAAAATAAGAACACTAGGAAAATTAACAAGAACATGAATACGATATTCACAAAGTAAGAAATACCTATTTCCAGTAATCTGTTAAGCTTTTACTAGTTGTCAAAAAAACATACTTGTGAGTTAATTTTATTTATTTATTTATTTATTTTCAGACAGAGTTTTGCTCTTGTTGCCCAGGCTGGAGTGCAGTGGCACGATCTTGGCTCACCACAACCTCCACCTCCTGGGTTCAAGCAATTCTTCTGCCTCAGCCTCCCGAGTAGCTGGGATTATAGGCATGTGCCACCACACCCACCTAATTTTGTACTTTTAGTAGAGATGGGGTTTCTCCATGTTGGTCAGGCTGGTCTCGAACTCCTGACCTCAGGCTATCCACCCACCTCGACCTCCCAAAGTGCTGGGATTACAAGCATGAGCCAAGTGCTGGGATTACAGGCGTGAGCCACCACACCCTGCGCAAGTTAATTTTCTAACAGTAAAAACTTGGAAAACCCTGTATCACTTTTTTTTTTCTTTTTTTTCTTTTTTTTTTTTTTTTTTGAGAGAGTCTCACCTGTCACCCAGGCTGGAGTGCAGTGACGCAATCTCAGCTCACTGCAACCTCCGCTTCCTGGGTTCAAGCAATTCTCCTGCCTCAGCCTCCCAAGTAGCTTAGATTACAGGCGCGCACCACCACACCCAGCTGATTTTGTATTTTTAGTAGAGATGGGGTTTCACTATGTTGGCCAGGCTGGTCTCGAACTCCTGACCTCAAGTGATCCTCCTGCCTCAGCCTTCCAAAGTGCTGGGATTACAGGCGTGAGCCACCGCTCCCAGCCAACCCTGTATGATTAACAGCATGACTATTCTTACAGTGATCATATACTTTGGTGTCTTTAAAATCATGTAAAAGAATAAGAACTTGAAGTGATTAAAATAAATTCACAACATACTTTGTAAGTGAAAGTAATTGGGTTAAAATATATACTACCTCTGTTTTTTAAATGAAAATGAAAAACTCAAGAGTATACATCAAAATATGAACAGAAGTTATCTTTAGCTGCTGTGCTTCTATAGTCTTTCCATTTTTACCAAAAAACAAATACTTTAAAATTTTTAAGTGAAAAAGAAAATGGAGGTCAGATGGGTTGAAGCATCTAGAAAAATCAAACGAGAGTGTGCTGAGGCCTGCTCCTCTCTTGTGGTGGGCACCTCATGGACTTTCCCTGGCTTTCTCCTTGTCTTCGAGCCCAGCCCTCCTCATTCTCTGCTCTCCAGTTCCTGCTCCTAAGACCCTGCCTGTTTCTCCTCAGGACTGAGCACGGAAGGCATCTACCGGGTCAGCGGGAACAAGTCTGAGATGGAGAGTCTGCAGAGACAGTTTGATCAAGGTAAAGTGCAGCCTGGCCAGGCATCCGAGGCCAGAGCTGGTCAAGGCAGACACAGCTGCCTCGGTGAACTGTCTGTGGGGCTTCGGAGCACTCCTGCCAGCACAGACCCAAAGCCACGAGGTGCTGAGACTGAGAAAGAGACCATGTGTGGCTGCAGCGGGGAGGAGGGGACCGGGTCCTGTCAGTGAACCGAAGCACCATCCCTGCCCAAGCTGGGTCATGTAGGCCACTCCCCACACTGCCACTCACAGATGCTCTTCCAGGTTGCCCGGGCACATGCCTCCCTCACCACACTGAAGAGCTTTGCCTGTTTTCCCATGCAGAGCTAGTTGCAGGCACATGATATACAAGTCGGGTTGAGATGTGATCCTGTTTTGCCAGGGCCTCAGATCTACCCTCCTCACAAAGTCCCAGCACCAGAGAAAGTGAGGGACCATCGTGTGAGGAGCTGAGCCCTTGGGACAGAGACCCAAGTTACATAGCTCTTGGCAGGGACTCCCTTCTCCTAAGCTGAGCCAGCTTCAAGAGGCCTAAAGTCAGGCAGCCAAACTACCTCTTGGAATTGCCCACACTGTGGGATGAGAAGCCACGTCCCCCAGTGCCAGAAGCAAAAGCACCAGAGCAGGGCACATTCCCATCTATCAGCAGCCAGGGCAGGAGGCACCACCCAGAGTGGACACCACACCCACTTCCCAGGTGGGCGGCCCTTGCGCCTTGCAGCACCGCAGTCGGGCTCAGCTGGCCGGCAGCAGGCAGAGGGGACCGCAGGACAGGGAAACGCCTGCTAATCTGTGGGAGACACGAGGCCAAAGTGAGGGTAGAGCCCCCAGTGTGGGATGCATTTGTATATATGGGAGATCCTGTACCAGCTTACCTCCCCCATAGTGGAACCTGGTACTGTCCATCTGTAGAGATTTCTTCGTCATCAGGAACGCACTGAAGTATGTATGCAATGAGAAGGAAAGCATGACATGGGTCAGCGGTGCCTGTGGCTGGGAAGGGCCAGAGAGAGAAAAAATGAGCCTATTTGCCCTCCCACCATAGGGGACAAGGATGGAGGCAGCAGTCACAGTGGTTGCTAACATCTTTGTGACCTACCTGGAAAGCGAGCCACCCTTTAGGAAAGCCGCCTCCTTCTTCTGTGATGGGAAGGGAGTAAGGAAGAGGCAACAGCATATCAAAGCCAGATGAAGGCAAGCTCCTGGCACCAAAAACCAGCATGTGGGGGTAGCACCCCTGCCCCGAGAGTGGTAGAAGGGGCAGTTCAGCAGTCTCGGAAAGAGGTGCTGGGGCCAGCCCATGCCTGAACCTCAGAACTCGCGTTAGCGCTCACAAGTCCCACCCCTCCAATCCTTGCCAGTCCTGAGGCCGTCTCTGGCTCCTTGAGGTTTCTCTAGCCTCTCCTGAGCCCCGAGTTGTCCTGATGCTTCTGCCTGGCTTAGAATGGTTTGGCCTCACTCTCCTGACTTCCTTTCAGACCACAACCTGGACCTGGCAGAGAAAGACTTTACGGTGAATACCGTGGCTGGTGCCATGAAGAGCTTTTTCTCAGAACTGCCTGACCCCCTGGTCCCGTATAACATGCAGATCGACTTGGTGGAAGCACACAGTGAGTACCGGCAGCCCAGTGTTGGGCGGATTGAGGGAGAAAGGGCTTGGCACTGGAAGAATAGGTCCTGCCCTCAGAATGGATGCTGGCTGTTAGAGCTGAGGTTTGAAGGACAGAGGGCAAGGGAATTAACCAGATGACAGCAATGGGACTTGCAAATCGGGCTCCTGCCCTTGTAGACCTTAGGTGCTTATCTGAGGGTTACACCAAGAGAGTTGCAGGTTTCCCCCAAACTCTCATTAGTTAAGAGCATGGTTTCGGTGTCAGACTTGGCTCCTTCGCTTGTGGCCGACTTAACCTTCCCTGCCCCTTGTGTCCTGCCGTTGTTACCATCCCTACTCCTGCGGATGAAATTCTATTCGGAAAGGCCTAGAAGTGAGGCTGTGAATAGCCTATTTAATAGTAGGTCTTATTTTTCTTTCCCCTCTTCTTACCTGTCTTCTCCTACCTCTCATGTAATGAAGTTAACATGGGTCTAGGGTCCTACAGCCTCTTAGGAAGCCGGCCTCTGGAGGGAAAGAGATGACTCCAGTGGCCCTGGCCAAGTAATCATTTGATGCTGTAGCAAATTAGCACCTCTGGTTTTAATGGTATCCTGTGTGCCATGCCACCTTGCCTCATCAGTTGTTCCTGCCCCAGCCTGCCTCTCTGTAGAGGTGTTTGTCCAGATGGGCGAGCCTTCTCACTGGCCAGCCTTTCCCTGGACTTTGTGTAGTACCACAGAGGATGCCTGACCTCTCAGAGCGTCCCACCATGTGGCCCTCACTACCTTTTAAGTCATCAGCAGCCTTCCTGCTTTGTGCCTCTGGCAGGCCAAGACCCAGCAGCAGCCCTTGCTGTGCAGCTGCAGAAGGGAGTGTCTCTGCTAGCTGCCCAGAGATCACAGCCACCTGTGATCCAGCAACCAGAGGGTGGGGAAGAGGAAAGGAGACGTGTTCCTCAGGGGCAAGACATTAGTCTCATCTTGTCACTGCCCACCTCTAAAGAGGGAGCTTTAAACAAGCACAATTTATTCACAAGCCTGATGGTGTAGGCAGAAATTTGAGGGAGGTGATGGATCAGCATGGCCCCGAGTCCTGGGTCACTGACTCTTAGTAGCATCTGAAGGAGACAGGTGTGCAAGAAGCCCACCCCTGAACTGTCAGAGCCTCAATAGTGACAGGGCTGCGGGGCCTCCAAGCTCATCCTTCCAGGGTCTGCACTTCCTATGGTGTCTGTTTTCACAATCTGGATGCCACCTTCACCTTATTCTGTCCACACTCTCTTAGCTGACTGGAATTGTTCACAGCTCCTGACCCTATCTAAGCCCACAGGGATGGGGCAGGAGAGCGTGGTACTCCTGGGAGGGTCATAGAGTAGCCTGCTTTCTGAAGACGGGAGTCAGGGTTTCTCCAGGGGAGTTAGTGGGTGGGGACAGTTGCAGGCTTCTCCCCTGATCCTGCTGTCTGAAGATAGAGGCTTTCCCAGCAGTCACTTCTCCAGCAGGCTCCAGGCAGGCACAGATGTGAAGTCGCATGGGAAATCTCTATTCTGGAGCCAGCTTTCTTTCCACGGAAGCTTGTCTCACAGTGGAAGTTAGGAAAAGAGGAAGGCGTAGACTGATACCCAGTTTGCTGGAAGCCGGGAATTCCTGTCTGCATTTGTCTTGACTTGGCGCCATCTAGAGGTGCGTGAAATCCTGCCACCCGGCAGAACCCCATTGTTTCTGCGGGAACTGCTGACACAGCACCTTTTTGTGTAGGGTTGTGGGGCCGGCAGGAACGGGAGGTGCTATTGATAGGGAATCAGCCACCCTTCCCACAGCAGCTCTCACCCAGCTTCCACTGCTCAGGAGGTGGCTTCTGGCCGCTGCTACTGCAGCAGCCTGGGAAAGGGTGGAGGTTTCCCACTTCCTCTTCCCATTGTGTGTTTCCTGTCCCCGACGGTACTCAGCGGGGGCTCCGTTGTCTTGAACCTGACCGAAGCGGGTGGGAGAGGAGAAGATCTTGCTGACATGGCACCTCTCCCGGCCATAGCAGTTGACTGAAAAGCTGGGCTGTGGATGTTGCAGGGCCAGGTTCAACTGAGCCGCAGATACCAGGCAGTGCAAAAGTTAGTAGTGTTAAGGGATATTATGGAAAAAAGATGATTGTGCCCCAAAGTAGCTCTTCCCAGACTGGCTGGGGTTTCCATGGCTACATCAACTTGACCAGTTCTTTCTACTTAATCCCTGAGAGCAATTGTGTCTCTATATGTTCAGGCCTTGGAACCAGTTTCAAATCCCATCACAACAAATATCAAGGTCACTAGCAAATGGTTTTGTTAGCTCCAGAATTTCACAATATTGAACACTGCTGAAAATGTACTCGCAAAATAGAGACGTTTGTGATTATTTGCCAGTTATTTTCCTCCCACACTCAAGGTGACACGTGGGAGATTCAGAAATGAACAGCAGCAGCAACCGCACCGCCCATGGCCTGTGTGCCTGCCTAGGCTGGGCCCGGCTCTCCACGAGGCACTTGATTCCCACCACTGATCTTCCTTTGAGGAAGATGGTATTATAATACATCTCCATTTTACAGAGAAGGAAACAGCTTCTCAGAGGTGATACAGCCTGCCCAGGGTCACACCGCTAGGGAGTGGCAAGCCGGGGCTTGAGTCCCTGCGTACGTGGGTGCAAATGAAGTTCTCTGAAGACAGAGCAAAGCTGAGCTTGAAGTGCACAAACCCCAGCAAGGAAGGCGCGAGGAAGAGGGCTTCACAGGGGAGATGGGCCAGGGTTTCAGGAGGCAGAAGAAAAGGCTTGCGCTGCCTGTTCTGTCTCCTACCTGTAGCCCACCCCCACCTTCAAGAGTCGCTCTTGCCTGGTTTCTCCCCGTCTCTGTGACTCCCTCCTCCCTGCCTATCTGGAGTCGACCCCGTCCAGCTGGTGTCCACAGGCCCTGTCCTATGGCTTTTGTGCTGGAAGGGGTGCTAGAGCTGGCTCCGTCTCAAGCCAGAGGGTCAGGACCAAAGGACCTGTGGCTCCAGGGTCCGCATTAACTCCCTGTAATAGCTCACAAAATTCAGTCTTTTTAATTTAAGGAGAGACCAGTCATTTTCATCACATTGTTGAAGGGGATGTGTGACCCGAACATGGTTCAGGATGCCAGCTCATTGTCTCGGCCTTTCCATTTGACAGATGAGACTGTTGGGGCTAGAGATAACAGTGCAGCCTAGGTTACCAGGGGACGGCCCTGCTGCTCTCTGGGCTCTTGTTCACCAGCTGCCTTGGGACGTTACTGGTTCTGGGATCCTGCCTTCCTTTGATCTGTCCACATAGCTGCCCGAGGGCACGGGGGTGCTTCTCACACCCACGTACGGGGTCATTAATTTCACAGCTAGCCAGGCCCCGTGTGGACAGGGACAGATGGCAGTGGGCACACACATATGTGGTCCCAGGCTCAGTCTGGTGGGACAGGACATTCAACAGGTGATTGCAAAGCCGTGTCTCCAGGGGAAGGACAGCTTGGATTCTCCATCCTGAGCCCTGCAGAGTGAGGTCTTGGCCTTGGAGTTGTTTACCACCTGGGGCGGGGAGAGCCGACGCCGGACGAGCCTGCGTGATCACTGAAGGGCTGTGACCTTGAGCCGGGCTTTCCCTTTCCTGGCGATGCAGGCGTGCAGATGGTCAGCGGCGGCCAGCAGGGACTTTCCTCCAGGCACCGAGCTGGCAGCAGCAGACCCAGGCCTAGAGCTTGGTTGGCAGCCTGGCTGCCAGTGATGGCAAGTGGCGCAGCACAGCCAGGGCAGGAGTGTTCTTTGGGAACAGGGTCTCTGCCGCCACTTTGTTTGACCTTGGACCGGTATTCTGGCTTTGTGAGGCCTGGTGTGTCTGTTTTGTAAGAGGTATGGGAAGCTAATCGGTAAGGTCCCTGTGCCCTCTGTCTGTCCCCTCCCCTCCCTCCTGAGTTCTTGGGGTCTCTATTGTACTAAATTGCTGGATCTGTGTCCAGGCTGTCTTGGTTCAACTGGCCCAAAAATGCCTCCCTTGGACGTTTCTTGTTGTCTCAGTCGATGGCCCCTAAGTTCAAAAGTATGATGTCCCAGGAAGAGGTGCAGCTCCCAGCCCACGCCCCCTGAGCAAGAGCAGAGCCACCTGGAGCCAAGCCAAGCAAAGGGGTGAGCGCAGTGTGGAGGCTGGGGTCTCCTCCATAGGCCACCTTCTCTCCCGGCCCACGCCCCTGGACTCCTGTCTACCCCTGACCACACACTGGAGCAGGATGGGTTGTTTGTTGTTGTTGTTGTTGTTAGAAAAAACTAAGTGTCTTGACTCCCAAAGGGCAGGCTGAGGGAGCAGAGGATGTGAGGATCGGGCCCTCCACAGTCTGGGTCCTGAGGGGACTCTGAAGGGGGTGGAGGTTACACCAAAAGTCTGGACGAGCGGACCTGGGAATCCACAAACCAGCACACGCCAGGTGTGGGGAGAAGCCACCCTGGGCACCTGTACCATGGCGGGTCCGGGTTGCAGCAGCTCACCCAGGGCTGGGTGCCCTGACGGCCCTGTCCCAGTAGGGACACCAGGGAGCCCATTGCCCCTGCTGTTTCTTTGGCCAGTGTAGACACCTGGCCGGGCGGGCTACCTATTGAAGCTGGGGGTCCCTGTACAGCAGGGCTCCACTGAAGATGGTGAGTGGCTGCCCTGAGTGTGCCGCTGCCCTGTGACCAGGTCCACACAGACTGTGGCCCCAGCCTTCGGCAGCACCATAGGGTAGAAGGTGTCCAGGGTGCACGGGCTGGGCTGGCTCTTGGCCACCAGCTTGTTCCCCAGGCCTCTGGCTTGGAGCCTCGGGAGTCTGTGCTTGACCACACCCAGGCCCAGGTTGGAGCGGGATAGCCCAGTCAGCACCGTGCTCAGCAAGTAGCAGCCAGCCAGAGGCGCCGTGAACTCGCCGGGGATGAGGATGGTGGTCAGGAGGGGAAACAGAGGCAGGGCCAGGAAGGCCTCGAGGAGCCGGCCCAGAGCTCCTAGACTAGAGAGGCACCCACTGGGTCCTTTCCCCTCTTTCCACTAGACCGTAAGCGGCAGGGAATTTGGTTTTTGTCCCCTACTGCATCCCCAGTGTGTAAAATAGTACCCAGGCAGGAGCGGGTCCCCGTAAATATCTGCTCCTCCCACCCACTGCGGATGAACAAATGACCCAAGGAGGAGGGGCCTCCCAAATCCGAGAATGAAAGAATTCGCATTGTCTGACAAGGCAAGAATGGGGCGCTGTCACCACACAACCTCACCCATCCCCACGTGCTCAGCCCAGCCCTTCTCATGCTCACCTGCCTCTGGGTCAGAGTCACCTCCTCCCTCGCTGAGGACTGTTGAGGGACCTGTGCCTGGTTCCAACCAGGGCAGCTGAAAATGCCACACAGGGCACAGACACTGCTGGTGCCTCCCCCAGTCCTGAGTCAGGGGAGGGTGGGTATAGAAAAAAGGCTGGGTACAGTGTGACTGGGTACAGTGGCTCATACCTGTAATCCCAGCACTTTGGGAGGCCAAGGCGGGCAGATCATGAGGTCAGGAGTTCGAGACCAGCCTGACCAACACGGTGAAACCCCGTCTCTACTAAAAATACAAAAATTAGCTGGGCCTGTAATCCCAGCTACTCAGGAGGCTGAGGCAGGAGAATTGCTTGAATCTGGGAGGTGGAGGTTGCAGTGAGCCGAGATCGTGCCACTGCACTCCAGCCTGGGCAATACAGTGAGACTCCATCTCACAAAAAGAAAAAAAGTGTCCTAGCTGGTGAAGCCAGCACCCTGGAGGCCCCCCATCCCCTGTCCTGTCAGAGGATTACTACAGTCAGAGAGGGCTCTGCCGCGTGCAGGGAGGCGGGGACCCAGAGCAGATGGGCTAAGCTGGGAGACAGGCCTGGGTCCCATCCACCTTTGCCATCACCAGCCTTGTGGCCTTCTCTTGGCCTCTGGAGTGGGTTTCTCAGCCACCATATGGGTAACGCCCAGCCCCACCTTCCACTCGGGTCTGCGGTCAGGGCCATGCACAGAGCACTGTGAAGCTGTCCTGCCAGCACTTGGGCAGCACCCAAACCTAAGCAGCTACTGGTGCCTTTGCCATGTGAAGAGGCTGCAGCTGGAGCCTAGAGTAGGTCCCTCCCCAGAGAGGCCCTAGAGGGGTGAGGGCAAGCTTTGCTTAAGGAAAGAGGTGAATGGGGCTGAGTCAAAGGATGTTCACAAGGTCGACCTTGCTTTTAGTGTGGGCCAGACTTGAGCAGAAGGGCCTCTCGCCCTCCTTGACCTCTGCCCAGCGAGCTCCTAGTGCTGCTCAGTACTCAGGAGCACCTGGACCAGGCAGCCAGTGGGGAGGGGAGCAGGCGAGGAGACTGGCCACCCGCTCCTCACTAGGCGTTCGGCTGAGGTGCATATGCAGAAGGAGGCTGGGATTCTAGGGGGCAGCCCCTAAATTTATTTTTTTTCTTTTTGAGATGGAGTCTTGCTCTGTCACCCAGGCTGGAGCACAGTGGCACGATCTTGGCTCACTGCAACCTCCATCTCCCAAGTTCAAGTGATCCTTCTGCCTCAGCCTCCCAAATAGCTGGGATTATAGGCACACGCCACCAGACCTGGCTAATTTTTGTATTTTTAGTAGAGATGGGGTTTGGCATGTTGGCCAGGCTGGTCTCAAACCCCTGACTTCAAGTGATCCACCCACCTCAGCCTCCCAAGTGCTGGGATTACAGGCCTGAGCCACCGCGCCCGGCCCCTAAATTATTATCAATGCAGGCTTTGTAACTCCCACCCCTGCCCCTCCCCACCCCCTGAAGAAGAAACAAAACCACCCGCCTTGCTACTCATCAGATAGGAAGGAGAGCAGGCATCTCTGGCAGACCTAGGCTTTGCCAGCCCCGTTTCCTGCCTCCAGCCAGAGGACGGGATGAGACCCAGCTCTTATGTAAAGGTGCTACCACTCGATGCCTAATTAAGACAAACACAGCTGTGTTTGGGTCGTGCAGGCACCTACGGAGAGACCTGTGTCCTCCTGTGCCAAGCTAGCAGCTGGAAGGGGGCATGACGATTTTATTAAGTGAAGCTTTACACCACACACATGCTGCTTGTGTTTTCTAATACGGTCTTCTGTCCTCCCTACAGCAGTTTACTTTGTTTATGTAAACATTTTATTGTAAAATGACAATGAATTGTTTGAAGACTCAAGGTCGTAGAAAAGAGTGTGCCCATGGCCGGGTGCGGTGGCTCACGCCTGTAATCCCAGCATTTTGGGAGGCCGAGGCGGGTGGATCACCTGAGGTCAGGAGTTCCAGACCAGCCTGGACAACGTGATGAAACCCCGTCTCTAGTAAAAATACAAAAATTAGCAGGCGTGGTGGTGGGCACCTGTAATCCCAGCTACTTGGGAGGCTGAGGCAGGAGAATCGCTTAAACCTGGGAGGCAGAGGTTGCAGTGAGCTGAGATCACGCCACTGCACTCCAGCCTGGGCAACAGAGCGAGACTCCATTTCAAAAAAAGAAAAAAAGAAAGTGCCCTTGAGGTGGAACCCTTAAAATAAACCTTGGATTCAGAGAGATGAAGCTGCTCATAGCCCAATAACTAGCTCCCAGGACTTTTTTAGTCATTTCTGATAGACAGATGTTACCAAGACACTGCTCTTATCAAGTCACACTCTCAAGGCCACAGATTTGCCAGGTTTCATTCCTCCTCATTAGGCTGCCCGGGAGAGCTCCTGGAGCTCTGTCCCTTCCAGCCCTGCGGCCTCCCTTCCCCACAGGCTCCTGCGAGTAGACTGGCTCCCAGGTGCCCTTATTTTGTGTCCAGCTGTGAACTCTTCATTTAATTGCCAGGTGTCACCGAATGAAGGAGGCACTGTCCACAGCCCCTTTTACAGACAAGGAGACTCACCCTAAGGTGTCACTTGCCCAAGGTGACACGGTTGACGCGAGAGGCCGGATTTGTACCAGGGCCATCTGAGTCAGGATCTGGACTCCAGACCACCACAGGACCTTCCTCCCTGCTCAGCGTGCCCGTCATTGGCATTCTGTCTGCTCTTCCAAGTCTCACTCTCACCAGGGTGCTTGTGCAACTCCCCCAACTCTGACCCTCTGGGTACGTCACCTGCTGCAAGGTGACTAGGAAGCTATGGGTTTCCCAAAGAATGCTTGCTTCAGGGCTGGGCGCGGTGACTCACGCCTGTAATCCCAGCACTTTGGGAGGCTCAGGTGGGTGGATCACGAGGTCAGGAGATCGAGACCATCCTAGCTAACACGGTGAAACCCCGTCTCTACTAAAAATACGAAAAAATTAGCCGGCGTGGTGGCGGGCACCTGTAATCCCAGCTACTTGGGAGGCTGAGGCAGGAGAATGGTGTGAACTCAGGAGGCGGAGCTTGCAGTGAGCCGACATCGCACCACTGCACTCCAGCCTGGGTGACAGAGTGAGACTCCGTCTCAAAAAAAAAAAGAAAAAAGAAAGAAAAGAATACTTGGTTCAGGGAGTCCGCACCCCTCCCGGATTCATCAGCAGAATGGCACACATATGTCTCCGGCCGAGACGGTCTGGCACCATCATCTATCCCAAAGGAGCCCGAGCCCCCGGGCCCATTAGCAATCATCTGCGCTTTAACAGGCCTCTCTTCACCACCCCCACAGCCGCCAGCTGTGAGGTCGCTGCCATCTCCTTCGTGAGACCCTCCTGTGGTTCTTCTGAGCCCTGGAGTCCACGAAGGAAACATGGGGGCATCTTTCCCTGCACAGAGAAATCTGTCTTAGCCAGCTGGGCTCCAGGTGGGCTCTGGGACGTTTGTGCCTCACCAGCCCCGATGCCCTTCCCAGTCAAGGTGGGCCACACCCACTCGGGGATGGCAAGCCCAGTGGCCACAGCTCAGGCCCCACAGCCAGTCCCAGCTCTGCAACTTCTAAACTCAGATACTTCATCCTCAAAATGGGGTGACGAGTTCCTGCCTCACACGATTGTGGGGACTCATGGAACTGGGCCTGGCGCGGGTTACAAGCTGCATTCCAGGCAGTTGTTTTCCCTCCCCCAGGACATTAGGATTCCATGATAGGCAAAGTGTGGGCGTTGGGGGAAAAGGGGGTGCGTAGTTCCTTTGGTGAAGTGCATAAGAATTCCCCCACTGTTTCCATCAGCCCCTCCAACGGGGATGTGTGGACGGTCCCTGTGTCTCTAGGAAAAGGACAGAGCCTTGGTCTCATGACCGACTGACTCCCTCCCTCGAAGGCCTGTTGGCGTGGGTGGGTGGCAGCGGCCGCCCGTCTCCATCTGGTCAGGAAGCAAGCAGGCTTTCTGCGTAGGGATGCCTGTCTCCAGGGGCAACCGGATGAGCAAAGAATGGTGTTCTTTATGGCGGAGTGTCTCCAGATTGTTCTGTCTTGGGTGGTGGGGGCCAGGAAGCCCCAGGCACACAGTGCCGCCCTTCAGCGGGGGCCTGGGACACAGAGGTGGGCCAGACCCCTGGGCCAGTGCCACTGCCAGGTGTGCCAGCCTTGGGCACAGGCTTTGGGGGAAAGAGTGGGGTTAGTGTCATCCAAAAGCCCTGGGCTGTCCTCAGAGAAGGCCCATCACAGAGCACGCCCTGGGGTGGCCACCAGCCTCGGCCATGAAAGGCAAGGCTTTGGTTTTCTCTCTCCTCAGAAATCAACGACCGGGAGCAGAAGTTGCATGCCCTTAAGGAGGTATTAAAGAAATTTCCAAAGGAAAACCACGAAGTCTTCAAGTATGTCATCTCTCACCTAAACAAGTAAGTCGCAGGGCCTTCTGGTTGGTTTTTCCTCCTGAAAATTGACAGCCAGGGTCAGTGTGTCGCAGAACAAGGCTCTGTCCACAAGCCAGTAGAAGCCTCAGGCCCTGGCCTGGAAGGGGTGCTGGCTGGCCTCCCATGGTGCCCGCTGGTCTCGGTGCCCAGAGCCTCTGCCTCTCGCCCATCCTCAGGCCTCCCTCCTGCTCCTGTCTGAGGGCAGCCCACGTGGCCTCAAACCTGCCTAACACCAGATAGGGCACTTAGCTCCAGCGGGCATGGGGCCTCTTGTAGGCCTGTGTCCCAAAGCTGGCAGAGAGAGAAGATCTTCTGGTTGGTACTGATGCTCCAGAAATCTTCTCCTGAATCAAAAACACCTCAGAGTCCCTGAAAGTCCTCTCACAGCATTCACGTTCCCAGCTGGGGAGAACCGGGACACTGCACCTCGAGAGATGTGCTGCAGGAGACAGCCAGCCTCCGGCATGGAGCACAGCCGCAGGCGGGAGGCCGTATGGTTGTTCCCTGAAGTTCCATGTGTGTGGAGGAGATCTGCTGGCCGAGTGGCCTCTGATGGCGCTCTGGCTTAGGACACTCAGCCTCCCTCCCTCGTCACAGCCGGAGCACCGCCACTGCTTTGGCTGGCTGCAGAGTGAGTCCCTGAGGTGGTCCATCCACCCCCAGGGGTTTGCGGGGCTCCAGGCAGCCTTTCCGAGGTTGGCCATGTAGAGGCACTGGGCTGGAGGGGAGAGGACACTGAGGGCGCAGCCTCCCAGGCAGGGCAGGGTACAGAGAGCTGCGCATGGCCTTTTCTGCTCCACCTGAGGGAAGAAAGGTGGGCTCAGCCTGGGTGCTGAAGACCATGAGCGCCCAGGGCCAGGTGGGGCCCTGCACAGTTCTGACCATTGAGTTTGGTGTCGCCCGCAGGGTCAGCCACAACAACAAGGTGAATCTCATGACCAGCGAGAACCTCTCCATCTGCTTCTGGCCCACCTTGATGAGACCTGATTTCAGCACTATGGACGCCCTCACAGCCACGCGCACCTACCAGACAATCATTGAACTCTTTATCCAGCAGTGCCCCTTCTTCTTCTACAATCGGCCCATCACCGAGCCCCCCGGCGCCAGGCCCAGCTCCCCCTCTGCCGTGGCTTCCACCGTCCCCTTCCTCACTTCCACGCCTGTCACAAGTCAGCCGTCGCCCCCACAGTCGCCTCCACCCACCCCCCAGTCCCCAATGCAGCCACTGCTTCCCTCCCAGCTTCAAGCCGAACACACGCTGTGAGCCACCAAGACCTGGGGCGACAGGAGAACCGGTCCTCTCTCTGACGGGGTGGCATTTGGCCTTGAACAAAACCAAGTCCACTGGGGACAGAGGCAGGGGCAAGTGGCTCTCCCCATTACCTTCTCAAGACCTCAGTGGGAGCACCAGCCAATGGTACCATCGGCTGGGCTGCCAGGTACCCTGGGCCTGGCGCTGCAGACCTGAGCTGGCTTGGACCCATTTGAGGACTGAACTAGGCAGGCAATGGCTCCAGTGCCCTCCCTCTGTTCCCTGGACCACCACCCCACGTAGCTGCTCACACCAGCCTCCGGGTGCCTCCCTCTGCTTGTACAGAGCCCATGGTCGGGACAGTGCCCTGGCCTTTGCCGGGGAGGAGGATGCTCTGAGATTCAGGGTGGGGCTGGCAACCCCTGAAGAGAACACTTCCTGTTGGTCTGTCTCTTCCCACCTTCCATCTGCACACACCCCCAAGGTAAGGGTACAGCCCGGCTGGCGGCCTCCTTGGGAACGTGTAGGCCACGGCTCTGCCACCACTAGGTACCTGCTGAGGGCGCTGGCTCTGCAGATCAGAACAACGGAGGATAGCTTTGTGCCTGGACCCAGAGAGTGTGGGACTCCCCGCTTCATCCCCACCGTCCCACTCCACAGCCTTCCCGAAACATTCCCTGGCAAACAAAGGAACACTAGGAGAAAAAATGGAAAAACCCTTCCAGTAATTAAAAAGGAAGAAACCACAGAAAGAAAACTACAGACCTCAAGATTCCACTCTGTGCCCGCCTCTGCCGGGAGGGAGGGAGGCACACAGGTGGAGCTGACCCTCGTCTTTGTGGCAGCAAAACCAGGATGCCTGGAGCTGTGGCCTGAGGGCCTGCTGGGGTCCCACTCACCCACTTAGGTCTAGTCGCTAGATCCCCCGTTTTCCCAAGAAGAGGGTTCGAGCCCTTGGTGGGGACAGCTGGGGAGATGGCAGTGCAGGCTGGAACCTGGGCTGCCCCAGAACACAGTCCATTACGATAGAAACACTAATTGAGCATGTGCGTGGGGTGGGGGTGTGTGTGCACATGTGAGTGTGAGTGTGTGTGGGCGCTTGGTGGGGGGTTGGGGACAGCTGGAAGGTGCCAGGTGCACTTGGGGTTGGGGTTGGTGTGTTGGGTGTTGAAGTGGAATCGTTTCATCCCAGCCATGGAGGCCACCAGCAGGAGTGTTCATGGGGATGTGGGCGAGGTGGGGCACTTTGAAGGAATGGCGGTCTGCTGGTGCCCTCGAAGGGGCATCCTTCCTGGTCTTCGCTGACCCAGAGGCGCTGTGCCTGCATATCATCCACCACCACCCTAGCCCAGCCTTCCCACTGCCCCAGGAAAAGCTCTTCTCCTGGCCACCTCTGCCCCCCAGCACCTCAAACTTGCATGGCTGGGCTGTGGCCTCTGCGGCCAGGAAGCCTGACACTAGGCACCCCCCAGGCGAGAGCTAGTGGGGTGCAGAGGGCCCCATGCCAGACAGCCCTTGGGGCTCGTTGCACTTTAAGAAATAGGATCTGTGGTGTATTCCAGGGGGCCTGATGGACACCTTTCCCGGGCGTCTGCAGCTGCCCTGCCCGTGCCCGCCTGCAGTGGTTGGAGACGGGAGTGGCCCTTCGGCTCCCGAGCTCCCTCTGGGGACGGCTGGCTCACTGTCTCCAGTTCTCAATGGCCAACGAAGGTGCTTGGAAACACCTAACCTTGCAAGTTTTACCGCCTTTTGAGGAACACAAATCGGAGAACAAACCCAGGGTTCAGGCGTGTTTTCTGTGAATGTTGGATGATGAATTTTTGTCTCTTCTGGTGGAGCTGTGCCTGGCCCTGTAGGCCCAGGGTTGGCTGGAAGGTGACATCTGTGTTTCGTTTTAGCTGAGGTTGGCAGAAACGTTCCCAAACTCCCCCAGCCCTGGACCCCAGCAGATGAGGAAACGGCCCCATTTACTGACCCCGCCCCCTTTTCGAGGTTATGCTCACCTGGTCAGCTCCTCACGTAATTGGGGGTGGAGGGAAAGCATGGTGGTGCCCTGGGCCGTCCCTGTGTGAACGCAGGCAAAAGCAGCCCAGTCCCCCTCACTGCTTGAGCTAACACTGCCACCTCTTTTGTGTGAGCACAAAAGCCACGTCCCAAGCCACCTGGCCCGATTCCACAGATGTATGTGCGGCCAGTGACTTCCCCAGGAGTGTGGAGGGGGTGGTGAGGAGGAGCACCTGGGCTCTCTACCCCTCTCCTCACAGAAGTACCTGAAACTAGGTCTGGGGCACTCCCAATGCAGCGCCTTGTCAGCCAAGGTGGGCAGGCAGGGACTGTGGCAGCTTATGTCCAAAGGGAGCCCCCATGCACAGGAAGCCACAGGGTTCCTCTTGTTTCCCCCGCTAACTTCAGCCTCTCATCTGCTGCTCCGGGCTGAGGGACTAGAGGACATCTCGGTCGTTTGAGGGGCATGGCCAGTCGTGGCAGGCCGGCCTTCAGCGTCCGGTCAGGGAAGCGTGCAGCCCAAATGGGCACTTGCATGGGAGCCACAGAGGAGCGTCCCTGGGGATTGTTGGGACCATGCTGCCCCCACTCCCGCTTTTGTTGGGGCTCTAAGTTCTGGAAGGTGTGTGCACAGAGGGTGCTCATGGGACTCGCATGCAGCTCTCAGCACTGGGTGGGAGGGCGTTGGCTTGTCCAGAATGGGGACGTGGGGCAGCCACCCCTGCCCAGCGAGAGCGCAGACACCGTGTGAGGGGACAGCAGCCCTTGGTGCAAAGCCAGAGACTGATCCTGGCTCTGACGGCTGAAGAGGGAAGACCCAAGGCTGGGTGGCGTGGCTCGTGAATCCACTTAGAATTCTTGGCTTGTGTCGCATACTGGGTGTCACGGCACACATTTACTCTGCATTGTCCCCGTCTTTCCCATCGCCTAGCGTTTGGGGAGGAACAGGGAGAGAGCTTCGGGGCGTCTGTCTCCGTGCTCTCCTGCCTCCACCGCCTTGGTTTTGCTTCCTGCTGGAGGCAGGGCACCTGCTGCGACCCAGATTCTTCTGCAGGATGTGTCTGTCTTTGTCACGGTGGACAGAGGGTGACATCATAGGAGCAGCTCGCTGGCCAGAAGGGGATGGGGGCATCCCTGTGCCTCACTCAGCTCCTGCTGCTCTTAGGGAAAGGAGGCCTGGGTCAAGCCAGCATCCCCTTGGTAAAGACCCCCGCAGGCCACCAGGCATTCTGGACACGCACACACACACACACACACACACACACACACAAAACTTCACAGCAGGCCAGCTGCAGTGACTTGTCATCAAGAGTCACCTCAGCTGCGCCCCCCTCCCATCCTTTCCTATGAGAAGCCACTGCTTTGGGGGCGCCGGCTAGAAAAAGTAGGGTGCGGTGGCCAGGAGGGCCCCTGCCGCGCGGGGGGCTGGGTCTGGTTGAGTCGCTGCTTTCCCGAGGGCAGCGCAGGGATCCGGGGAAGCTGCGGCAGGGAGCGGGCGCCGGCTTCGTGGCTCTGAGGTGTAACGGGGGTGGGCTCCCTCCCTCGGAGGACATCGTCTGTGTCCAGGTCAGAAAGTGGCCCAGGAAGGGGGCAGTTTCTGTCGCGGGTCCGGTGGGGGCGCGGCCGCGGTGCGGTCGGTGCAGCGTGGCCAATGCGCGGCGCGCGCGGGGGACAGAGCAGGAGGCGGTCTGTCACCTCGGCCACTGCTGACCTGGGCTGGCCTCCCCCAGCCCTCCCGTGGCGGAGCCGGCAGCGATGCTACAGGCCTAAGTTATTGTTTGCATAAAAAGAATCATGTTCCCTGTGTACATTTAAGAAAAAAACAAAAAAACGGAAATGTCAGAATTGTATGGAAATAAAACTTGTTTGAAAATTTGGAATAGTGCTGCTGCCAGCTTATTTTTCTGGTACTTGTATTTTCACATGTTAAATGATCTTTATATATGTTGAATTAACAAATATTTTGAGTTTCTGAGAAAAAACAAAACATATTAATGGTATTGAAATGTGTTAGTAGTCTGGCTGTGTGCCCAAAATTCTGTTTCGCAGCAAAAGTGAAGACCTGTATGTAAAGAAAGTATAACAATTATTTCTTTGTATTTTAGGGGCTTTAACCGGAACATCGTCTAGCTGGTGTTAGGAATGTTTGCTTAATTTCCAGACTTTTTTTTAAAAACACATCGTGGGTTTTTTGAGGCTCCAACCTGATTAGTGCATGGTCAGCCCTCAATGAAGGCTGAGGCATCTCTGACTGAGGTGTTTTTGTTTGGTTTTGTTTTTTAAAATCATGTATTTGCTACAAAGTATTGTACTTGTCTCAATGGGAATGGTGTAAAAAACAAAAGGCCTTATGTGATCTGTATCATAGTTAATAAATGAATCTTGTAAAAAACCAAACCTGAGAGAAGTGAAGGGGGGCCTCCTCCTTACCGGGCCAGTGCAGCACACACCAGGGTTTCACAGGCTTAGGCGCCCGGGGGGGGAAGCAGGAGGCTCCCACAGGAGAGGCCTCGGCCAGCACGAGCCCCCCCTCCCGGCTCTCACCTGCTTTCCTCTCCAGCACAGCTTCCCAGAAGGCCGCGTCATTCCTGTGGTTTCTCAGCATCACCTAAAGTGCCTCCCACAAACCCCCATGGCCGCAGGAGCTGCAGGCAGGCGTGGGGAGGGGATGCCAGAGGTGCCGCTCCTGACCTTCCTTCCCACTCCCCTCCGGCCTGAGGCCACGCGGGTGGTACCGGGAGTCAGATGCCCCTGTTCACTTCCTGGGTGAGTTCCAGGGGCAGGGTCATGAGCAGGCTTGTGGCCAGGAGGTGGCCGACCTCAGACCCTTCTCAAGGGAGGGGTCAGGGCTGAAGTTCTGAGAGGGGAGAGCCTAAGGTCACACTCACTCCCTGGTGCTGGCCCTGGGGTCAGAGACCCAGGCTCTATGCCAGAGTTAGCCACCGTCACCACCGTCATCCAGGACAGCACCTCCAGGGACGGAGGTGGGCTGCTTCCCAAAGAAGCCTTGCCACCAAAAACACCTCCTCTCTGCTCACCCCCTAAAAAACTCTCGTTAGGAATATCTTCCTCTTTCCAGTCTCCCAGGCTCAAGTTTGCTCTATCCTTGGCCCCCTCCTTACTTACCCCTGACTGCTTCTAAGATCCCAAATGTCACTTGAGCGTGACTCTGCTGTTCCCTCTGCCTCCATTCTAGCCTAGACCTGAATTCAAGCTCACTAGACTCTGATAGACACCCCCACACACTGAATGGCCCCCCTGCCCTCAATATTCATGGCAGAAGAGTGAACTATTCAGCATACAAGATGCATCCTTCCCTGCCTGTGCCCATAGCAGACATGGCTAGCTGATCACCGCACTCTGCCACACCCCTCTCCAGGCAGCCACTGCCAATCAATAGGGGCTGGCACCAGAGATGACGTCTGTTTGCCACTGCCTCAGCCAGGCAGGCAAACAAACGGAGATGCCTACTGACCATAGCCCAGGCTCCTTGGCATCCATGCAGAACCCCACGCTCTGTCTGGATCCATCCTGCTCTTCTCTCCCACTCCTCTAACCCAACTCCCCAACATCAGTCAAAATTAGTCTTTTTTTTTTTTTTTTTTTTTTTTTTTTTTTTTGACAGAGTTTTGCTCTTGTTGCCCAGGCTGGAGTGCAGTGGCTCGATCTAGGCTCACTACAACCTCCGCCTCCCCGGTTCAAGGGATTTTCCTGCCTCAGCCTCCTGAGTAGCTGGGATTACAGGCATGCACCACCACACCTGGCTAATTTTATATTTTTAGTAGAGACGGGATTTCTCCATGTTGGCCAGGCTGGTCTCGAACTCCTGGCCTCAGGTGATCCGCCCACCTCAGCCTCCCAAAGTGCTGGGATTAGAGGCGTGAGCCACCTCGCCTGGCCGAGTCTCATTCTTTTGAGTGCAGCTGGCTGCTTTCTGCTTCCAGATCCTTGCTTTGAGCACTTCCCTCTGCCTGAAATTCCTTCCATCCACCCTTCCCCAAACCTCTAGCCTGCCCATCAGATCCTACCCTGTTCTTCAAAGCCAGTCTTTCTCCAGAAACATCCCTGACCCTCTCCACTCACGGATTCACCCTGCAGCTGGGATTTACCTGCTGGGGGTTTATGTCACTCCCCGTGAGCGCTCCAGGGTTTCTCCTTTGTTTTTTTGAATTAAATCTCTACATCCTCCTGGTGTGCAGTTGGTACTCAATGTGTGCTGACAGAAACCTGTCTTCTCTATTTTTTTTTTTCCTTTTCTTAGTCTGTTGTCCAGGCTGGAATGCAGTGGCACAAACACGGCTCACTTCAGCCTTGAACTCGCAGGCTGAAGCAATCCTCCCACCTCAGCCTCCAAGTAGCTGGGACTACAGAGGCACATGCTACCACATCTGGCTTTTTTTTTTTTTTTTTTTTTTTTTTCAGAGATGGGATCTCGCTCTATTGCTCAAGCTGGTCTTGAGCTCCTGGGTTCAAGCGATCCTCCTGCCTCGACCTCCCAAAGCACTGGGATGACAGGCATGAGCCACCATGCCCGGCCTGTTCCTCCCTTCTTTGGGCAAAGGCTGAGCCATCTGGGGGCCCCGCTCTGTGCTAAGCTGGGTTGAGGGAGAGACCAGAACCAGATAGGCAGTGGGCTCTGGGTGCTGACTGGCCAAGGAGTGTCTTTTTTTTTTTTTTAGACGGAGTCTCCCTCTGTTGCCCAGGCTGGAGTGTGATGGCGCGATCTCGGATCACTGCAACCTCTGCCTCCTGGATTCAAGTGATTCTCCTGCCTCAGCCTCCCGAGTAGCTGGGATTACAGGTGCCGCCACCATGCCCAGCTAATTTTTGTATTTTTAGTAGAGATGGGGTTTCACCATGTTAGCCAGGATGGTCTTGATCTCTTGACCTCGTGATCCACCCGCCTCGGCCTCCCAAAACGCTGGGATTACAGGATTACAGGCATGAGCCTCCATGCCCGGACTTTTTTTTTTTTTTTTTTTTTTTTTTTTTTGAGACAAAGTCCTGCTCTGTCGCCCAGGCTGGAGTGCAGTGGTGTGATCTCAGCTTACTGCAGCCTCCACCTCCCGGGTTCAAGCAATCCTTCCACCTCAGCCTCCCAAAGCACTGGGAGGGCAGGCGTGAGCCCCTGTGCTCAGCCTTCTCTCGCTCTTGCTCTTCAAGACTTGTGTGCTTTCTAAACACGAGCCTCACAACCACCAGCACCCACGTTGAGAGCTTTGGGGGGCAGCTTCGCGGCTCCCAGATAGGCCACCCCAGGAGGCCCAACAAGATGCCTTATGCGTGGTAAGCCTTCATTCGGTTTTTCGAACGCGGTGGTCTCAACCTTGCCCTTGACCTGCCCCATCTGTAAACCACCCTCTCCCACGTGACTCCAGCCTAGACCTCCGCTGCAAGCAAAACATCATATCCACCTGTCTATGACACTCTACTTGGGGACTCCACTGTGACACACCCACAGCCAAACTCCTGACCCTTTCTCCAAACAGGTCCATTCCCCAGGATCCCCCCCTCAAGCCAGAGAGAGACCCTGGGGGCCCCCTTGGGGTGTCTCTCTCCCTTCCAGTCAACCAGGTACAACTCCCAGTTCCATTTTGCCTTCCAGCACACTCCCCTTCCTGCTCCCTGCACCCCAGCCCTGTCTGATCTCACCAAGACATCTGCCCTCCATGCTCACCCACTCCCATCTCCATGAGGGCAGATCAGATCTCACATCTAGCCATGTGTCTCCTCCCGTAACATCCTCCAGGGATCTCCAATGCCCTTAGAGGAAGCCTGAACTCTTCCACAGGGTCCCACCCCCGACCCCGCCCACCTCCCAGGAGCCTTTCCTTGCACTCTGGTCCAGATACTCCAACTCCCCTGGGGCCTGCCCACCTCGGGCATTTTGCAGTATTGTCCCCTCCTCCTCCAAGACTGTCCTCCCTTGAGGCCATCCCACCTTGCTAACTTTCTCCTGGTCCTTCAGATTTCAGCTCCTCAGACTCCTCCACAGGGAAAGCCCTCCCTGACTCCCCCAGCCAAGATGGGTCTCTTTGCTTTCAGATGAGATCGAGTGGGTTCAGGGTGTATGGCCGTAGACTCTCCGTGCTTTCAAAGGAAAAAAATAAGTTCTTTCAGAGTACTTTCTGAGCTGAGCATGGTGGCTCATACTTGTCATCATAGTGCTGTGGGAGGCCAAGAGAGGAGGATCACCTGAGCCCAGGAATTCAAGAACAGCCTGTTCAACAAAGTTAGACCTTGTCTCTACAAAACATTTCTTTTTTTAATTAGCAGCTTGGGGCCAGGTGCAGTGGATCACGCCTGTAATCCCAGGACTTTGAGAGGCCGAGGCGGGCAGATCACCTGAGATCGGGAGTTCAAGACACAGCCTGAGCAACATGAAGAAACCCCGTCTCTACTAAAAATACAAAATTAGGAGCTCTCCCTCTCCGTCTCCCTCTCCCTCTCCCCACGGTCTCCCTCTCCCTCTCTTTCCACGGTCTCCCTCTGATGCCGAGCCGAAGCTGGACAGTACTGCTGCCATCTCAGCTCACTGCAACCTCCCTGCCTGATTCTCCTGACTCAGCCTGCGGAGTGCCTGCGATTGCAGGCTCGCGCCGCCACGCCTGACTGGTTTTGGTGGAGACGGGGTTTCGCTGTGTTGGCCGGGCCGGTCTCCAGCCCCTAACCGCAAGTGATCCGCCAGCCTCGGCCTCCCAAGGTGCCGGGATTGCAGACGGAGTCTCATTCACTCAGTGCTCAATGGTGCCCAGGCTGGAGTGCAGTGGCGTGATCTCGGCTCGCTACAGCCTCCACCTCCCAGCCGCCTGCCTTGGCCTCCCAAAGTGCCGAGATTGCAGCCTCTGCCCGGCTGCCACCCCGTCTGGGAAGTGAGGAGCGTCTCTGCCTGGCCGCCCATCGTCTGGGATGTGAGGAGCCCCTCTGCCTGGCTGCCCAGTCTGGAAAGTGAGGAGCGTCTCCGCCCGGCCGCCATCCCACCTAGGAAGTGAGGAGCACCTCTTCCCGGCCGCCATCACATCTAGGAAGTGAGGAGCGTCTCTGCCCGGCCGCCCATCGTCTGAGATGTGGGGAGCGCCTCTGCCCCGCCGCCCCGTCTGGGATGTGAGGAGCACCTCTGCCCGGCTGCGACCCGGTCTGGGAGGTGAGGAGCATCTCTGCCCGGCCGCCCCGTCTGAGAAGTGAGGAGCCCCTCCGCCCGGCAGCCGCCCCGTCTGAGAAGTGAGGAGCCTCTCCGCCCGACAGCCACCCAGTCTGGGAAGTGAGGAGCGTCTCCGCCCGGCAGCCACCCCGTCCGGGAGGGAGGTGGGGGGGTCAGCACCCCGCCCGGCCAGCCGCCCCGTCCGGGAGGTGAGGGGCGCCTCTGCCCGGCCGCCCCTACTGGGAAGTGAGGAGCCCCTCTGCCCGGCCACCACCCTGTCTGGGAGGTGTGCCCAACAGCTCATTGAGAACGGGCCAGGATGACAATGGCGGTTTTGTGGAATAGAAAGGCGGGAAAGGTGGGGAAAAGATTGAGAAATCGGATGGTTGCCGTGTCTGTGTAGAAAGAAGTAGACATGGGAGACTTTTCATTTTGTTTTGTACTAAGAAAACTTCTTCTGCTGTGGGATCCTGTTGATCTGTGACCTTACCCCCAACCCTGTGCTCTCTGAAACATCTGCTGTGTCCACTCAGGGTTAAATGGATTAAGGGCGGTGCAAGATGTGCTTTGTTAAACAGATGCTTGAAGGCAGCATGCTCGTTAAGAGTCATCACCACTCCCTAATCTCAAGTACCCAGGGACACAAACACTGCGGAAGGCCGCAGGGTCCTCTGCCTAGGAAAACCAGAGACCTTTGTTCACTTGTTTATCTGCTGACCTTCCCTCCACTATTGTCCTATGACCCTGCCAAATCCCCCTCTGTGAGAAACACCCGAGAATTATCAATAAAAAATAAATAAATTAAAAAAAAAAAATACAAAATTAGCCAGGCGTGGTGGCGCATGCCTGTAATCCCAGCTACTCGGGAGGCTGAGGTGGGAGGATCACTTGAACTCAGGAAGTTCAAGGTTGCAGTGAGCCAAGATCGTACCACTGCACTCCAGCCTGGGCAACAGAGCCAGACCCTGTCTAAAAAAAAGAAAGAAAAAAAAAGTACTTTTCTCGGTGTGTTATTCATTCAGGCTGGGGCACACAGACATTAAACAAATCCCTGCCCGGAGCTGACATCCTAGTGGAAGGAACACAGTAAACAAATGAATGTGGCCATTATTTAGGCAGGACCGAGGAGTTAACGAGGATTCAGTTGTTGGGAGCACTTGCCTCAGTTGCAAAACTTAACAGAACACGAAAGAGACTTCAGTCATCAACATAAAAATATTTCAGCACAATGTTTTCAAAAAGCAAAGTTGCTGTTAGCCTAATACTGCTCTAAAAAAAAAATGTCAGCCACGCGTGGTGGCTCATGCCTGTAATCCCAGCACTTTGGGAAGCCTAGGCAGGCGGATCACAAGGTCAAGAGATCAAGACCATCCTGGCCAACATGGTGAAACCCCGTCTGTACTAAAAATACAAAAATTAGCTGGGCGTAGTGGTGTGCGCCTGTAGTCCCAGCTACTCGGGAGGCTGAGGCAGGAGAATTACTTGAACCCGGGAGGTGGAGGTTGCAGTGAGCTGAGATCACGCCACTGCACTCCAGCCTGGGTGACAGAGCAAGACTCCATCTCAAAAAAAAAAACAATACAAAACAAACCAAAAAAATTGTTTGTCTTGGTTGGGTGCACTGGCTCATGCCTGTAATCCCAGCACTTTGGAGTTCAAGATGGGAGGATCACTTGAGCCCAGCAGTCTGAGACCAGCCTGGGCAATAGAGTGAGACTCCGACTCTACAAAAAAATTCTTTAAAAATTAGCTGAGCAGGCCAGGCGAGGTGGCTTACACCTGTAATCCAAGCATTTCTGGGAGGCTGAGGCGGGTGGATCACCTGAGTTCAGGAGTTCGAGAGCAGCCTGGCCAACATGGCAAAACCCCGTCTCGATTTAAAATAGAAAAATTAGCTGGGTGTGGTGGCGCATGCCTGTAGTTCCAGCTACTCAGGCAGCTGAGGCAGGAGAATCGCTTGAACCTGAGAGGTGGAGGGTGCAGTGAGCCGAGATCATGCCACTACACTCCAGCCTGGGCGACAGAGCAAGACTCCATCTCAAAAAAAAAAAAAAAGCCAGGCGCGGCAGCTCACACCTGTAATCCCAGAACTTTGGGAGGCCGAGGCAGGCGTATCACCTGAGGTCAGTTCAAGACCAGCCTGACCAACATGGTGAAACCCTGTCTCTACTAAAAATACAAAATTAGCCAGGCATGGTGGTACATGCCTGTAATCCCAGCTACTCGGGAAGCTGAGAGAGAAGAATCGCTTGAACCCAGGAGGCAGAGGTTGCAGTGAGCCAAGATTGTACCATTGCACTCCAGCCTCAGCAACAAGAGGGAAACTCCCTCTCGAAGAAAAAAAAAAAATTAGCTGGGCATGGCAGCACATGCCTGTAGTCCCAGCTACTCAGGAGGTCGACGTGGGAAGATCGCAGGAGGTTGAGGCTGCATTAAGACAAGATTCTGCCACTGCACTCCAGCATGGGTGACAGAGTGAGACCCCATCTCAAAATAAATAAATAAAAGTCTTTTGGGCCAGGCGTGGTGGCTTATGCCTACAATCCTAGCATTTTGGGAGGCCGAGGTGAGTGGATCGCCTGAGGTCAGGAGTTCCACAGCAGCCTGACCAACATGGAGAAACCCCGTCTCTACTAAAAATACAAAATTAGCCGGGTGTGGTGGCGCATGCCTGTAATCCCAGCTACTCGGGAGACTGGGGCAGGAGAATGGCTTGAACCCAGGAGGCGGAGGTTGTCGTGAGCCGAGATGGCACCATTGCACTCCAGCCTGGACAACAAGAGCGAAACTCCATCTCAAAAAAAGAGACTTGTTTAAAAAATCAAAATTAGTGCAAAAAAACCAAATCCATGATGAACAAACTATCAATATTTTAAATAAAGACGAATCAGTAAGAGTGTCAAGTGAGTCACATTGGAGCCTGAGGCTAAAGGAGAAATCAGTTAAGACTGAGCCTGGATTCTGGGAGTCCAGCAAGGAGGTAACTACGATAGTCCAGGAGTGAAACGGTGGCGGATTAGACCAGAGAAGGACGGTGATAGTGGAAAGAACAGGGAATTCCAGGTATCTTGAAGGTCAAGGCTACAGAATTTGTTGAAGATGGCATGAGACTGGGGCAGAGAGAAGGTGCAGATGACGCCAGGGTTGCCGCATACGACAGTGTGAGTATCTGATTATCCTTTGTCTTCCCCACTTTCCTGTGAAACCTACGAGGGCGGGAGCTGTGCCTCCCAAGCCGCAGCCAGCACCCAGCATTCGCTCCAGGGCTCCAGGCCAACTGCCCTGGTGGAGAATGAGCTGTGTTACTCCGCGCGGCCACCAGGGGTCAGCAGAGCGCCGCCCTGCCCAGCCATGGCCATCCCGGGAAGAGTAGAAAGCCCGGATGGCGGCTTTTTAGGAAGTAAGGCCGGATTAGAAGGAGAAGCAGCAGGGACTGAGGAGGAGGCGGGTTCTGAGAAATGGGGCTGGAAGCGAAGTGTCCCAGGAGCTGGCCGAGAAGCAGGGGAATGAGCTACTGTTTCTGTCACTGCATCCATCCACCCATTTATTCCACCATTCAGTCACAGGCCACTCAGGGCCTTGCAGAGCCGGGTGAGAAACTCAGTGTGTCCTGAGGGCACTGGGGAGACAAGACTGGGTCCGATTTGCAGGAGCTGAGAGGAGGGGAAGAAAGTAGAGATTCAGGACATGCAAGCTCACAGCCAACCTGCCTCCCAGGTGGGCCTGAAGAGCATGCAATTAACATAAATGTTAGCAAAACAAATAATATTGGCCGGGCACGGAGGCTCACACCTGTAATCCTAGTGCTTTGGGAGGCTGAGGTGGGAGGATTGCTCGAGGCCAGGAGTTCGAGTCTGCAGTGAGCGACGATTGTGCTACGCACTCCAGTCTGGGAGACAGAGCAAGACCCCATCTCTACAAAACATACAAAAAGTTAATCAGGAGTGGTGGCGCATACCTGTGGTCCCAGCTACTTAGGAGGCTGACATGGGAGGATCACCTGAGTCCGGGAGGTAGAGGCTGCAGTGAGCCGTAATCACATCACTGCACTCCAGCCTCGGTGAAAGAGTGAGACCCTGCATAAAAAAAAAAAAATACAAGTAATATTAAATTAATAAAAGCTAACAATCATTGGACCCTTACGAGATAGCAGGCCTTGTTTTAATCGCTTTTCACCATCAATTTTCTTTTTCTTTTTCTTTTTCTTTTTCTTTTTTTTTTCTGAGACTGAGTCTTGCTCTGTCACCCAGGGTGGAGTGCAGTGGTATGATTTTGGCTCACTGCAACCTCTGCCTCCCGGGTTCAAGCGATCCTCCAGCCTCAGCCTCCTGAGATCTGGGATTACAGGCGCCCGCCACCATGCCTGGCTAATTTCTGTAATTTTTTTAGTAGAGACAGGTTTCACCATGTTGACTAGGCTGGTCTTGAACTCCTGACCTCAAGTGATCCACCCGCCTCAGCCTCCCAAAGTGCTGGGATTACAGGCGTGAGCCACTGCACCAGGCTTGTGTTTTGTTTTTGAGACAGGGTGTTGCTCTGTCTCCCAGGGCTGGAGTTCAGTGGCACAATCACAGCTCACTGCAGCCTCAATCTCCTGGGATCAAGGGACCCTCCTGCCTCAGCCTCCTGAGTAGCTGGGACTACAGGGGTGCACCACCACACTCAGCTAATTTTTGTATTTTTTTGTAGAGAGGGTTTCACCATGCTGCCCAGGCTGGTCTCGATCTCCTGGGCTCAAGTAATCCTCCCTCCTTGGCCTCCAAAGTGTTCGGACTACAGGCATGCACCACCTCACCCCTCACCCAGCCCTTTTCTTCTTTTTTTTTTTTTTTTTTTTTTTTGAGATGGAGTCTTGCTCTGTTGCCCAGGCTGGAGTGCAGTGGCCTAATCTCAGCTCACTGCAAGCTCTGCCTCCCAGGTTCACGCCATTCTCCTGCCTCAGCCTCCCGAGTAGCTGGGACTACAGGCACATGCCCGGCTAATTTTTTTGTATTTTAAGTAGAGACGGGGTTTCACCGTGTTAGCCAGGATGGTCTCGATCTCCTGACCTCATGATCCGCCTGCCTCAGCCTCCCAAAGTGCTGGGATTACAAGCATGAGCCACCACACCCAACCTTCTTTTTTTTTTTTTTTTTGAGACAAGAGTCTGGCTCTGTTGCCCAGGCTGGAGTGCAGTGGCGCGATCTCGGCTCACTGCAACCTCTGTCTCTGGGGTTCAAGCGATTCTTCTGCCTCAGCCTCCCAAGTAGCTGGGATTACAAATGTGTGGCACCATGTCCAGCTAATTTTTGTATTTTTAGTAGAGATGGGGTTTTGCCATGTTGGCCAGGCTGGTTTTTTGTTTTTTTGTTTTGTTTTGTTTTGTTTTGTTTGAGACGGAGTTTTGCTCTTGTTGCCCCAGACTGGAGTGCAATGGCACCATCTCAGCTCAGGCTCACCGCAACCTCCGCTCCTGGGTTCAAGCAATTCTCCTGCCTCAGCCTCCCAAGTACCTGGGATTACAGGCATGAGCCACCACACCTGGTTAATTTTGTATTTTTAGTAGAGATGGGGTTTCTCCATGTTGGTCAGGCTGGTCTCGAACTCCCGACCTCAGGTGATCTGCCCGCCTCGGCCTCCCAAAGTGCTGGAATTACAGGTGTGAGCCACCATACCTGGCCGATAAATATTTGTTGAATGAATTCATTGAATGCTGACAGCAACTCCACGAGGAATGCCTTGGGGCTTGTTTTCCTATTATTTATCTGTGAATAAGCACTCTATTGAGATTGTTCCCACGCCATACATTTTACACGTTTAAAGTTGTGTTTAGCAGAGTTAGGGGTTTTTTAGTGTATTCACAGACGCGCAACCATCACCACAGTCCATTTTAGAACATTTTCATCACCCAAAAAGCAAGCATGCAGCCATTAGCAGTCACTCTCCATTCCCCGGTATTAGTTTGCTGGGACTGCCAAAACCAAGGACCGCAAACTGGGCGGCTTGAAACAACAGAAGTGTCTTCTCTCGCAGTTGCCAGAGGCTGGAAGTCCGAGATCAATCAGGGTGTCGGCAGGGCTGGTTGCTTTTTTTTTTTTTTTTTTTTTTAATTTGAGATGGAGTCTCACTCTGCTGCCCAGGCTGGAGTGCAGTGATTTAATCTCGGCTCACTACAACCTCCACCTCCCAGGTTCAAGCAATTCTCCTGCCTCAGCCTCCTGAGTAGCTGAGATTACAGGTGTGAGCCACCACGCCTGGCTAATTTTTGTATTTTTAGGAGAGACAGTGTTTCCCAGTATTGGCGAGGCTGGTCTTGAATTCTTGACCTCAAGTGATCCGCCCACCTTGGCCTCCCAAGCTGCTGGGATTACAGGCTTGAGCCACCGTGCCCAGCCTCTTTCTGAGGCTGTGAAAGAGAATCAGTCAGTCTGTAATCCTAGCACTTTGGGAGGCTGAGGCAGACAGATCATGAGGTCAGGAGTTTGAGACCAGCCTGACTAACATGGTGAAAACCCGTCTCTACTAAAAATACAAAAATTAGCCGGGCATGGTGGTGCATGCCTGTAATCTCAACTGCTCGAGAGGCTGAGGCAGGAGAATCACTTGAACCCTGGAGGCAGAGGTTGCAGTGAGCCGAGATCGTGCCACTGCGCTCCAGCCTAGGCAACAGAGTAAGACTCTGTCTCGAAAAATTAAATTAAATTAAATTAAATTAAAATTAAAATAATAATTATAAGCCCATTACAGGCCAACATAAATATTTTATGAAAAATATATTTTCCAATTAAAAAAAAAGTTAGTGAAGGGAGTGGCATTCTTTTACATTTTTGCAAATCTCTTTAACGTCCAGCTTTTATAGAAGATGGCTGGACCTTGGGCTGGGCACTGTGCTTACGCCTGTGATCCCAGCACTTTGGGAGGCTGAGGTGGGAAGACTGCTTGAGGCCAAGAGTTCAAGACAAGCCTGGGCAACATAGCAAGACCTCAAAAAAAAAAGAAAGAAAAAGAAAGAAAGAAAAGAAAAGAAAAGGAAAGAGAGAGAGAAAGAAAGAAAGAAAGAAAGAAAGAAAGAAAGAAAGAAAGAAAGAAAGAAAGAAAGAGAAAGAAAAAGAAAGAAAGAAAGAAGGGAAGGAAGGAAGGAATAACAGTAAGAAGAAGATGGCTGGGCCTCACGGCTGCTTCTGCATTTGGTCTGTTGTGATATCACACATCACACAGCATCTGGAAATCTCCACCAGACAACAGAATGAAGTGAAAAAGGCAGAAAATGTCTCGGTATGAAAATTTGACCCAGCACACCGAAGAGACCAGTTCTCAGGTCACATTGAGACCTTCTAAAATAAACTTATTTTATCTTCACTATGATGCTATGAGGTGGGTACTAGAATTAAAATATCCTCATTCTACAAGGGAGAAAACGAAGGCCCAGAGAGGTGAAGTTACTTGCCCAGAGTCATACAGCAGTAAATGGCAGAGCTGAGGTTTCAACACCACCAATTACTCTTAACCTCACAAAATCCATGTGTAGGCCAGGCATGGTGGCTCACGCCTGTAATCCCAGCACTTTGGGAGGCTGAGGCGGGCAGGTCACAATGAGGTCAGGAGTTTGAGACCAGCCTGACCAACATGGTGAAACCCCATCTCTACTAAAAATACAAAAATTAGCCAGGCGTAGTGGTGCGCACCTGTAATCCCACCTACTCAGGAGACTGAGGCAGGAGAATCGCTTGAACCTGGGAAGTGGAGGTTGCAGTGAGCCGAGATCCTGCCACTGCACTCCAGCCTGGGTGAGAAAGCGAGACTCCATCTCAAAAAAAAAAAAAAAATCCGTGTGTATGTGCAATCATAAATAAATACAGGCCAGGCTGGGCGACCTGGCTCACGCCATAATCCCAGCACATTGGGAGGCTGAGGCAGGAGGATTGCTTGAAGCCAGGAGTTCAAGACCAGCCTGGGCAACATAGCAAGACCCTCTCTCTACAAAACTTTTTTTTTTTTTTTGAGACGGAGTCTCGCTCTGTCTGCCAGGCTGGAGTATAGTGGCGTGATCTCAGCTCACTGCAACCTCCGCCTCCCAGGTTCAAGCGATTCTCCAGCCTCAGCCTCCTGAGTAGCTGGGACTACAGGTGCACGCCACTGTGTCCAGCTAATTTTTGTATTTTTAGTAGAGATGGGGTTTCACCATGTTGGCCAGGCTGGTCTTGAACTCCTGACGTCAGGTGATCCACCCGCCTCAGCCTCCCAAAGTGCTGGGATTACAGGCATGAGCCACTGCGCCCGGCCAACAAAACATTTTTAAAAAATAGCTGGGTGGGGTGGTGCATACCTGTAGTCCCAGCCACTTAGGAGGCTAGGTGGGAGAATCTCTTGAGCCTGGGAGTTCAAGGCTGCAGTGAGTAGTGATCATGCAGCCTGGGTGACAGAGCGAGAAGACTGTGTCTCAAAAATAATTAATTAATTAATTAATGGCACAAGTGTACCTCTCATGGCTGGCATAGCACCTGCCCAGGCTGCACAGCCAGGAAGTGCTGTCAGGAGACAGGAGCCCATGATCTGAGCTTGATTCCTTGCCCTGAAACTCTAGCAAGTCTCTCTGGGGATAAATAAGGATCTGTTGTCTGAGAGGCCACTATCACCAGGCTATATCACTTCCCCATGTCTCGGTTTCCCTAGTTGTAAAATGCATCTAGTAACAGAGCCCATCTCAGAATCTTGCTATAAAATAAAGTATTAGCAAAAAACAAGCACTCCCTTAAGTGTTAACTATGAGGATCATGAATGAGTTTGTGTGTTGTGAGCAAATGCACACGGGTGTTTGTGTGTGCCTCAGTTTCCCCATCTGCCCAACCAAAGGCCAGCGCGTGCTCCCTGCAAGCCCCTGACTGTATGCCTCTTCTAAGACTCCCTGCTCCATTTTCTTTTTCTTTTCTTTTCTTTCGAAATGGACTCTCCTTCTCTGACCCGGGCTGGAGCGCAGTGGCGGGATCTCGGCTCACTGCAACCTCCGCCTCCCAGGTTCAAGGGATTTTCCTGCCTCAGCCTCCCGAGTAGCTGGGATTACAGGCGCCCACCACCACACCCGGCTAATTTTTGTATTTTTAGTAGAGACAGGGTTTCACTATGTTGGCCAGGCTGGCCTTGAACTCCTGACCTCGGGTGATCCAACCGCCCTGGCCTCCCAAGGTGCTGGGATTATAGGTGTAAGCCACCGCGCCCGGCCCCAGCTCCATTTTCTTTCCCCATGTTAAGGTCATGTAGAGGCTTTTAAGTGCCTGGAGACCCCCATGCCAGGGAGGACCCTGAGAACGGGAAGTGGGGGCTGCATGGAGAGAAGGAGCTAGGGGAACTGTAGGACCTCCTATCAGACTGGGGAAGGCCTGGCTTGGACGCCTGGGTTCCCGTCCTCTGTGCGAGGTACTACAACCCCTGAGTTCCCATTTATGATCTAATGGGGAGCTTGGATGTAAGGGTTCCCGTCCCTGCGGCGGGGGATGGAGATAAGACGCCAGGATCCTGGTCTCTGGAGCTCCTTAGAGAGCTGGATCCTGGTCCCTGACGAGGGAGGTGTATGTCCCCCTTTTAAGGCGGGTTGGGTTTGGATGCGAAGTCCCAGCCCTGTGGGGGGAGAGTGTGCTGACACTCAGGAGTTCTCTCCCGGAAAGGGAGGGTCTCGAATTCTGGATTTGTGTCCCTGGAGGAAGCACTGACGTGAGTCTTCACTCGTACATGGGGCTCGGCTGCAGGGTACCTGTCTTGTCCCGAGGGGCTGCTGGGGCACTAACTGCCTCCTGAAGGGGTGTAGACAGTGCCCGGACTCCGCTGTTCCCCTTTTGGAGTGGGGTAGCTCCGATCCGAGGTGCTACATTCTGACCCCCGACGTTACCGTGGGGCAAGGGAACTCGGACCCCAGGGTAGCTTGGCCCCCTACCAGGGAAAGGCGAGCAGGGCGGGTCCGGGGGCGGAGACGCGGCGGGCGGGGCTCCGGCAGACCCCGCCCCCGCCCGCAGCGCTGGTCGCGCGTCTCCAAGTCTGCGAGGCCGAGGTGGGCGCCGAGAGCTGGGCGCCACAGCCCGCGCGTCCCGCTGCGCCCCGCGCGCCCCGGGGTCTATGGAGCTGCCCCTCCGCGCCGCCCGGCCGGCCCCACGCCGCGCCCGGAGCCTGCTCTGCGGCCAAGTAATCGGACTGGCGGTCCTGCGGGTAGGGGAAGCTTGCGGGCTGGCAGGAGGGGGACTTCTGGGTCCCAGAGGAATGGGGGGCTGGAACTCCAGTGTCCTGGGGGATAGGGGGTGGGACGAGGGTATCCCGAGCCTGGGGGAAGGGGCGCACGGATGTTTGAGTCCTGGAGAAATCTGGGGTTGGGAGACCTGGACACGGGGGTCTGGGGCATCTGGACACCTGGCTGGGAGGTTTGGGGGCGGCCTGGTTCCTGGGGTTAGGGGGTGTTCTGAACGCCTGGTCCTGGAGGAATGAAGACCTAACTGAAAACGTTAGGGGATCAGGAGACCAGGACACCTGGGCCCCGAGTGTCGGGTCAATCCTGGGGGCGTCCTGGGGCAGAGGCTGCGGCGGCTGCGTCCGGGGCTGGGGCTCGCGCGCCGGGGTCTTCAGGGAGGAAGTTGTGGTCGTGGGGATGTGGCGGTCCGAACACGTGGCGCCATCCCGAGAGGCTGGGGGGATCCCTGGGCAGGACACAGGATGGGGGTCCCTGCCCTCTGCCCCCTGCCTCCTTAGCCCAGCCGGGAAAACAGGGTGCAGATCCGGGGAGTCAGACACCGGGGATGGGCTTGGGGGGCGGGTCCTCGGGGCAGAGGGCTCCGGGGGCTGGGGCGTGCGTGCCTGGCCCGGGAGGCGCCCGCCCCCCGCCCGGCTTGGGCATGCTTGGCACGCAGCGCGCGGGCCGGTTCGATCCGTATGCGCGCCGCGTGCGCCCATTGGTATGCGGGAGCCGGCCCGGCGCGGGCGTGAGGCGGGCGCGCTGGCGGGCGGCGCGGGGGAGGCGGCGGCGGGGCACGTCCTCACCCGGAGCGCCAGCCCCGGGCCGGCTAGGGTGGGAGCTGAGGCCTCCAGGTAGGGGAAACTGAGGCATCATCCAGGCCCCCCCCCCCCCAGCTCCTTGCTGGGACCCTGAGCCCTGCACGGATCTCAGTTTCCCTAGAAGGTCTCCCGAGGGCACTAAGCGTTGCCCCTGGCCCCCTCCCGCTGCAGGAGACTCGGGGCTCGGAGCCCGCCTGAGCGAGCCCCCCGGAGATGGCGGCCCCCTATCCCGGCAGTGGCGGCGGAAGCGAGGTCAAATGCGTGGGAGGCCGCGGCGCCAGCGTCCCCTGGGACTTTCTACCCGGGCTGATGGTCAAGGCGCCGTCCGGACCGTGGTGAGCAAAGCCCCGCCCCCCTGGCCGCGGGCCCCCCCCCGGGTCCAATTCACACCCGATGTTCTGTCCCCGTGCCAAGGGGCAGTTCACACCCAGCTCCCTGACCCGCCCCTTAGGGCTAGAAGGTCTTACCTTGAGTTAACTACCGTCCTGAGCCCGGTCCCCTGCGTTCTGCTTCTAGTCCCGGTCCTCAGAATTCACGCCCAACATCTTTAATCTCTCGCCCTTCCTCCTCCTTCCCACCAGAATTGACACTCGAGGTTCTGTCCCTGGGTCGGAGTGTAAAATCCACACTCCGGTCTGCTCCCACCTCCAGAGATGTGGAATCCACTCCCAACGTCCCGTCCCGTTCCCAAGGCCCCGGGAGGCGGGGCTCGCCCCCAGTTCCCAAGCCCCTGAGCCCCGGGGCCCCGCCGACACCTCCTCCGCGCCGCCCGCCCAGCCTGCAGGCGCAGCGCAAGGAGAAGTCCCGGAACGCGGCGCGCTCGCGGCGCGGGAAGGAGAACCTGGAGTTCTTCGAGCTGGCCAAGCTTCTCCCGCTGCCCGGCGCCATCTCCAGCCAGCTGGACAAGGCTTCCATCGTGCGCCTCAGCGTCACCTACCTCCGCCTGCGCCGGTTCGCCGCGCTGGGGGCGCCGCCCTGGGGGCTGAGAGCCGCGGGGCCGCCAGCTGGCCTCGGTGAGTGCTCATGCGCGGGGCGAGGGTCCCGGGGCCCTCCAGGCGGAGTCACTGCAGCCCAGATCCGGGCTGCGGGCCTGCCCTCGCCCAGATGCTTGTCTCTGGAGTCAGCCAGGACCTTTGCGTGTCCCTATCAGGTGGCTTCTGCTCTCCAAGCCTCAGTTTATTAAACTGTCAAATGGGCGCAAGAGGTTGGGAAGATTTCGTGAATTCTGCCCTAAACAAGGCCCTGGCAGTTCTAGTGGTCACTGGTAAATGCTATTCCTATATTTTTATTAGAGGAGAGGAATCATTATTACAACCAAAGAAACTCCCAGCTGCATGAGCGGGACAGAGGGGACTCACCCTGGCTTGGGACGCCCATTCGCTAATGGGCGAGATACCCTGGATCCAGACCTGAGGGGCCCCGGCGGGAACGCAAGGACTGTACAGTCTGAGCCCCCAGTTGGAGGAGCAAGAGGGAGACAGTATGATGTGGCGGATGAGATGGGGAACTTCAGGAAGATGCCCCAGGGTTCCTGTCGCCGCGCAGCCACCTCCCAGCTTTGCAACCCCGGGCAGGTCGCCTCACTTCTCTGTGCCTTAATGTGAAGTGGGAAAAAACGGTCCAACCTCCCCCAGGGGGCTGAGCAGAGAATCAACCAGGTCATATTTGCAAAGTCCCTGGAAGTGCCTAGCTCAGAGCAAGCCACCGCTATGCGGCCAATGCTGTTATCAGCAGTAACCTTGCAGGGCTGCTGGAGGGGTTCGGGGCATGGAGGAGGGGGCGGGGGGGCTGTCGCTTTTGGAGCATCTCCTGCCTGTCTGGCACTTTTCTGAGCGCTGGGATTGAGCAGGAGAAACAATCTAGACAAAAGTCCCTGCCCCGGAGCGGCTGGCATCCTAGTGGCCAAGACGCAATAAAGAAATAGGCAAAGCAATATAATCTAGAATATGTAAAAATATAAACTCTGTAAGATACAGATAAATATCTAAGTTTATTATTATTACTCAGACTTTATTATTGAGACATAGAAGTGCTGTTATGTTATTATTACTTCTATTTTATGTGTTTGTTACAGCTTTGCGGTGATGAGGATAAGGCAGTGTGAGTGGTGTTTATCTGAAGTCTCAGGGCACCCCAGGCTACCCCTGTCCCCACCCCTCCAGGAGAAGAGGGTGTCCTTAGGGTGGGGTTGGAGGGGCTCCAATTCCCCTCCTGCCCCGTCCCAGGGGAAGAGGGGGGAGAGAAAATAGCATTGATTAAGCTCGCAATAAATCACCATTTAAATTTAAATAATCCGGCTTCCCAGGCGGTAATTAGGCGAATTGACTGGCGCGGAGAGAATGCGGCATTAGCGCCGCTGATTACTGTCATTACCGCGAACAACATGTGCGCCGGCGGGGGATAAACATCTTGTCTATTGTCCCCGAGCTGAAGGGGGGGAAAGGGGGGGCTAAGAGAGCCCCGGCGGCGTCCAGCCCCCCATTACCTGGATGAGCATTCCGGGGCTCAGAGGCATCAGGGGCTGGCTGAGGTCACAGCACTGACGTGGCAGAGCATGGACTTAATCGATCCCACCTCGACCACGGTGCCAAGTGGAAGTAGGGTCAGGACAGTGTGGGGGGGCTTGGTACTGCGTGGACTCCTATAGTCCCAAAACTGGGAAATCGGGGGACAGAGGCATTTCTAGCTCTACAGGGTCCCTAACAAGAGGCGAAGCACCTGCTTCCATAGTTCAGAGGAGGAGCTGAGGACAGCATTTTAGCTGAAGCCACAGAGCAGAGCACTGTCAGTCACACTCTCTGAAGGGGAGGGGACTCCCATGCCCTCCTCAGTAATAAGCCGGGCACCATGGCTCACATCCGTAATCCCAGCACTTTGGGGCGCCAAGGTGGGAGGAAAGCTTTGGGCCAGGAGTTCGAGACCAGCCAGGGCAACATAGCAAAACCCTGGGCAATATAACAAAACCATGTCCCTACAAAAATAAAAATATTGGCTGGGCACGGTGGCTCACACCTGTAATCCCAGCACTTTGGGAGGCCAAGGCGGGCAGATCACGAGGTCAGGAGTTCGAGACCATCCTGGCCAACATGGTAAAATCCCATCTCTACTAAAATACAAAAAATTAGCCGGGCGTGGTGGTGTGTGCCTGTAGTCCCAGCTACTCCGGAGGCTAAGGCAGGGGAATCACTTGAACCCAGGAGGCGGAGATTGCAGTGAGCCGAGATCACACCACTGCACTCCAGACTAGTGACAGAGCAAGACTCCATCTCAAAAAATATATAAAAATAAAAATAAATAAATAAATTAGCCAGGTTTGGTGGCACCCGCCTGTAGTCCCTGATACTGAACAGGATGAGGTGGGAGGACTGCTTGAGCTGAGGAGGTCGAGGCTGCAGTGAGCCATGATCATGCCACTACACTCCAGCCTGGGCAACAGAGCAAGACTCAGTATCTAAAATAATAACAATAATAGTAATCATATAGAATGCATGCATCAGACCCTGGGATAAGCCCTGTATACAAAATGACTTTCTTGGCCGGGTGCGGTGGCTCACGCCTGTAATCTCAGCTCTCAGGGAGGCAAGAGGCGGGAGGATAGCTTGAGCCCAGGAGTTCGAGACCTGCCTCGGCAATATAGCGAGACCCCGTTCTCCAGAAAAAGGAAAAACAACAACAACAACAAAAGATAAAATGACTTTCTTTTTCAGAGGGAGGCACTATTATGATTCCCAAGTTACAGAAGTGTGTGCCCAAGGTCGCACAGCTGGGATTCAAACACAGATGACCTTGCCCCAAAGGCCGCCTCTCAACCATCATATGTGGTCTGTAGGTCTACAGGGATGGGTTCTAGGTCTCTGCCTCTCTGGGCCTCAGTCCTCCATCTGTGAAATGGGACAACAGATGTTCAAGTCTAGCCCTGAGCCTCTGAGTCTGGAGAGGAGACCGCCCAAATCTCATGTCAGCATTCCCTATTGCTTTTTTTTTTTTTTTTTGAAACGCAGTTTTGCTCTTGTTGCCCAGGCTGGAGTGCAGTGTTGCAATCTCTGCTCACTGCAATCTCCGCCTCCTGGGTTCAAGCAATTCTCCTGACTCAGCCTCCCGAGTAGCTGGGATTACAGGCGCCTGCCACCGCGCCTGGCTAATTTTTTGTATTTTTAGTAGAGATGGGGTTTCACCATGTTGGCCAGGCTGGTCTCGAACTCCTGACCTCCTTATCCTCCCAAAGTGCTGGGATTGCAGGCGTGAGGCGCCGTGCCCGGCTTTTACAGCCTTCTTTCTTCCCATAGCACTTATTGTCATCTGACACTCTCTGTATTTATCTTGTTATTTTGTGTCATTCACCAACAGCCTCTTGGTTGCTGAGCCTGGAGTAGCATCTGGGACACAATGAAGGCTTACTAAATTGTTGAGTGACTGTGGCAGTTGAGGGAAGGAGGGGTGACATCTTTATTTATTTATTTATAGACGGAGTTTTGCTCTTGTTGCCCAGGCTGGAGTGCAATGGCATGATCTCGGCTCACTGCAACCTCCTTCTCCTGGGTTCAAGCGATTCTCCTGCTTCAGCCTCCCTAATAGCTGGGATTACAGGCATGCGCCACCACGCCCAGCTAATTTTGTATTTTTAGTAGAGATGGGGTTTCTCCATGTTGGTCAGGCTGGTCTCAAACTCCTGACCTCAGGTGATCCGCCTGCCGCAGCCTCCCAAAGTGCTGGGATTACAGGTGTGAGCCACCGCACCCAGCCCTTTTTAAATTTTTTTGAAACAGGGTCTTGCTCTGTCGCCCAGGCTGGAATGCAGTGGTGCGATCTTGGCTCACTGCAGCCTCCACCTACTAGGCTCAAGAGTTCCTCTCACTTCAGCCTTCCAAGTAGCCAGGACTACAGGCACACGCCACCACGCCTAGCTACTTTTTGCATTTTTTAAGAGACGAGGTCTCACCATGTTGCCCAGGCTGCTCTCACATTCCTGGGATCAAGTGATTTGCCAACCTTGGCCTCCCAAAGTGTTGGGATTACAGGTATGAGCCACTGTGCCCAGCCAAGGGGTGACTTCTTAGCTCATAGGTCAGGCACATCCTCGCTGAGGAAGTAACGTTTTTTTGTTTTTGTTTTTTGTTTTTTTTGAGACAGAGTCTTGCTCTGTCACCCAGGCTGGAGTGCAGTGGTGCGATCTCAGCTCACTGCAACCTCCACTTCCCAGGTTCAAGCGATTCTCCTGCCTCAGCCTCCCAAGTAGCTGGGTTACAAGCACACGCCACCATGCCCAGCTAATTTTTGTATTTTTAGTAGAGACAGGGTTTCGCCACGTTGGCCAGGCTGGTCTTGAACTCCTGACCTCAGGTGATCCATCCACCTCAGCCTCCCAAAGTGCTGGGGTTACAGGTGTAAGCCACTGGGCCCAGCCAAGGAAGTGATCTTTGAGCTGAGGCTCCAAGGAGGTGTGGGAGCAGCTGTGAGAAAAGCTGGAAGAGAGTGACTCAGCAGAGGGAACAGCAGGTGCAAAGGCCCTGAGGCAGGTGGGGATCAGCTTGCTGGGTGCAGAGCCTCATGCACTGTGGTAGGGGTTTGGCTGTTACCCACAGTGAGAGGGGAGCCACAGAGGTGGTGAGGGCGGAAGTAGGAGCCCAGTGAGGATGAGGACGTGGTGGTCCAGCCAGGGCAGCTAGACTGGGCTGGGGCCATGGGTGGTGGAACACAGGTGACATGGTCAGGTCCAACCCCTGGGACTTGCTTAAAATGCATGTGGGTGTGAGAGACACAGAGGGCGGCCTCCAAGAAACCGCCCGAAAAGGCAGTGGTGCCCTGATGTTATCTGTAGTCATACTGAAAAGAAAAGTGCGGCCGGGGCGGTGGCTCACACCTGTAATCCCAGCACTTTGTGAGGCCGAGGCAGGTGGATCACCTGAGGTCAGGAGTTCAAGACAAGCCTGACCAATATGGTGAAACCCCGTCTCAACTAAAAATACAAAAATTAGCCGGGCATGGTGGTGGTGCCTGTACTCCCAGCTACTTGGGAGGATGAGGCAGGAAAATCACGTGAACCAGGAGGCAGAGGTTGCGGTGAGCTGAGATCCTGCCACTGCACTCTAGCCTGGGTGTCAGTGCTAGATGCCGTCTCAAAAAAAAAAAAAAGAGAGAGAGAGAATGGTGGCATGACTCCCAGTATTAGGCACCTACTGTATGCACTAGCCCATTCAACTCTATCACTGTAGACCCATTTTACAGATGAGGCTGAGGAAAGTAAAGGCAAAGGTGACCCGGCACTGCCCCACCCCATGGTGCTTGCCCCCATGCAGCCCTCAGGCCTGCGGCGCTTTGACGATGGGGCATGTGAGGGACCCCTCTCCCCGACTTCCCTGGGTGATGAAGCCCCAGCCTCTTCTCTCCAGGACCCAGGGTCAGCACATTCCTTCAGGGCAGTTGAGAAGGGCAGGTGACGGGGGAGATCTGGGAACTTGGAAGAGGCCTTGGCTTCTGCCTTCTGCCCCTGGATCCCCCTCTCTCTGCCCCAGGTCCCCCCTCTCTCTGCCCCAGGTCCCCCCACACTCTGCACCCGGTTTCCCCCTCTCTCTGCCCCCTGGGTCCCCCTCTCTCTGCGCCTGGTCTCCCTTCTCTCTGCCCCTGGTCTCCCGTCTCTCTGCCCCTGGTCTCCCGTCTCTCTGCCCCTGGTCTCCCATCTCTCTGCCCCTGTTCTCCCTTCTCTCTGCCCCTGGTCTCCTGTCTGTCTGCCCCTGGTCTCCCTTCTCTCTGCCCCTGGTCTCCCGTCTCTCTGCCCCTGGTCTCCCGTCTCTCTGCCCCTGGTCTCCCGTCTGTCTGCCCCTGGTCTCCCTTCTCTCTGCCCCTGGTCTCCTGTCTGTCTGCCCCTGGTCCCCTTCTCTCTGCCCCTGGTCTCCCGTCTCTCTGCTCCTCGTGCTCCCTCTCTGCGCAAGAGATGAGGACACTGAGCAGGCTGTGATAAGAACCACAGCAAGTGTTTGTTAAATGGATGAGTGATGTTTGGGTTCTGGACATGGGAGGGCGGATGTGGAAGTGGTGAAAAGTCTCCTGCTGAATGTGGGGGACAGAGGAGTGGGGACATTTTGAGGGGAGAGGGAGAGGAGGAAACAGCGGGAGGCATCGGGGAGTTGGTGGGATCGGGAGGTGGAGGCTGGGGGTAAAAAGACACATCAGTCAGTGATCAGGAGACTCTGGGGGTCCCTTTCACAGGGGACCGGACCCGTGTATGGGGAAGAGCAGGTCCCCAAGCCCCCCCACCACCACACCCCCTAATCCCGACGTGCCCATTAATGTTGTTAATTGCAGCGGTTCAGTCTGACCCAGGCTGATCCTGGGAGAGGGAAAATGAAGGAATTAGCAAAAATGACAGGGGAAAATTGCGACAATTAGCAGGCAGCATTGTTCCTGCCTGTCACCCGGCTGGTTCCGAGCTGTATCTTGAGGGAGGGGGTCCCCGTCAACCCCCCAGCCCCCCAGTAATTGTTCCTGGAGCTCCAGGCGGAGGTGGAGGCAGGGAGGAACAGCCAGGAGGGTGTGGGGTACTCCTGGGAGGAGGAAGCTCAGCCCAGACACTAGGGGGCTGGGGAGGCGGGGGCTGCGCGCCCATGGGGGAGGGGCGGGGTTTCGCCGCCTGGTGTTTTGATGGTCGGGTAATAACAATAGTAATCACACTATTAATACCAGTCCCGGCTCTGTGCTGCAGCATCTGCTTCTGCCAGGCCCCAGCCAGGCCCTTCTGTCTGTTAAGTGGACTGAATGCGTAACCAGCCTGGGGAGTCACCGCTCCTGGCAAACCCGCTTGACAGAGGAGGAAACTGAGGCACAGAGCGGCAGAGAGGCTGGTCCCAGGGCACACAGCCAGGGAGGGGAAGCGCTGGGGCCTGACAGGAGACCTGGCCCCTTAGCCCCATAGGAAAAAGGCACTTGGGGACCCTCAAGGTCACCAAGTCTCTCCCCTGGCTCCCCACTCTCAGCACTGGGTTGGAGCTCCCTCGGGGGTTGTCCTCTGCAGGGTCAGGGTCACCCAGGGGTCCTGGGTGGGGACAGGCTCCGGGACCCCCAGGTCTCTGCCTACCCCCAGCACAAGGTCCAGGGTCCTAGCTCCTGACTGTAGGGAGGATGGGGCAGGGGGCACAGGTCTCACTTTGTCTTGGTCTCAGTTGCCATCTCTGTCTCTCTCTGCATCTCTTTTCCTCTGTCTCTCCATGTCTATTTTTTTTTTTAGTTTTTGTTTGTTTGTTTGTTTTTGTTTTTATTTTTGTTTTTTTGAGATGGAGTCTTGCTCTTGCTGCCCAGGCTGGAGTGCAATGGCACAATCTCGGCTCACTGCAACCTCTGCCTCCCGGGTTCAAGTGATTCTCCTGCCTCAGCCTCCAGAGTAGCTGGGACTACAGGTGCACACCACCACGCCCGGCTAGTTTTTCTGTAGTTTTAGTAGAGACAGGGTTTCACTATGTTGGCCAGGAAGGTCTCGAACTCCTGACCTCAGGTGATCTGCCCACCTCAGCCTCTCAAAGTGCTGAGATTATAGGCGTGAGCCACTGCACCCGGCCTTAGTATTTTTATTTATTATTATTATTATTATTGAGATGCAGTTTCACTCTTGTTGCCCAGGCTGGAGTGCAGTGGTGGGATCTCAGCTCACTGCAACCTCCACGTCCCGGGTTCAAGCAATTCTCCCTCCTCAGCCTCCCGAATAGCTGGGACCACAGGCACATGCTACCACACCCAGCTAATTTTTTGTATTTTTGGTAGAGACAAAGTTTCACCATGTTGGCCAGGCTGGTCTTGAACTCCTGGCCTCAGGTGATCCACCCACCTCCGCCTCCCAAAGCACTGAGATTACAGGTGTGAGCCACAGTGCCCGGCCTCCCCATTTTATTTACTCATTCATGAGTTGGACATTTGTGTGCTTTCCACCTTTTGAATGATGTGAAGTATGCTGCTATGAACACGCATGTACATGCTACAACGCCTGTTTTCAATTCTTTTGATTACATAGATTACATACACAGAAGTGGATTTGCTAACTCGTATGATAATTCCATGTTAACTTATTGAGAAACCGTCAAATTGTTTTCCACAGTGGCTGTACAATTTTACATTCCCACCAGCAATGTATGAGGGTTCCAATTTCACCACATCCTTACCAACACTTACTTTCTGTGTTTTTTGTTTTGTTTTGTTTTTGTTTTTGTTTGTTTGTTTTTTGAGATGGAGTCTCGCTCTGTCACCCAGGATGGAGTGCAGTGGTGTGATCTCAGCTCACTGCAAGCTCCACCTCCTGGGTTCAAGGGATTCTCCTGCCTCAGCCGCCTAAGTAGCTGGGATTATAGGTGCACGCCACCACGCCCAGCTAATTTTTATATTTTTAGTAGAGATAAGATTTCACCATGTTGGCCAGGCTGGTCTCAAACTCCTGACCTTGTGATCCACCCGCCTCGGCCTCCCAAAGTGCTGGGATTACAGGCATGAGCCACGGCGCCTGGCCACTTTCTACTTTTTTGATGCTAGCCATCCTAGCGGGTGTGGAGTGGTGTCTCATAGTGGTTTTGATTTTCATTTTCCTAGTGACTAATGATGTTGGGCATCTTTTCATGTGCTTATTGGCCATTTGTGTATCTTCTTTGGAGAAGTATCTATTCAAGTCCTTTGCCCATTTTTAAAAATATATTTTTTGTAGAGATGGGGGTCTCACTGCATTGCCCAGGCTGGTCTTGATCTCTTGGGTTCAAGCAATCCTCCCACCTCAGCCTCCCAAAGTGCTGAGATCACAGGTATGAGCCACCGTGCCTGGCCCTTTGCCTTTTTTTTTTTTTTTTTTTTTTTTTTTTTTTGTCTGAGACAGAGTCTCACTCTGTCGCCCAGGCTGCAATGCAATGGCCCTAACTCAGCTCACTGCAACCTCTGCCTCTGGGTTCAAGCGATTTATCCTGCCTCAGCCTCCCGAGTAGCTGGAATTATAGGCACCCGCCATCATGCCCAGCTAATTTTTGTAGAGATGGGGTTTCATAATGTTGGCTGGTCTCGAACTCCTGACCTCAGGTGATCCACCCACCTTGGCCTCCCAGAGTGTTGGGATTACAGGCGTGAGCCACCACACTGGGCCCCTTTGCCCATTTTTGAATTGTCTTTTTGTTGTTGAGTTGTAGAATCTCTATCTCTTTCTATTCCTTTATATCCCTCTGTCTCTGTCTTTCAGTCTCCTCTCTGCCTCCTTCTCATCCTTCAGGTCTGCTCAAATGTCCCCTCCTTCAACAGCCCTAACTCCATTACTCTCCATTTTGCACCACCTATTTCATTCTCCATAGCACTGGCCACAAAGGGTAATTCCATATTTGTTAGTTTCTTTGTGTGTGTGTGTTTTTTTTTTTTTTTTTTTTAAACAGACGGAGTCTCACTTTGTTGCCCAGGCTGCAGTGCAGTGGCGCGATCTTGACTCACTGCAACCTCCGCTTCCCAGGTTCAAGCGATCCTCCTACCTAGCCTCCTAAATAGCTGGAATTACAGGCCCACGCCACCATGCCCAGCTAATTTTTTTGTGTTTTTAGTAGGGACGGTTTCACCATGTTGCCCAGGCTGGTCTCAAACTCCTGACCTCAAGTGATCTACCCTCCTCGGCCTCCCAAAGTGCTTGGATTATAGGCATGAGCCACCTCGCCCAGCCTGTTGGTTTCTTTTCTTTCTCTCTTTTTTCTTTCTTTCTTTTTTTTTTTTTGAGATGGAGTCTCGCACTGTCATCCAGGCTGGAGTGCAGTGGCATGATCTCGGCTCACTGCAACCTCTGCCTCCCGGTTTCAAGCGATTCTCCTGCCTCAACCTCCCGAGTAGCCAGGACTACAGGCGCCCACCTCCACACCCGGCTAATTTTTGTATTTTCAGTAGAGATGGGGATCCAACATATTGGCCAGGCTGGTCTCGAACCCCTGACCTTGTGATCTGCCTGCCTCAGCCTCCCAAAGTGCTGGGATTACAGGTGTGAGCCACCTCGCCCAGCCTGTTGGTTTCTTATTTATTTATTTTTATGGGATCCCTAAGCAGAGATGTTAGTTTCTTGCTTGCTGTTCAACTGCCCCTGGTCTGAGAGCCCAGCAGGAGGCAGGGGTTGCTGGGCTGTCCTGGTCACCGTTGCACTCCCAGCAATGCCTAGTGCAGGACATAGGGAGGGTAGGTATTCAGGGAGCTTTTGTGAGTGAATGGGTGGATGAATGAATGAGTCCCTCTATGCACCCCCTGGCCCGTCTGTCTCTGTGAGTCAGTCTGTCACTCACTGTCCCACCCACCTGTGTGTCCCACGCCCCAGGTCTCTCCCCCATGGGTGCCCAGATACCCCAAGATGTCTACAAGCCTTAGGGGAAGAGAGGGAGGTTTGTAGACTGGCTCCCGGGGGACCTGCCCTGGGCAGGGTCAGCCAGACTAACAGGCTTCATCCTTCCATCTGCCCCAGCCCCAGGCCGCCGCGGCCCCGCAGCGCTGGTCTCCGAAGTCTTCGAGCAGCACCTGGGAGGTCACATCTTGCAGGTGAGTGAGGCCCCTTCCCTGCCTGCCGCTCCTTGCTACCACCTAGCGGCCGCCTCTGGAGAACAGCAGCCTCTTCAGCATCCATCTATTGTGGGGGGTACCTGGACTGGGAAGGCGAATGCTCAAGATCCCTCCACTCCCTGCCCCTTCCGAGGACCACTGAAGCCCCCTCCCCACCAAAACAGTCCACCTCAGGTGGAGACCCAGGTTTCAGAACCTCTTACCACTTGGCGGCTGGACAGAGGGACACCGGGTCCTCTCCTTCCCCCTCCCTGTCTCTCCCGGCTCTAGTCCCTGGATGGCTTTGTGTTCGCCTTGAACCAGGAAGGAAAATTCCTCTACATCTCAGAGACAGTCTCCATCTATCTGGGTCTCTCACAGGTAAGGGACCCCCAGTGGACCTGGATTGGCTCAGCCACCATCTCCCTTGCCAGGCCTATGCATATCCTTCCTCTCTCCTGGTCTCACCATAGCAGCAAGAAAAATGGACTGGATCTCTGTGGTCCCCAAAGTGTGTTCCTTGGCACCCCACATGGCACCCAGCATGGTTCATCCTTGAAGGCAGAGGAGGGCTATTGTTTTTTGTTTGTTTGTTTGTTTGTTTTTGAGACGGAGTCTCGCTCTATCACCCAGGCTGGAGTGCAGTGGTGCGATCTTCGCTCAGTGCAACCTCCACCTCCCGGGTTCAAACAATTCTCCTGCCTCAGCCTCCTGAGTAGCTGGGACTACAGGCGCCCACCACACCCGGCTAACTTTTTGTATTTTTAGTAAAGATGGGGTTTCACCATGTTAGCCAGGATGGTTGAGATCTCCTGACCTCGTGATCCACCTGCCTCGGCCTCCCAAAGTGCTAGGATTACAGTGTGAGCCACTGTCCTGGCTGATGAGGGCTATTTTTTTTTTTTTGAGTTGGAGTTTCCCTCTTGTTGCCCAGGCTGGAGTGCAATGGTACGATCTCAGCTCACTGCAACCTCTGCCTCCTGGGTTCAAGCGATTCTCCTGCCTCAGCCTCCCGAGTAGCTGGGATTACAGACATGCACCACCACGCCTAGCTAACTTTGTATTTTTTAAATAGAGACAGGGTTTCTTCATGTTGGTCAGGCTTGTCTTGAACTCTCAATCTCAGGCAATCCGCCTGCCTCAGCCTCCCAAAGTGCTGGGATTACAGCGTGAGCCACCGCGCCCAGCCTGAGGGGGCTATTAAAGTAACAAGTAGATCTGAGGAAAGCAGGTTCACTGAAAGATCAGTTTGCCAATGACTGGCGGGCCAGATGCACCATATTTGCCAACACTTGTTTCTTCTTAACAATTTTAAAGGTTTAGAGGCCACCCACGCTGGCTCATGCCTGTAATCCCAACACTTTGGGAGGCTGAGCCAGGAGGATCACCTGAGGCCAGGAATTCAAAACCAGCCTGGGCAACATAGTGAGACACCCCACCACCCCCACCCCCACCATCTCTACAAAAAAACTTAAAAATTAGCCAGGCATGGTGGCACACTGTTGTCCCAGCTACTCAGGAGGTTGAGATGGGAGGATCGCTTGAGCCCATAGGGTCAAGGTGGCAGTGAGCCATGATGAAGCCACTGCACTCCAACATGGACAACAAAGTGAGGCTATGCCTTAAAAAAAAAAAAAAAAAAAAAAAAAAAAAAAAAAAAAAAAAAAAAAGGGCCGGGCGCGGTGGCTCACGCCTGTAATCCCAGCACTTTGGGAGGCCGAGGCAGGCAAATCACCTGAGGTTGGGAATTCAAGACCAGCCTGACCAACATGGAGAAACCCCGTCTCTCTACTAAAAAACAAAAAATACAAAATTAGCCAGGCGTGGTGGCAGACACCTGTAATCCCAGCTACTCGGGAGGCTGAGGCAAGATAATCACTTGAACCCAGGAAGTGGAGGGTACAGTGAGCCGAGATCGTGGCATTGCACTCCAGCCTGGGCAACAAGAGCAAAACTCCGTCTCAAAAAAAAAAAAAAAAAAAGGGCAGGAAGACCTACTGAAAGCCCCATCCTTGGAGCCCTGGCATCTCACAGCACCTTAAGCTTTGCCAGTCCCTCCAATACAAATTGCTATCAACTTTGATCATTTTTACAAATATTTTTCACAAATAGGAAATTTAGGAAATTCAGTGCATTGGCAACTTGTGAGTACCTTTTCAGTGAGATTCCTGGAGGAGGAAGACACCAAAAGGAGGGGAATTTGGACAAGAGGACGGGAGGGAGGAAGAGTGGAGGAAAAGCTTGGCCAGGTGTGGTGGCTCACGCCTGTAATCCCAGCACTTTGGGAGGCAAAAGCAGGCAGATCACCTGAGGTCAGGAGTTCGAGACCAACCTGGGCAACATGGCGAAACCCAGTCTCTACTAAAAATACAAAATTAGCCGGGTGTGCTGGCAGATGCCTATAGTCCCAGCTACTCCAGAGGCTGAGGCAGAAGAATCACTTGAACCCAGGAGGCAGAGGTTGCAGTGAGCCAAGATTGCACCATTGCACTCCAGCCTGGGCAACGAGAGCAAAACCCCATCTCAAAAACAAAACAAAACAAAAAAAGTCCAGGCGCGGTGGCTCATGCCCGTAAACCCAGCACTTTGGGAGGCTGAGGCGGGCAGATCACCTGAGGTCGGGAGTTTGAGACCAGCCTGACCAACATGGAGAAACCCCGTCTGTACTAAAAATACAAAATTAGCCAGGTGTGTTGGCACATGCCTGTAATCCCAGCTTCTTGGGAGGCCGAGGCGGGAGAATTGCTTGAACCTGGGAGGCAGAGGTCACGGTGAGCCGAGATCGCGCCATTGCACTCCAGCCTGGGCAACAAGAGCAAAACTCCGTCTAAAAAAATAAAAAGAAGAAGAAGAAGAAGAAGAAGAAGAAGGAAAGGCTTGAAGCTGTTGAAGCTGGCGTGGGGGAGGATTTAATGAGGGGGCGGAGCCCAGAGGGATAACGGACTGAGGGAAGCATGTGACCTCCAAGCTGAGGGGCAATGGGAGTCATGGCAGCCATGGTGGTCAGGTAAGTAACTTGCAGAGGCATCTTTGAACTGTAGGTCAGAAGACCAGTGAGGACGCGGGGGCAGAAACACAGTGGGGAGAAGATGGGGGCCTGCATTGAGGGAGGCAGGGAGAGAAGGGGACTGCTAGGAGAGAGATTTACGGGTAGAATTGAATGTAAAAGTGTCTGATTGAAAAGCTCTAACTCTTTAAGAGCTTAAAAACCACTCCCCTGTTTGTATCTTGAATCTCATTCCTGCTGGGACACCCAGTGATTCATGCCAGGGCACAGTTGTTTGCTGTATGGGGGTGGTAGTGAGTAAGCAGGAGTTGGGTAAACGGAGGTTCTGACACCTCCCACCCACGCCCCACTCCCACACACAGCCCCTTAATAGAGTGGGCGGGGAAAAATCCTTACTAATCACTGGGTATGAAGCGAGAAGAGTCTAAGTTTGTATCTTCCGTTTGAAAGGTAATTGTTTTTTGTTTTTTTCTTTTCTTAAAAAAACACACTGGCATGAAGCGCACCTGCGTGCAGGCAAATGAGGCAAGGCTGAGCCCAGAGGGCGAGCGAGTTACTGCGCGCGCACCTCACCCGCCCCCTGCATTCCCCTCCTTCGCCGGCAGGTGGAGATGACGGGCAGCAGCGTCTTCGACTACATTCACCCTGGGGACCACTCAGAGGTGCTGGAGCAACTGGGGCTGCGGACGCCGACGCCCGGCCCCCCAACCCCGCCCTCCGTCTCCTCTTCCTCCTCCTCTTCCTCTTCGCTTGCAGATACCCCCGAGATCGGTAATTCTAAGGGCTCCTAAAGAATGAAGTCTGAGGGTAGATCGGGGGACGCCCGCTGTACTGTATCCAGCCATGCCGCGTTTATACAAATAGCAGTGAAGTTAGAACTGTGTAGAACGAATCTTTGCAAAAGGAATCGGAGTATAAATTGAGGCGGTGAGACTTGGTTCCTTAAGCTTGCCAAACTCCCAAAGATTCGAGCTACAGAAAGACCCCCCTGGCTGCTGAAAGGAGTTGGGAGAGGCTTAGGTAAATAACAAGGCAGGCTTATTGGGAATATACACCGGCTGTGTCTGTAAGTGCACAATCACATTACATAATTACGTTAGGGCCGGGCGCGGCGGCTCGCGCCTGTAACCCCGGCACTTCGGGAGGCCCAGGGGGGCGGATCACTTGAGCTCGGTTGGAGACCAGCCTGGGCAACATAGTGAAACCTCATCTCTACAAAAATTACAAAAAAGGCCAGGAGTGGTGGCACAAAGCTGTAGCCCCAGCACTTTGGGAGGCCGAGGCGGGTGGGTCACCTAAAGTCAGGAGTTTGAGACCAGCCTGGCTTGCATAGTGAAACCCCATCTCTACTAAAAATACAAAAAAAAAAAAAAAATTAGCTGGGTATGGTGGGGGGTGCCTGAGTCCCAGCTACTCGGGAGGCTGAGGCAGAAGGATCACTTGAACCCAGGAGATGGATGTTGCAGTGAGCAGAGATTGTGCCACTGCACTCCAGCCTGGGCGAGTCCAAGACTGTCTCCAAAAAAAACAACAACAACAAAAGAAAGAAAAAAACATTAGCTGGGCATGATGACACATGCCAGTGGTCCCAGCTACTTGGGAGGTGGGAGGATGGCTTGAGCCTTGGGGACAGAGGTTGCAGTGAGGAGATCACGTTGCTGCACTCCAGCCCGGGTGACAGAGCCAGTGTCTGGAAAAAAAAAAAAAAAAAGGCTGGGTGCGGTGGCTCACGCCTGTAATCCCAGCACTTTGGGAGGCCGAAGTGGGCGGATCACCTGAGGTCGGGAGTTCGAGACCAGCCTGGCCAGCATGGTGAAACCCCATCTCTACTAAAAATACAAAAATTAGCCGGGCGTGGTGCAGGTGCCTGTGATCCCAGATACTCAGGATGCTGAGGCAGGAGAATCGCTTGAACCTGGGAGGTGGAGGTTGCACTGAGCCGAGATCAGGCCATTGCACTCTGAGTGAGACTCCGTCTCCAAAAAAAAAAAAAAAAAAAAAAAAAAAAAATTGCATTAGATCCTAAGCGCAGGCCCACAATGCAAGAAGTGTTATCTCCATTTTACATCAGAAAACTGAGGCACGGCGCGGAGAGGTTAAGTTAATTGCCCCCAGGTCACACAGCTATAAGTGATTGAGTTGGATTCTAGCCCAGGTCTGTCTGTTCCGGGGTCAGCACGCCTAACCCTTCTCTCCAGTGGAAATTTCCACTCCCACTGTGTATGGGAGGGAGGGTGCTGCAGATTACCCTGCCGGCTCTTTTTAGCTCTGAGATGTTGGGGGCCTATGAGGCTAACTATCCTGTAAATAGGATTTTCCAATCTTGGGTTTGCTTAACACCAAAAACATCTGAGACATCAGCTGTGCTTGCAAGCGTGGGGCGAAGTCTGCAACACGTGCAGGCTGTTGGGGAGTGGGACTGTGTTTGTACCTGAGTTTTAGGCACAGGGTCATCTGTGTGTGAGCATATTTTTAAGACCGTTTTGTAGGGGTTACAGAAGGATCTGGATTTGTGAGTCTTATTTATTGCTATTCCCCAATCCCCTGTTCTGGGCCAGCCCCTGTCCTGGTGACATAGGAGTGACCATGACAGCTCCAGCCCCACCCACCTGGGGCTCCCAGTCCAGTGAGGGGAGACCAACCTGTCCTCAGACAGTGGCAACCCAGATGGGGCAGGGCTGGGATAGGGGAACCCAGAGGGGATGGCTGACCCAGCCTGAGGGTCAGGGAGGGCTTCTTGGAGGAGGAGAAGTCTGTGCTGAGACCTGGAGGATGGGTCCTGAGAGGTGGGCTTTCCTCTCAAGGCCTCAGGAAGCTATGGCAGGTTCAGAGCAGGGGAGGGTGGAGGCACGTTTGAGCATTAGAAAGACGTAGATGGGGCCAGGCGCAGTGGCTCACGCCTGTAATCCCAGCACTTTGGGAGGCCGAGGCGGCCAGATCACGAGGTCAAGAGATTGAGACCATCCTGGCCAACATGGCGATACCCCGTCTCTACTAAAAATACAAAAACTAGCTGGGCATGATGGCGCGTGCCTGTAATTCCAGCTACTCAGGAAGCTGAGGCAGGAGAATCACTTGAACTGGGGAGACGGAGGTCGCAGTAGGCCGAGATCGTGCCACTGCACTCTAGCCTGGTGACAGAGCGAGACTCCAGCTCAAAAAAAAAAAAAAAAAAGACATGGATGGGACCAGACATGGTGGCTCACACATGTAATCGTAGCACCTTGGGAGGCCAAGGAGGGCAGATCCCTTGAAGTCAGGAGTTCAAAACCAGCCTGGCCAACATGGCAAAACCCCGTCTCTACTAAAAATACAAAAATTAGTCGGGCATGGTAGCATGTGCCTGTAATCCCAGCTACTTGGGAGGCTGAGGCAGAAGAATCACTTGAACCCAGGAGGCGGAGGTTGCAGTGAGCCAAGATTGCGCCATTCACTCCAGCCTGGACAACAGAGTGATATTCAGTCTCAAAAAAAAAAAGAAAGGATGCGGATGGCTGCCACATAGGGGAGCCCACATACTGTCCCCATGAGCTTTCAAAATCATCAGGCATGCCTCTGAGTGCGGCCGTGGCCCAGCGGACATCTTGTGTCTATGTCCGGCTGGCTCTGCAAGGGTCAGGGTGGCCTGTGTGTTTCCTCTTCAGGACCCCATAACCTTCCTTCACTCTCTGTCCCAGAGGCCAGCCTCACCAAGGTGCCCCCCTCCTCCCTGGTCCAGGAGCGCTCCTTCTTTGTCCGCATGAAATCCACGCTCACCAAGAGGGGGCTGCACGTCAAGGCCTCAGGGTACAAGGTGGGTGTGAGCAGTCAGGCTCCTGTATTCCAGGCAGCCATGTCCCCAGATTGAGGGTGACCGAGGGAACCAGGCTGGTGGCTTCACTGGCTGCAGGTGGCTTAGGGAACTGGGTCTGGGAATGGGACTGGGGGGGTCACACAGTGTCCAGTCCTCCAGCACCTGTGGGGGACAGAGGGAACCCAGCCCAGTGATGGTCCTCTTGCCCCCACTGGCCCGCCTTGTCCCTCCTCCAACCATGCCCACCACCAGCAGGTCATCCACGTGACTGGGCGCCTTCGGGCCCACGCCCTGGGCCTTGTGGCCCTCGGGCACACGTTGCCCCCGGCCCCCCTGGCTGAGCTGCCACTCCATGGACACATGATCGTCTTCCGTCTCAGCCTGGGTCTCACCATCCTTGCTTGTGAGAGCAGGTACCGGGGTTGGGGGCTGTGGCGGGTGGATTGGGGGCACAATGGAGATCTGGGGGTACATGGGGAGTCAGAGGGAGTGCTGGGTCTGCAGGATAGGGCACTGGGGAGCCATGGGAGGCGGAACAGCAATGGATGGGACAGGGTGATGGGGAGAAGGGAGGGAAGGCAGGGGACCAGGGCGGAGGCCTAGCCCAGGGGTGCCTTCGGGGATGGAAGAGGGGCTGTGTCTTGGGTCCGGGCCCTCCTTCTGGGGCTGCAGATCTTGGCCCGTCTCTGGTCTTTCATTTCTCATTTCTCTGGTCTTTCATCTCTCATCCATTTCCTCTCCTGCATCCCGCAGTGGAGGCAAATTAAGTGCTGAAATAGTCCCATGCTCTGAGGTGTCCAGGGTGCCTAGGGCCTTGCCACTAGCATCCACGCGAATACTCGCAGCTGCCCCGGGAGAGACACTGTTTTGTGGTTTGTTTGTTTGTTTGTTTTGAGATGGAGTCTCACTCTGTCAGGCTGGAGTGCAGTGGCGCAATCTCAGCTCACTGCAACCTCCACCTCCCGGGTTCAAGTGATTCTCTTGCCTCAGCCTCTCAAGTAGCTGGGATTATAGGCGTGCACCACCACAACCAGCTAATTTTTGTATTTTTAGTAGAGACGGGGTTTCACCATCTTAGGCAGGCTGGTCTCGAACTCCTGACCTCAAGTGATCCACACGCCTCAGCCTCCCAAAGTGCTGGGATTACAGGTGTGAGCCACCGCGCCTGCCAACACTGTTATTGCACCCATTTTACAGCAAGGGTGTGAACCCCAGGGGACTCTGGAGCCAACTCTGCCTCTCCCCCAACCCCGTGGTCTTGGACTCCTCCCCTCTTCTCTGTCACCCCCCAGAGTCAGCGACCACATGGACCTGGGGCCCTCAGAGCTGGTGGGCCGCAGCTGCTACCAGTTTGTCCACGGACAGGACGCCACGAGGATCCGCCAGAGCCACGTGGACTGTGAGACCCACCTCCACCCACCAAGCCTGCCTACCACCCCCCAGACCCGAGCATCCCACTCCCTGGTCCCTGGAAGTCCTTCTTCAGGGCTGCCCACAGTCCCTCCTGCTGCACCTACAGCTCCAGGGACTCCGTTTAGCATTGGAAGAGCAGCAAGGAGACTGAGTGATGCCTCAGGATGTGTGTGTGGGGGGGGGGTCTGGGGGGCTGTGGGGTCTCCAAAACACCCAAGAGGCCTCGCTGCTGGGCTACCTCTCAGTCTCTCTGACTCTGCCTCTCTGTGCTTTCACCTTTTTCTCTTCTCCCCACCGTCTCCCTGCCCACTCCCCTGCTCTCACTCCTCCTGTCTCCTCCTGTCTACCTGGCTCTCTGTCTTGCCCCTGTCCCCACCCCACCCCCTTCCCATCTCTCCCTGGGCTGGGCCCAGTGCTGGACAAGGGTCAGGTGATGACTGGTTACTACCGTTGGCTGCAGCGTGCCGGGGGCTTCGTGTGGCTGCAGTCTGTGGCCACAGTGGCTGGGAGCGGGAAGAGCCCCGGGGAGCACCATGTGCTTTGGGTCAGCCACGTGCTCAGGTGAGGGCTGTGCCCACCCCTCCTGCAGGGCACTCAGGGCCCTGCTGTCTCTCCCCACCTCCAGTGGGGGTGCTTTGGGGAGGGCTTCTAGAATGGGACAAGCCCAGGGGGTCTGCAGACACGAAGGGGAAGGAGGGGAGGATGGTGAGAGCAGAGGCCCAGAGTGGAACGGTCTTGCTGGCAGGAGACAGAGAGGAGTCGCCAGGGGGAGGGGGACAGTATCTTTGAGGAAGGCAGGGGCAGGCTCACAGCCTCCTCAGGCTCAGGTGGAGGGTCTGGACTCTTGACTCTGGGGCACTGGCGAGCCACGGCAGGCTCTTACCAGGGGAGGCCCACAGAGCACAGCAACTAATGGAAAGAAGCAGGGAGGGGTGTTCCAAGCAGAGGAAGGGCTCCAAGCAACAGCCTGACCCTAAAGGTAATGCCTTGGGCTGGAGTAGAAAGCAGTGAGAAACCAGCCTGAAGATGACGGCCTGGCCTTTTGGCTCAGGGGCACTGGGGAGTCATAGAAAGCTTTAGAGCTGGAGAGGATCATAGTCAGATCTGCTTTTTAGAAAGACTGCTCTAGACCGGACATGGTGGCTCATGCCTGTAATCCCAACAATTTGGGAGGCCAAGGCAGGTGGTTTGCCTGAGCCCAGGAGCTGAAGACCAGCCTGGGCAACCAAGTGAGGTCCCATCTCTATTAAAAAAAAATTTTTTTAATTGGCCCGTTACAGTGGCACGCACCTGTGGTCCCAGCTACAGCAGAGGCTGAGGTGGGAGGATCACCTGAGCCCAGGAGGTCGAGGCTGCAGTGAGCCGTGATCGTGCCACTGCTCTCCAGCCTGGGCGACAGAGTGAGACCCTGTCTCAAAAAAAAAAAAAAAAAAAAAAAAAAAAGGAAAAAACACCCTTCTAGGCCAGGCACAGTGGCTCACGCCTGGAATCCCAGCACTTTGGGAGGCCGAGGTGGGTGGATCACGAGGTCAGGAGTTGAAGACCAGCCTGGCCAAGACAGTGAAACCTCATCTCTACTAAAAATTTAAAAAAAATTAGCTGGGCATAGTGGTGCACGCCTGTAATCCCAGCTACTCGGGAGGCTGAAGCAGGAGAATTACTTGAACCCGGGAGGTGGAGGTTGCAGTGAGCCAAGATCATGCCACTGCACTCCAGCCTGGGCAACACAGTGAGACTCCATCTCAAAAACAAGCAAGCAAACAAAAAAACCCTTCTAGCTGCCATGAAGGAGGCACTGAGGGACAAGATGGGCGCTGGAGGACCAGGGCAGAGGCTGGGGCCAGTCCTGGGAAGTGCCAGACTCTATGGGGGAGGAGGGGAGGAGACCATCTTCTGCCCAGGTCTCTGGCTTTGCTGAGCCCGGATTTGGGCTCCTGAGAGGAACAGCAGGTTTGAAAGGAAGATGTAGACATCAGATGGGCATGAGGTGCCAGAGGACACCCAGGTGGTGACATCCAGGTGGCCACCGGCTATCCAGGTCTGGCCTTAGGAGCGAGGGCCACGCTGGGCTAGAAGTCAACCCGGAGTTTAGGGATCTGGTGTTGAGCCTTGTAAGTGCCTCAGGGTGGGGACTCCACATTTCCCCGTGGGAGTGTCCACACATTGCCACAAGTTGGGTAAAGCAGGAGGGAGTCCTGAGAGGCCAAGGACCCCTGGCTCCTAACCGCATCCATCTTCTCCCCAGCCAAGCCGAGGGTGGCCAAACTCCTTTGGATGCCTTCCAGCTTCCAGCCAGCGTGGCCTGTGAGGAGGCATCCAGCCCGGGGCCAGAGCCCACAGGTGAGCCCCACCTCCCACCTTGGCCCCTGGGAAGCTCCAAGGAACCTTTGGGTCCTGGCTGTCCATTCCAGAAGCCACTAGCCACATGCAGCCATTTATATACAATTAAAATTAAAATCCAGGCCGGTGCGGTGGCTCACGCCTGTAATCCCAGCACTTTGGGAGGCCGAGGCAGGTGGATCACGAGGTCAAGAGATCAAGACCAACATGGTGAAACCTTGTCTCTACTAAAAATACAAAAATTAGCTGGGCGTGGTGGCATGCGCCTGTAATCCCAGCTACTTGAAAGGCTGAGGCAGGAGAATCGCTTGAACCCGGGAGGCGGAGATTGCACCACTGCACTCCAGCCTAGCGACAGAGCGAGACTCTGTCTCAAAAAAAAAAAAAAAAAAATTTAAATCCAGGCCAGGAGTGGTGACTCAAGCCTGTAATCCCAGTACTTTGGGAGGCCGAGGCAGGCAGATCACCAGGTCAGGAGATGGAGACCATCCTGGCTAATAAGGTGAAACCCCATCTCTACTAAAAATACAAAAAAATTAGCTGGACATGGTGCCATGCTCCTGTAATCCCAACTACTCGGGAGGCTAAGGCAGGAGAATCGCTTGAACCCGGAGGGCAGAGGTTGCAGTGAGCCGAGATCATGCCACTGCACTCCAGTCTAGGTGACAGAGCAAGATTTAAAACAAAACAAACAAACAAAAAATTAGCTGGGCATGGTGGCACGTGCCTGTAGTCCCAGCTACTCAGGAGGCTGAGGCAGGAGAGTCGCTTCTACCCAGGAGTCAGAGGTTGCAGTGAGCTGAGATCTCACCGCTGCACTCCAGCCTGGGTGACAGAGTGAGACTCCATCTCAAAAAAATAAAATAAAATAAAATCCAGGCCCGGTGTGGTGGCTTATGCCTGTAAACCCAGAACTTTGGGAGGCTGAGGTAAGAGAATTGCTTTAGCCTAAGAGTTCAAGACAAGCCTGGGCAACATAGTGAGACCCCATCTCAACAAAAAATTTTAAAACTTAGCCAGGTGTGATGGTTCACACCCATAGTCCCAGCTACTCGGGAGGCTGAGGTGGTAGGATTTCTTGAGCCCGGGAGTTAGAGGCTGCAGTGCGCTGTGACAGCTGTACTGCACTCCAGCCTGGGTGACGGGGTAAGACCTCGTCTCAAACAAATTTATTTATTTTTTTAGGGGGATGGAGTTTCACTCTTCTTGCCCAGGTTGGAGTGCAATAGCACAATCTCGGCTCACTGCAACCTCCGCCTCCCGGGTTCAAGTGATTCTCCTGCCTCAGCCTCCCAAGTAGCTGGGATTACAGGCACCTACCACCATGCCTGGCTAATTTAGTATTTTTAGTAGAGACAGTGTTTTGCCACGTTGGCCAGGCTGGTCTCGAACTCCTGACCTCAAGTGATTCTCCTGCCTGGGCCTCCCAAAGTGCTGGGATTACAGGCATGAGCCACCATGCCCTGCAAAACAAAACAAAACAAAAAACACTTTAAATCCATGTCCTCACTCACACCTGCCACATATTGCATGCACAGTGGCCACATGTGGCCAGTGGCTGCTTCGTGGGACAGTGTGGATGTAGAACATTTCCATTACCACAGAAAGCTCTATCCTGGAAACTTCCACTGAAGAGCACAGGTCTAGACCAGGGTATCTTGATCTCTGCTCTACTGACATTTTAGGGCCAGGTGATTCTGTGTTGGAGGGGACACTGTGGGATGTTTATTTTACAGCATCCCTGGCCTCTACCCTCTAGATGCCAATGGTGACCTCCCCAGGGCTGTGACACCCCAAAATATCTCCAGATATTGCCAGGTGTCTCCTGGTGACAGAACCAGCTGGCCGGGCACAGTGGCTCACGCCTGTAATCCCAGCACTTTGGGAGGCTGAGGCAGGCAGATCACCTGAGGTCAGGAGTTTGAGACCAGTCTGGCCAACATGGCGACACCCCATCTCTACTTAAAATAGAAAAATTAGCTGGGTGTGGTGGCACACACCTGTAATCCCAGCTACTGGGGAGGCTGAGGCAGGAGAATAGCTTGAACCCCAGAGGCGGAGGTTGCAGTGAGCTGAGATGGTGCTGGTGCACTCCAGCCTGGGGGACAGAGCAAGACTCCGTCTCACAAAAAAACAAAAAACAAAAACAAAACAAACAAACAAAAAAAAAAACCCCACTCCCAGCTGAGAACTACAGGTCTGGCCCACTAAGCACAGCTCCATTCCACAGATGGGAAGACTGAGGGCTGGGGACACACACAGGCCCTCAGCATCTTCCTCTTCCAGAGCCGGAGCCTCCGACGGAAGGGAAGCAGGCTGCCCCAGCGGAGAACGAGGCCCCCCAGACCCAGGGCAAACGCATCAAAGTGGAGCCCGGCCCGAGGGAAACCAAAGGCTCCGAGGACAGTGGCGACGAGGATCCCTCCAGCCACCCGGCCACACCGAGGCCCGAGTTCACCTCTGTCATCCGGGCAGGGGTCCTGAAGCAGGATCCGGTGCGGCCATGGGGCCTGGCGCCTCCCGGGGACCCCCCGCCCACCCTCCTGCACGCGGGCTTCCTGCCGCCGGTGGTGCGGGGCCTGTGCACACCCGGCACCATCCGCTACGGCCCCGCGGAGCTGGGCCTGGTGTACCCGCACCTGCAGAGGCTGGGTCCGGGCCCCGCGCTCCCGGAGGCCTTTTACCCGCCCCTGGGCCTGCCCTACCCGGGGCCCGCGGGCACCAGGCTGCCGCGGAAGGGGGACTGAGGACTGGCAGAGCTGCCGGCGCCGGACCCTGCGACAACCGGGGTCCCCCAGGACAGTAGGCCCGGCTCTGCCCGTAGCCCTGAGAATTAAACGCCGGCTCTCCCTGCAGTGGTTTGGGCTCCGGGCTGTGAGCTCCTCTGTCCATTTCTGTCTCCCCCGGGTCCTCACCCCCCTCTCCCTCCACCCGCCCTCCTGCCTCTCCAGTTAGTCCGCTCCTCGCCGCCCTTCCCAAGGAACACGAACCAATACTCTGCATCTGGAGGAGGGGAGGTCAGGTTTAATGTCCCAGTCCTCGGGCGCTGTCCAGCGCCTGCCAGGCCCCACGGCCGTGTCGCTCACTCGGGTGGCGGCCGACCCGCCTCATCAGGGCCTTCCGCGGAGGCCGTCCCGTCGTCCTCGGGCACCAGCTCCACGTCCAGCTCCAGCTGCCCCATGTAGAGGCCCACGGCGCACGCCCAGAGCAGGCTGGCGGCCAGCACGGCGCCCGCGCCCACGGCCGCGCCCCCCAGCGTCAGCTGCATGGGTCCTCGCAGCGCCGCCAGGCCCACGGCGTACGAGGCGCTGCCCCACACCACGCACAGGCCGCCCAGCAGGAAGAAGCCTGCGGGAGAGGCAGGGTAGCAACAGGGCCAAGGTCGGGGGATGGTCTGGGAGCAAAGCCAGGGTTGAGGAGACAGGAACAGAGGCAGGGCCGTGCCAGGGGCTAGCCTGCATCTTTGAGAATCAGATCGGAGGGGAGGGGACCATAACCATGTCCTGGGCCACCCATTCAGATGGACCTAGTGCCTATGGGAGGGGTGTCTTCTGGTGGGGGAAGAATGGGGGTTCTATACTTACTACTGGGAGTGGGATGGGGTAGGAGAGTCTACTCTCACCAGGGCAGGTGATAGGGGCTCTGCATTCCCTGGTTCCGTGGGGCGAGAGGGGGGGTCTGCACTCACCATATGCTGCTTCCCGACCCATGTCACTCTGCATGAAGGAGATGACCCCGATGCCCGATGCCAGGAGGCCATTGCGGAACCAGGAGAGGAAGGCTGGAGGGAGGGGGACATGGGGGGATTAACATCACCCCCAACCCTACCTCCTCAATCCCCCTTACCCAGTCAAACTGAGGGGCCTCCCTTCAGCTCACCCCATCCCATCCAGCCGCAAGGCAAGCCCATCCCAAATCCTCACCTCTTCCAGGAAGCCGCTCACCTAACCATATCCCCCCACATCCTCTCTGGCCTCCACCTCAGTGCCCCTCTCCCCCAAACTCTGTAACACTAAGGATTCAAGGGCCGGGTGTGGTGGCTCACCCCTGTAATCCCAGCACTTTGGGAGGCCAAGGCAGGCGGATCATGAGGTCAGGAGTTTGAGACCAGCCTGGCCAACATAGTCAAACCCTGTCTCTACTAAAAATGTTAAAATTAGCAGGGTGTGGTAGCACGTGCTTGTAGTCCCAGCTACTCAGGAAGCTGAGGGAGGAGAATCACTTGAATCCAGGAGGTAGAGGTTGCAGCGAGCCAAGATCATGCCACTGCACTCCAGCCTGGGCGACAGAGTGAGACTCCGTCTCAAAAAAAATAAAGGATTCAAGATAGTCCCTGCAGAATGTGGAGGACAATCTAGGGGCAAAGTTGCAGAACCTCCATCTGAGGAGTCATCTTGGCCAAACCCCTCCCTCTACGTGTACCCCCACGGCCTGCCCACTCACTTCTTTCTCAGAACTCTGGGACAAACTGTTTCCTAATCCAGGCCGCTCTTCAGCCTCGCCCTTCTTTTCCTTCAAATGCCGCCATCTCCTACCGAGTATGGCCTGGGCCAATCCCATCCATGTCCTACCGAGTATGGCCTGGGCCAATCCCACCCACGTCCGTCCCCATTCACGTCCTTTACAAACAGCCCACCACACCCTATATCTAGATGCCCGGTCCTGGCCTAGTGAGGTGACTCACACCTATAATCCCAGCACTTTGGGAAGCCAAGGCAGGAGGATTCTCTGAGCCCAAGAGTTCAGACCAGCCTGGGCAACAAAGCAAGACCCCGTCTCTACATAAATTAAAATAGTTGGGTGCGGTGGTGTATGCCTGTAGCTCCAGCTAAGCAGGAGGCTGAGGCAAGAGGATAGCTTGAGCCCAGGAGTTCAAGGCTGCAGTGGGCTACGATTGCGCCACTGCGGTCCAGCCTCGGTGACAGAGCAAGACACCGTCATTAAAAAAATAAAATTAAAAAAAAAACAAACATGGCCAGTCCGCTCCATTCTGGACCTCGCCTCCGTCACAAGCCCCGCCCTCTGCAGCCTAGATCACCTCCCCCTCCAATCAGCAGAGAGCTTTCTCCCGATTGGTTGTCCCCTTCTCCAATCCTGAACTTCCCCCTCTTCTGCGGGGATCCACACTCCCGCTCTCTGCACAGTGGTGGCCTCTGCAATCGGGATGGACCCATCTTGTACCCAACTCCACAGACCCTAAGCTCTCCCTGAAGCCCCTCTCCCCACGGCAGGCGCGATTCTACGAGGCTGCCTCGCGCAACCCTACCACCCCCTCCAATCCCTACGGCGCCCCGTTACCCGGGGTCCTCGTCCTCCCCGCAAGCCCATCCCCTCTGCGGGCACCTGCGCTCTTGCAGTCTGCGCTTCCGTGCGCTCACACTGAAGCCCTTCTCGGAGCCGAGCCCGGGCCCCGTTTCCTGCAGAAGCCCCCGCCCCATCAAGGTCCCACGCGAGCCCGGGACCCCCGTCCCATCCGCACCGCCCCCACCCCTAGCCACCGACCTGTCTCGTGCGCTTTTCGGAGGAGCCAGGCGTCCGCACGATCCAGCTCGGACACTGGGGGCGGCGAAGCCCCGGCGCGGGGACCGTGGCCGGGGGCGAAGGACCCCCGGGCGCCCCCGCTCCGGGGCCGCTGAGGCGGCAGTAGCGACCTCCGGAAGCGAAGACGGGCAAGGCGAGCGGCCCGAGCCCACCACCAGCCGCCTCCCATGATTCGCACTACGGCCGCCGCGCGCCGTACCGCCCCACCGGCCTCCGGTAGGTTGCAACCCATGTCACTCAGGATGAATGGCTTACCCATTGGCTATGCGCTCGCCACTCAGGTCCGGCGTGAACTGTCCATTGGTCGGAATGGCAGTGATTCCCTCCTCTGTCATCTAGGCCGGTAGTGCCCGTCCCTCCTTGATTTTGTACCGGACTACGAATCCCAGCGATCATTGCGCTCGGGGAAAGCCGATATTCAGAAGTCGCAGGCGAGATGTCTGCTGGGAATTGTAGTTTTAATTCTATCTTTTTTAACGGAGTACATGCCGAGCACCTATTGTAGTTGTTTCTTGGTTGTTTCTCTTTCTTTCTTTCTCTTTCTTTCTTTCTTTCTTTTTCTTTCTTTCTCTTTCTTTCTTTCCTTCTTTCTTTCTTTCTCTCTTTCTTTTTCCCTCCCTCCCTCCCTTCCCTCCCCTCCTTCCTTCCTTCCCTCCTTCCTTTTTTTTCCCCGCCCCGAGACCGAGTCTTGCTCTGTCGCCCAGGCTGGAGTGCAGTGGTGCGATCTCGGCTCACTGCAACCTCCACCTCCCGGGTTCAAGCGATTCTCCTGCGTCAGCCTCCTGAGTAGCTGGGATTATAGGCATGCGCCACCACGCCCAGCTAATTTTTGTATCTTTAGTAGAGACAGGGTTTCACCATGTTGGCCAGGCTGGTCTCGAACTCCTGACCTCAAGTGATCCAACCGCCTCGGCCTCCAAAAGTGCTGGGATTACAGGCGTGAGCCACCGTGCCCGGCCAGGTCTGTCTCTTTAAGACAGATTTGTTTTCTTTGCCCTAACCCATTCCGGGATTCAGCTTTGCCTTCTCTCATCAGCATAAACCTTTTCACTAGCCAGGAATGTGAAAAATGTGTCTGGAATATTTTCAATTTGCACTTAATCCCATTTAAAGCTTCACATTCATTGCAAGCCTGCAGGCTATGCAGTGCAGTCCATTTGAACTCCCTCCTCAAGTGTAACCCCCTTGCTAGCTCCCCTACTTTTCCTCTTCATAAAATCCAAGCCCGGGCCAGGCACGGTGGCTCACATCTGTAATCCCACCACTTTGGGAGTCTGAGGCGGGCAGATCACGAGATCAGGAGTTCGAGACCAGCCTGACCAACATGGTGAAACCCCATCTCTACTAAAAATACAAAAATTAGGCATGGTGGCAGGCACCTGTAATCCCAGCTACTTGTGAGGCTGAGGCAGGAGAATCGTTTCATGCGCGTCCATGTGAAGAGACCACCAAACAGGCTTTGTGTGAGCAAGATGGCTGTTTATTTCACCTGGCTGCAGGCAGGCTGAGTCCGAAAAGAGAGTCAGCAAAGGGTGGTGGATTATCATTAGTTCTTAGAGGTTTTGGGATAGGCGGTGAAGTTAAGAGCAATGTTTTGCGGGCAGGGGTGGATCTCACACAGTACATTCTCAAGGGTGGGGAGAATTACAAAGAACCTTCTTAAGGGTGGGGGAGATTACAAAGTACATTGATCAGTTAGGTGGGGCAGGAACAAATCACAATGGTGGAATGTCATCAGTTAAGGCTATTTTTACTTCTTTTGTGGATCTTCAGTTACTTCAGGCCATCTGGATGTATACGTGCAAGTCACAGGTGATGCGATGGCTTGGCTTGGGCTCAGAGGCCTGACATTTCTGCCTTCTTTTATTAATAAGAAAAATAAAACAAAATAGTGTTGAAGTCTTGGGGGGTGGTATGGAGAGAGAATGGGCGATGTTTCTCGGGGCTGCTTCAAGCAGGATTAGGGGCGGCGTGCGAACCTAAAGTGGGAGAGATTAAGCTGAAGGAAGATTTTGTGGTAAGGGGTGATATTGTGGGGTTGTTAGAAGAAACATTTGTTGTGTAGAAGTATTGGTGATGGCCTGGGTACAGTTTTGTATGAATTGAAAAACTAAATGGAATAAGAGAAGGAGAAAAACAGGTATAAAAGGTCTAAGAATTGGGAGGACCTAGGACATCTGATTAGAGAGTGCCTAAGGAGATTCAGCATAGTCCTGCCAGCAAAGATTATTTGTTTACTTCAGGAGTTAAGAGTGGCAGTTTGGGGATAGCATGAGGAGATATCAGCTGTGATGGCTTGGAGAAACAGTGTAAACCAGCAGTGTAAACAAGAGCAGGGCACGTATGAGTAGTTGAGAACGGAGAATAGGAGTATGACTAGACAGAAAATAGTAGGGATGACAAGTTTTTTTGGGGCACAGTCTAAGTTGGTCCGGTGTCTGGAATGAGACTGGGGCCTAATAAAAAGGATTGTCCATACAGGAGCTCAAATAGGCTGTACCCTGCAGCATTCTGAGAAGCAAAAGAGGTAAAAGTATTGTCCAGTCCTTTTTAAGTTGGTGGCTGAGCTTGGTGAGGTGTGTTTTTAAAAGACCTTTAGTCCGTTCTACTTTTCTTGAAGACAGAGGACCGTAAGGGATATAAAGGTTTCACTGAATACTAAGAGCCTGAAAAACTGCTTGGCTGATTTGACTAATAAAGGCTGGTCTGTTATCAGACTGTATAGAGGTGGGAAGGCTAAACTGAGGAATTATGTCTGACAGAAGGGAAGAAATGACTGCGGTGGCCTTCTCAGACCTTGTAGAAAAGGCCTGTACCTATCCAGTGAAAGTGTCTGCCTAGACTAAGAGGTATTTTGGTTTCCTGACTCGGGGCATGTTGAGTAAAGCTAATTTGCCAGTCCTGGGTGGGGGCAAATCCCTGAGCTTGATGTGTAGGGAAGGGAGGGGGCCTGAATAATCCCTGAGGAGTAGTAGAACAGCAGATGGAACACTGAGAAGTGATTTCCTTGAGGACAGATTTCCACGATGGAAAGGAAATGAGAGGTTCTAAGAGGCGGGCTCATGGCTTGTACTATAGCATAGCCTGCCTTTGCTGGTGTGTGGCGATTAGGCCTGGTGGAACTGCCATCAATAAATCAAGCGTGATCAGAGTGAGGAACAGGAAAGAAGGAAATATGGGGAAATGGGGTGAATATCAGGTGGATCAGAGAGATACAGTCATGGGGGTCAGGTGTGGTATCAGGAATAATGTGGGAGGCCAGATTGAAGTCCGGGCCAGGAACAATGGTAATTGTGGGACTTAAGAGTGAGTGCAGCTGAAGGAGCCGGGGAGCAGAAAGTACATGCGTCAGGTATGAGGAAGAAAATAGATTTTGGAAGTTATGAGAAATGTAGAGAGTGAGTTGAGCATAGTTTGTGATTTTTAGGGCTCTAAAAGTATTAAAGCAGCGGCAGCCGCTGCATGCAGACATGAGGGCTAGGCTAAAACAGTAAGGTCAAGTTGTTTGGACAGAAAGGCTACAGGGTGCGGTCCTGGCTCTTGTGTAAGAATTCTGACCACACTAACCATGCCTAGGAAGGAAAGGAGTTGTTTTGTAAGGGATTGAGGTTTGGGAGATTAATTGGACACGATCAGCAGGGAGAGCACGTGTGTTTTTATGAAGAATTATGCTGAGATAGGTAACAGATGAGGATGAAATTTGGGCTTGACTGAAGTAATGGGGGCTGTCTGTGAAGCCTTGCGGCAGTACAGCCCAGGTAATTTGCTGAGCCTAATGGGTGTCAGGGTCAGTCCAAGTGAAAGCGAAGAGAGGCTGGGATGACGGGTGCAAAGGAATAGTAAAGAAAGCATGTTTGAGATCCAGAACAGAATAATGGGTTGTGGAGGGAGGTATTGAGGATAGGAGAGTATATGGGTTTGGCACCATGGGGTGGATAGGCAAAACAATTTGGTTGATAAGGCACAGATCCTGAACTAACTTGTAAGGCTTGTCTGGTTTTAGGACAGGTAAAATGGGGGAATTGTAAGGAGAGTTTATAGGCTTAAAAGGCCTTACCCATTGAGCAGGGTAAGGGTGATTAGGTTTTAATGAGATGGTAAGGGGTGCATGATCGGTTGCCAAGGAAGGAGTAGAGGTATCTTATACTTGTGGGTTAAGGTGGGGGAATACAAGAGGAGGACGCAAAGGAGGCTTTGGATTGGGAAGAAGGGCAGCAATGAGATGTAGCTGTAATCCAGGAATAGTCAGGGAAGCAGATGATTTAGTTAAAGTGTCTCGGCCTAATAAGGGAACTGGGCAGGTGGAGATAACTAAAAGGAGTGCTTTAAAGAGTATCGTCTAAGTTGGCACCAGAGTTGGGGAGTTTTAAGAGGTTTAGAAGCCTGGCTGTCAATACCCACAACAGTTATGGAAGCAAGGGAAACAGGCCCTTGAAAAGAAGGTAATGTGGAGTGGGTAGCCTCTGTATTGATTAAGGGGACGGACTTATCTTCCACTGTGATAGTTACTCGAAGCTCGGCGTCTGTGATGGTCTACGGGGCTTTCGAGGTGATCGGGCAGCGTCAGTCTTCAGCCGCCAAGCCGAGAAGGAGTCAGTCGGAGAGCCTTGGGCCAGAGTTCCAGGGGCTCTGGGAGTGGCTGCCAGGTGAGTTGAACAGTCCGATTTTCAGTGGGGTCCCACACAGATGGGACGCGGCCTAGGAGGAATCCCAGGCTGCGGGCATTCCTTGGCCCAGTGGCCAAGATTTCCAGCATGTGTAGCAAGTTCCTGGGGGAGGAGGTTCTGGAGGAACGCCTGGCTGCTGCGGTTCGGGCGTTTGGAAGTTCTTGCGTGCTGGAGATGTGGCTGGGGTTTGTCTCACAGTGGAGGCAAGGAATTGCAACTTTTTTTCTGTTATTGTACACCTTGAAGGCGAGGTTAATTAAGTCCTGTTGTGGGGTTTGAGAGCCAGATTCCAATTTTTGGAGTTTTATTTAATGTCAGGAGCAGATTGGGTAATAAAATGTATATTGAGAATAAGACGGCCTTTTGACCTTTTAGGGTCTAGGGCTATAAAGCGTCTCAGGGTTGCTGTCAAACGAGCCATGTACTGGGCTGGATTTTTATATTTGAAGAAAAAGAGCCTAAACGCCATCTGATTTGGGATAAAGAAAAAGGAGCATTAACCTTGACTATGCCTTTAGCTCCAGCCACCTTTTTAAGAATAAATTGCTGCGCAGGTGGGGAAGGGCTAGTCACGGAACGAAACTGTAAACCATACCGGGTGTGAGGAGGGGAGGTGATGAAACGATTATAGGGTGGAGGAGCGGAGGCTGAGGAAGAATTGGGACCTAGCTTGGCCTGGCGAGGAGGGGAGAGGTCAGTTGGGTCTGTAGAAAAGGAAGATTAGAAACACTCAGCAACGCTTGGGGTTGGGACTGAGGGGACAGGTGGGAGGGAAAGAAGGAAGATTTGGGACGAGTTGCATTGGGCACAGAGACTAGGAAGGGACTGTGATGTGTAAAAGAATGCCTGGACGTCAGGCACCTCAGACCATTTGCCTATTTTATGACAAGAATTATTTAGATCTTGCAGGATGGAAAAATTCAAAGTGCCATTTTCTGGCTATTTGGAACTACTATCGAGTTTGTATTGGGGTCAAGCAGCATTGCAGAAGAAAATAAGGCGTTTAGGTTTTAGGTCAGGTGTGAGTTGAAGAGGTTTTAAGTTCTTGAGAAGACAGGCTAAGGGAGAAGGAGGAATGGAGGGTGGAAGTTTGCCCATAGTAAAGGAGGCAAACCCAGAGAAAAGAGAGCGTAGAGACACGGAGGGAAGGGGTTCAGGGTTCTTACCCTCCAGAAAAGCAGGAAGCGGGGTCGGGGCATGGAAATAAGGGATTGGGGCACAGAGATAAGAGGTTGGGGTGCGGAAATAAGGGATTGGGGGTTCTTGACCCCTAGAAAAGCGGGACTTGCCACTAAGGGTGAAGGAGAAGGGGTTGATGGGTACTTGTCCCTTCCCCAGAAAAGCAGAGAAGGGGTAGAGACACAGAGAAGGGGTTGGGGAACTTGCCCCTCCCCCAGAAAAGCGGGACTTGCCACCAAGGATGAAGGACCAAGGCAGGCGTCCCTGCGTGGTCTGACACCTTTGAAACGTGGGTGAATAATCAGAGAGGCGTCCTTGCAATGATTAAACACCAAGGGAAGGCTGCCTTCCCAGTCCGTGACCGGCGCCAGAGTTTTGGGTCCACAGATAAAACGTGTCTCCTTTGTCTCTACCAGAAAACAAAAGGAATAGAAATTAAGAGAAGGGAGAGATTGAAGTGTGGCGCCAAGATTGAAAGGAGAAAGAGGTTGAGAGATAGTGAGGGAGGTTGGAAAAGAGTAAAAAGAGGCCGCTTACCGGATTTGAAATTGGTGAGTTGTTTCTTGGGCTGGTCTGTCTGAGGACCTGAGGTCGTAGGTGGATCTTTCTCACAGAGCAAAGAGCAGGAGGATGGGGGATTGATCTCCCAAGGGAGGTCGGTCCCCCGATCCGAGTCACGGCACCAAATTTCATGCGCGTCCGTGTGAAGAGACCACCAAACAGGCTTTGTGTGAGCAACATGGCTGTTTATTTCACCTGGCTGCAGGCAGGCTGAGTCCGAAAAGAGAGTCAGCAAAGGGTGGTGGATTATCATTAGTTCTGAGAGGTTTTGGGATAGGCGGTGAAGTTAAGAACAATGTTTTGCGGGCAGGGGTGGATCTCACACAGTACATTCTCAAGGGTGGGGAGAATTACAAAGAACCTTCTTAAGGGTGGGGGAGATTACAAAGTACATTGATCAGTTAGGTGGGGCAGGAAGAAATCACAATGGTGGAATGTCATCAGTTAAGGCTATTTTTACTTCTTTTGTGGATCTTCAGTTACTTCAGGCCATCTGGATGTATACCTGCAAGTCTCAGGTGATGCGATGGCTTGGCTTGGGCTCAGAGGCCTGACAATTTGAACCTGGGAGGCTGAGGTTGCAATGAGCTGAGATAGTGCCACTGCACTGCACTCCAGACTGGGCGACAGAGTGAGACTCCATCTTTTTTTTTTTTTTTTTTTTTTTGAGACGGAATTTCGCTCTGTCGCCCAGGCTGGAGTGCAGTGGCACAGTCTCGGCTCACTGCAAGCTCCGCCTCCCGGGTTCACGCCATTCTCCTGCCTCAGCCTCCCGAGTAGCTGGGACTACAGGCACCCGCCACCACACCCAGCTAAATTTTTTTTGTATTTTCACTAGAGATGGGGTTTCACCGTGTTAGCCAGGATGGTCTCGATCTCCTGAGCTCGTGATCCGCCCGCCTCAGCCTCCCAAAGTGCTGGGATTACAGGCGTGAGCCACCATGCCCGGCCGAGACTGCATCTTAAAAAAAAAAAAAATGGCCGGGCGCAGTGGCTCACGCCTATAATCCCAGCACTCTAGGAGGCCTAGGCGGGCAAATCACCAGGTCAGGAGATCGAGACCATCCTGGCTAACATGGTGAAACCCCGTCTCTACTAAAAAATACAAAAAAAATTAGCCGGGCGTGGTGGTGGGCGCCTGTAGTCCCAGCTACTCAGGAGGTTGAGGCAGGAGAATGGCATGAACCCGGGAGGTGGAGCTTGCAGTGAGCCTAGTTCACGCCACTGCACTCCAGCCTGGGTGACAGAGTGAGACTCTGTCTCAAAAAAAGAAAAAAAAAAAAACGGCTGGGAGCAGTGGCTCACGCCTGTAATCCCAGCACTTTGGGAGGCCGAGGTGGGCGGATCACCAGGTCAGGAGATCGAGACCATCCTGGCTAACGCGGTGAAACCCCGTCTCTACTAAAAATACAAAAAATTAGCCGGGCATGGTGGTGGGCGCCTGTAGTCCCAGCTACTCGGGAGGCTGAGGCAGGAGAATGGTGTGAACCCGGGAGGCAGAGCTTGCAGTGAGCCGAGATCGTGCCACTGCACTCCAGCCTGGGCAACAGTGTGAGACTCCGTCTCAAAAAAAAAGAAAAGAAAAAAAACAATCCAAGCCTTACTTAGTGAAAGATAAAGGAGCTGATTTTAAGAGGGGCCTGGCCCAGCAGGCTTTGTAGCCAAGGTCCAAAGGGGCAGTGGAGGGCTCTGGAACATCTTCCTCTCATTGGTGGGTTTAAGCTGGGGAGCAACATTACCAGATGCACATTTAGAGGATCCTCGAGGCTGAGCACAGGGGCTTATGCCTGTAATCCGAGTGCTTTGTGGGGCTGAGGTGGGAGGATGGCTTGAGGCCAGGAATTCAAGACCAGCCTGGGCAACAAAATGAAACCTCATTTCGTTTTTTGTTTGTTTTGAGACAGAATCTTGCTCTGTCGCCCAGACTGGAGTGCAGTGGCACCATCTCACCTCACTGCAACTTCTGCATCCCGGGTCCAAGCAATTCTCCTGCCTCAGCCTACTGAGTAGCTGGGATTTTAGGCATGTGCCAACATGCCAGGCAATTTTTTTTTTTTTTTTTTTTTTTTTTGAGATGGAGTTTTGTTGTTGTTGACCAGGCTGGGGTGCAATGGTGAGATCTCAGCTTGCTACAAACTCTGCCTCCCGGGTTCAAGCGATTCTCCTGCCTCAGCTTCCCTAGTAGCTGGGACTACAGGCACCCGCCATCACACCCAGCTAATTGTTTGTATTTTCAGTAGAGATGGGGTTTCACTATGTTGGCCGTGGCTGGTCTTGAACTCCTGACCTCAAGTGATCCACCAGCCCAGGCCTCCCAAAGTGCTGGGATTATAGGCATGAGCCACCACACATGGCTTTAACATTTTTTTCTGATCAAGAGTTCACAGTTGCCCTTTTCTTGTTTTTTATTTTCATTTTCTGTAGAGACGGGGTCTCCCTGCGTTGCCTGGGATAGTCTCAAACTCCTGGGCTCAAGCGATCCTCCTGCCTCAGCCTCCCAAAGTGCTGGGATTATAGGCATGAGCCACCTTGCCTAGCCTAGCTGCCCCCATCTGACTGCTGCTTTGACTAGAGCAAACTTGAGTCAGGTTTATCTCCTTCCATGGGCCCCTGAACTTCTAGCTCACCCTCAAGTCTGAGCAAGCAATGAAATGTGGAAGGTGCCTCCTGGTTAGCTTATCCTGAGAACTGCCTGACCCCACATAGCCCTGTTTCCTGTTGAATGATGCAGTCGGCTTAGTCCCTGTCATCTGCCCAACCTTCCCAGACTGCAAAGCCCCCTTAACATAGAAAATGAATGGCTTTTTTTGTTTGGTTTTGAGATGCTTGCAGATTTCTGAGACTAGGACATTCTCCCTAATGCAACAAACTTTATGAAGTTTCTCAGTATTTAAGTTTGGATATGTTGTTTTCTTTTCTTTCTTTCTTCTTTTTTGAGACAGAGTTTCACTCTTGTGGCCCAGGCTGGAGTGCAATGGCATGATCTCGGCTCACTGCAATCTCTGCCAACGGAGCATGGTGGCACACACCTGTAATCTGAGCTACTCTAGAGGTTTGCTAATTTGCTAGCAGAATTCACGGAACTGGGCGGAGTGCAGTGCTCATGCCTGTAATCCCGGCACTTTGGGAGGCTGAGGTGGGCAGATCACTTGAGGCCAGGAGTTCAAGACCTGCCATGGCCAACATGCTGAAACCCTGTCTGTACTGAAAATACAAAAATTAGCCAGGTGTGGTGGCACATGCCTGTAGTCCCAGCTACTTGGGGGGCTGAGGCACAAGAATCGCTTCATCTTGGGAAGCGGAGGTTGCAGTGAGCTGAGATTACACCACTGCACTCCAGCCTGGGAAGCAGAAAGAGATTCTTGTCTCAAAAAACAAACAAAAAGGCCAGGCACGGTGGCTCACGCCTGCAAACACAGCACTTTGGGAGGCCAAGGCGGGCAGATCACGAGGTCAGGAAATAGAGACCATCCTGGCTAACACGGTGAAACCCCATCTCTACTAAAAATAAAAAAATTAGCCTGGCATGGTGGCACACGCCTGTAGTCCCAGCTACTTGGGAAGCTGAGGCAGGAGAATTGCTTGAACCCGGGAGGCGGAGGTTGCAGTGAGCCAAGATCACGCCACTGCACTGCAGCCTGGGCAACAGAGAGAGACTCCATCTCAAAAAAAAAAAAAAAGAAGAAGAATTCATTGACAGCTGCCGTGCTCCCGGTTATGGTGTATTACAGTGCAAGAATACAGGTGAAAATCAGCCCAGGGAAGACGGGCATTCGGCAGAGCCTGGGGGCGGGGTCCCATCCTGAGGCTTCCAGCCCTCTTGTCCCCATGGAATGTGGACAGCGCTCACTTTACCCAGCAACAGTGTGTGACGGTACATGTGGAGCTTTGTTGACCAGGGAAGCTCTCGGAAGCCTCACTGTCCAGAACCTTCATTACCCCTGAGACGCGTAAACCCAGTCGTCCTCCGTGAGACTGAGGTGACCTCAGGCGCCAGCCCTTCCAGAGGTCAGCTGATACCCTGTGACCCCAGGGCCCCACCCTGAGTCACATTGTTACTAGCCTAGTTGGCCCAAGGCTGATAGGTAAACCAAGATAATCTTATCAGGAACGACATTCCAGAGATTTAGAGGAGATGACCTCAAAGGCACTGAGGACAAAGGTCTTACCTCTCTTTGGGGAAGGTTAAATTCTTCATTACACTGAACCAAACAATGCAGGCCGACTCCAGAAGCTGAAAAAAGATAAAGAAATGAATTCTCCTCCGAGTCCCCTGAGCAGGAACACAACCCAGCTGACATTTTCGTTTTATTTATGTATTTATTTTATTTTATTTTTTACTTTTTTTTTTTTTTTTGAGACAGAGTCTTGCTCAGTCTCCCAGGCTGGAGTGCAGTGGTTCAATCTCCGCTCACTGCAAACTCCGCCTCCTGGGTTCACGCCATTCTCCTGCCTCAGCCTCCCAAGCAGCTGGGACTACAGGCGCCCGCCACCACGCCCAGCTAATTTTTTTGTAGTTTTTTAGTAGAGACGGGGTTTCACCATGTTAGCCAGGATGGTCGTGATCTCCTGACCTCATGATCCGCCCACCTCGGCCTCCCAAAGTGTTGGGGTTACAGGCCTGAGCCACCGCGCCTGGCCTATTTTTTACTTTTAATTAATTTTTTAAGACAGGGTATCACTCTGTCACCCAGGCTGGAGTGCAGTGGCTTCATCTCGGCTCACTGCAACCTCGGCTTTCAGGGCTCAGCCTCCCCAGTAACTGGGACCACAGGCATGCACCACCACACCTAGCTAATTTTTGTATTTTCTGTAGAGTTGGGGGTCTCACCATATTGCTCAGGCTGGTCTTAAACTCCTGGGTTCAAGCCGTACACCCACCTCGGTCCCGAGAGTGTTGAGATTAGAGGTGTGAGCCACTGCACCCTGCCGTTTTATTTTTTTAATTTGTATTTTTGTGACAGGGTCTTACTCTGTCACCCAAGCTGGAGTGCAGTGGCGCGAGCATGGCTCCCTGCAACCTAGACCTCCCCAGCTCCAGTGACCCTCCCCTCTCAGTCTCTGGAGTAGCTGGGACTACAGGAGTGAACCACCATACCCGGCTAATTTTTTTTTTGTTTGTTTTTCTGACGGAGTCTCGCTTTGTTGCCAGGCTGGGGTGCAGTGGCACGATCTCGGCTCATTTCAATCTCCGCCTCCCAGGTTCAAGTGATTCTCCTGCCTCAGCCTCCTGAGTAGCTGGGACTACAGGCACCCACCACCACACCCAGCTAATTTTTGTAATTTTAGTAGAGACAGGGTTTCACCATATTGGTCAGGATGGTCTCAATCTCTTGACCTTGTGATCCGCCTGCCTCGGCCTCCTAAAGTGCTGGGATTACAGGTGTGAGCCACCATGCTCGGCCCTATTTTTGGATTTTTTAGTAGAGACAGTATCTTGCCATGTTGTGCAGACTGGTCTCGAACTCCTGGGCTCAAGAGCTCCTCCCACCTTGGCCTCCAAAGTGCTGGGATTACAGATGTAAGCCACAACACCTGGCTACATCTTGGTTTTTAGACTTCTGATCTTCAGAACTGTAAGAGAATACATTTGTGGCCGGGTGCGGTGGCTCACACCTGTAATCCCAGCACTTTGGGAGGCTGAGGTGGGCAGATCACCCAAGGTCAGGAGTTAGAGATCAGCCTGGCCAACGTGGTGAAACCCCGTCTCTACTAAAAATGCAAAAATTAGCTGGGCATGGTGGTGGGTGCCTATAATCCCAGTCACTAGGGAGGCTGAGGTAGGGGAATTGCTTGAACTCAGGAGATGGAGGTTGCAGTGAGCTGAGATCATGCCACTGCACTCCAGCCTGGGCGACAGAGCAAGACTCTGTCTCAAAAATAAATAAATAAATAATAAATAAATAAGTAGAATACATTTGTGTTGTTTTAAGCCACTAGGTTTTTGGTCATTTGTTACAGTGGCAACAGAGAATACAGTTATGAAACCCAACAATGGATATAGTTGTGAGGATGTGAGAAGTCTACAGAGGAAAGTAAAAGGAAGAAGGGTGGGGAAGGGAGGGTGAAGAAAAAACAATAAAAGGAAAGAAAAGAAAGTAGATGGAATGATGGTTCAGATGTAATAATTTTATTTATTTTTATTTATTTCTTTGAGACAGAGTCTTACTCTGTAGTCCAGGCTGGAGTGCAGTGGTGTGATCTCAGCTCACTGCAGCCTCCGCCTCCTGGGTTCAAGCAATTCTCCTCCCTCAGCCTCCCAAGTAGCTGAGATTACAGGCGACTGCCACCACACCTGGCTAATTTTTGCATTTTTAGTAGAGACAGGGTTTCACCATATTGGCCAGGCTGGACTTGAACTCCTGACCTTAGGTGATCTGCCTGCCTCAGAGGTTGCAGTGAGCTGAGATCGTGCCACTGCATTCCAGCATGGGCTACAGAGTGAGATTCCATCTCAAAAAAAAAAAAAAAAAAAAAAAAAAAGAGAGAGCAGGGTAACAGGGTTAATTGTTGTCCCCAAAAACATATTTCTACATCCTAAGCCCTGGAACCTGTAAATGAACTAATGAACTGTATTTGGAAACAGGGTCTTTAAAAAATATACATATATAAGCTCTCACTGTTGTCCAGGCCAGAGTGTGGTGGTGTGATCACAGCTCACAGCAGCCTTGACCTCCCAGGCTCAAGGGATCCTCCTGCCTCAGCATCCCAAGTAGCTGGGACTACAGGTGCGCCCACCACACCCAGCTAATTTTTCCTGTATTTTGTAGAGATGGGGTCTTCCTATGTTGCCCAGGCTGGCCTTGAACGCCTGGCATCAAGCAATCCTCCTGCCTTTGCATCCCAAATTGCTGAGATTACAGGCGTGAGCCACCACACTTGGCTGGGAAACAGGATATTTAATGAAAGATCTTAAGATGAGATTACTCTTGATTACTTGGTTGGGTTCTAAATCCAGTGAAGAGTCTTTTTTTTTATTTGAGATGGAGTCTTGCTCTGTTGCCCAGGCTGGAGTGTAGGGGCATGATCTCGGCTCACTGCAAGCTCCGCCTCCCGGCTTCACGCCATTCTCCTGCCTCAGCCTCCCGAGTAGCTGGGACTACAGGTGCCTGCCACCACACCTGGCTAAATTTGTTTTTTCTGTATTTTTAGTAAAGATGGGGTTTCACTGTGTTAGCCAGGATGGTCTGGTCTCGATCTCCTCACCTCATGATCCGCCCACCTCGGCCTCCAAAAGTGCTGGGATTACAGGCGTGAGCCACCGCGCCCGACTGAGTCTTTCTAAGAGACAGAAGACACAGACACAGAGGAGAAAGCTCTGGGAAAAGATGGAGGCAGAGATTGAAGCGATGTCACCACAAGCCCAGGATTGTCCATGGCCACCAGAAGCCAGGAGTGGAAAGCAAGGATTCTCCCTAGAGCCTCAGAGGCAGCCTGGCCCTGTGGACACCTTGATGGTGCACTTCTGGCCTCTAGAACAAATTTCTGTCATGTTAAGCCGCCCAGTCTGTGGAGATACGTAGGCAGCCCTGGGGCTCTAATACCAATGGAATGCCAAAATGGAATTTAGAAAATGCAACCAGCCGGCCAGGCACAGTGGCTCACACCTGTAATCCCAGCACTTTGGGAGGCTGAGGCAGGTGGATCACCTGAGGTTGGGAGTTTGAGACCAGCCTGGCCAACATGGCGAAACTCCATCTCTGCTAAAAATACAATTAGCTGGGTGTGGTGGCAGACACCTGTAGTGCCAGTGACTCAGGAGGCTGAGGCAGGAGCATCACTTGAACTGGGGAGGCAGAGGTTGCAGTGAGCCAAGATAGCACCACTGCACTCCAGCCTGGCGGACAGATTGAGACCCTGCCACAAAAAAAGAAAAGAAAAACAAAAAACAAGAAAATACAGGAAACAGTTAACACCTGTAGAATCTGGGCAGTGGATCAGGGCAGGTACTCAAAGAGCACCTGGCACCAGTTGTTGGTCCCAGTGTCCAGGTAACCCTGGGCTGTGGAAAGCTCGACCACATCCTGGTGCTGGTGGCCATCTCTGCCCTCCCTCAGCCTCCATACCTTCCTCCAATGGAGATGTTCCTCAGGCTCCACGCACTTCCTGAGCGACATGGTCCACTCTTGCAGCTCTATTTTTTTTTTTTTTTTCAAGACGGCATCTTGCTCTGTCACCCAGGCTGGAGTGCAGTGGCACTGTCTCTGCCTCCTGGGTTCCAGTGATTCTCCTGCCTCAGCCTCCAGAGTAGCTGGGATTACAGGCGCCCACAACCACACCTGGCTAATTTTTGTATTTAGTAGAGACGGGGCTTCACCATGTTGACCAGGTTGGTCTCAAATTCCTGACCTCATGATCCGCCCACCTCAGCCTCCCAAAGTGCTGGGATTACAGGCACCCGCCAGCACACCCGGCTAATTTTTGTATTTTAGTAGAGATGGGGGTTTCACCATGTTGGCCAGGATGGTCTCGAACTCCTGACCTCATGATTTGCCCACCTCAGCGTTCCAGAGTGCTGGGATTACAGGCATGAGCCACCGCGCCCGGCCAACTGCATGCGTTTTTAAAGCTGTTGCAGTTCTTCTGCCCATCCTGCTGCTGAGGGACTCCCTCCCCTTTATGTAAACTCCAAGAAAACCCTCTATCTTGTTTGCTGGGTTTGGGTCTCAGCCTTTTTTATTTTTTTTAAGAGACAGGGGTCTCACTCTGTTGCCTGGCCTGCTGGAGTGCAGGAAAGTGATGTAGCTCACTGCAGCCTGAACTACTGGGTTCAAGCGATCCTCCTGCCTCAGCCTCCCGAAGTGCTGGGATGAGAGGCGTGAGCCACTGCGCCCAAACTGTATTGATCATGCATTCAGCCATCTATCCACCCATCCTTCATATTTGTTGATGCATTTCAAAGTAAGTTCCAACATCACAACAGACCCCTCCTCAGAGGATACCCCTGGCTATCACATGGGTAGGGTGCCTGCTAAAGCTCGTCCCGTCCCTGGAAGCCAGCCCAGCTGTCCTGTCTGTGTTAATGGTCTTTCTATGAGCACTGCAGGGGCAGATCCAGGACTGTGCAGGTCACCCCTGGATCCCAAATGCTGAGCGTGGCCCGCACAGAAGCTCAGGGACCTTGGGATGTTGCTAGTAGGTGATCTACTGCCATCCACTGAGGACAGCTGACACTGTTTGGAGGCACAAATTGTCCCTCAGTGTCCTCATGTTACCCTGAGGCCGACCGCTGAGAGAATAGGTCCTTGTTTCACCCCCCAGCCACCTTCCACCCTCGTTAATTCCCAGGGCAAGGGATGGTCTGGGGCAGCCTGGAGAGACCAGACCCACAAGCTTTTTAAAATAACTGCATCCTTTAATGGCAGTAATACAATTACTGGATTAAGAGACCACAGGAGAAAGGCAGGTGACGTTTCTGGAAGACAGATATGGAGTATAAAAAGGGTGTGAAATAGTCATGCGGCGATCATTGTAAAAATACAGTTCATTATATACATATTTGCACCACCAACTCTCAACTCTGAAACAGTATTTACACTTTTGTTACAATCCTGGTTAGAGAACAATTTTTCTTTAAAAGCTCGGCCTGATGGCAAATGAGAATTTCGGGTGAATTCATAGTCCTATGAGGTTCTTAGGCTGAATATTCCAAGAGGAGGGCTCCAGCTTCTATTTCATCCACAGATTTCGGTTTAAAAAATATTTTTCTTTTACAAAAGAAAATTCTCAAAAGGAGAGGAAAAACAACAACAAAAACCACAACACTGCCACACTGTGTATTCATACTTATTTTACAAACACCAAGGGCTGTGCCCTCTGCTTCAAGGCCAACACTGGTGGCTGAAGACAAATCTCATTAATGATTGTGTAAAAAAAAAAAAAAAAAAAAAGACAAAAAGACAAACCAACCAACCAGATCCCAGCACTGACCCCTCAGGGCTGTGCAGCCCTGTAGGACACCCTGCCTCCTGGCTCCAAACTATGAGTTTTTCATTTTTCTCTTTTTGGGGTGGGGTGGGATAGGAGCCTTGTTCACCCCACCCTGAGGAGGAGGGAAGGGGAATCCCTTGGCAGGTAACTAGGTCTCTTCATGGTCAGCAATGAAGAGCTTGGCCTGCAGCCACATGGTGGGCCAGGGAGACGGGCAGATGCAGCCACAAGCACACACTTCCTGAGGCCCCTCAAGTGGCCCAGAGGCAGGATAGCAGGCCTCCCCCAGCACCCCTTGCGCCCATCTCTCGGGCTGTGTCCATAGGTGGGCCTCCTCCAGGGCTCTGCAGATGAGGCTGGCCCTCAGCCAGGGTGGGAGCATGGGGGGAGCAGAGGCTCCCCATCCCCTGGCTGCAGGGTTCCCACTCAGTCCGTTTCTTAAGTGTCCACAAATCCCACAGAGCAACACACCTTGGAACACCTGCATCTGCTGGCTTGGGAAAGGAAACCCGAACACATCAATACCTCATGCCCTGCAGGTCACACAGTGTAAGGAGGTGCGAGGAAAACAGAGAACACTTGGCCAGGAGCCACCCCAGGGTCCCCATTGTTGGGGCCTGGCGGCGCAGCCACTGCACGGATCCTGGAGCTGTCCGGGGCTGGGCTGCAGTGCAGGCATAGCGGGTGCGTGGCTTGAGGACCAGGACAGACCCTGGTGTGGGCAAGCAGGGTGTGGCCCACCTGATAGGACAGGTGGGGTAATACTGACAGAACGTGCGTGCTCCTAGGGGCTGCCTCCTAGAGGTGGCTCTTCAGGACTCTGCCCCACACCGGCCCCCACTACCTTTGGGTCCAGTTCTCACTGTGGAGGCTTCTGCTGCAGGCTGGGGGGCATCCGCTTGCTCTAGACGGAGGGTGGCAGGGAGGGCACGTGTGGTAATCCAGGGACAGGAGCAGGCATGCGCCAGGGAGCCCCCATAGTGCCGCTGGGGGCTTTTTCCTTAATACCTTTTCACTCTCACTGTCTCCTGAGTGGGTTGTTACAGCCTGCACTGAAAAGACAGTGATGGTGCACCCTAGGGTTCTAGAAACGCCTGGACCTGCTTCCACGCAGGCCCTGCCATGGTCTTGGTTCCGGGTCTCTTCGGGCACAGGGTGAGGAGCGTTCAATACCTTCCCAGACACCAACTGTTCCCTTTGTCCTGGGGAAAAGGGGCCATGCTTTGCCCAGAAAACCCACTGGGCCTCCAGCAAGGCCCGGCCACGCAGAGCCCACAGAGTCTGAGGCCAGGCACTGGCGAAAGTTCACAGGTTTGCGGGCATGAGTCGGTTTGCTCAGCAGGAGCCCCTGAGCCCGCCACACTGACCAGAACTTAAGATGGTTATATACAATTTACAAATCTCAAAGAAAGTACTACTTTAAAAAAAAATAAAAGAGACGGAAAGCAAAAGAAAAAGAAAAGAAAAAAGGAACACCCAGCCTGCCTCCCCTTGCCCCCAAGTTCCCTACCCTGGGTGCTGCCCTGAATGCCACCCTAGGAAGGGTGGCTGGAGCCGCAGCTCTGGCTGGACACTACTGGCAAAAGGGGGAGGCCGTGGGGTCGAAGCCTTTAAAAACATCCTTCAGGGATGCCGCATCCTGCTCACCCTCGCGGGCCGGACTGTTCCCAGCAAATGGGCTTCCTGAGCCCGTCTTGGGTGTCTGCTTCACCGTCCCGAAGAGGGTGGGCACGGGCAGGTTGTGCACCCCGGGCTGGGGTGGGGCACCCTCGGGGGGTGGGGTGGCGGTGGTGGCAGCGGGGGCTGCAGCAGCCTTGGGCCGGGGCCGGTTGTAGCTGTTGTATCTGTCCGTGGGGGTGCCCCCATCAGCACCGGCCTTCCCTGTCTCTGGCTGTTCCAGGGCAGACTTGCGGACGAACGGGGGCTCCTTAGCCTTGGAGGCCGAGCTCTTGCCATTGCCCTCAGCACCCTTGGGCTGGGCACCCGTGTCAGCAGCCGGCTCTGTGGCTTTGCCCCCCGCGTTGGGAGTCCTCGGGTCGTAGAGGCTGATACCGCTCAGCACACTGCTCTGCCCGCCCCCTCCGCCCTGGCCCAGTCCACCGGCCGCCAGCACGCGGGGGTCGTAGGGAGCGGTGGCTGGTGGGGAGGCATCCCCACTCGGGCTGGCGGTGGGAGAGGGCGCCTCAGCAGGGCCGGGCTTGGCAGCCCGGGAGGAGGCCGTAGAGTCTGTGGGTTTCTGCAGCCGAGGGTCGGTGGGGGCCTTCCGCACCCGGGGGTCACTGGGTTTGTCGCTGGAACCGGGGGCGGCCGAGGAGCCGGTGGCATTGACTGTCTTGAGGATGCGAGACAGAAGTTCAAAGTCGGGGAGGTTGGCGCCCTGTGTGCTGGAATCCGTGGAGGCGCCCGGGCGCTGCCGGGCGTTGGGGGGCCCTGCCGTGGCAGCGCGGTGCAGCCGGGGGTCCAGGGTGGGCATGGATTGCAGGGCCGCGGGCACGGGGGGCACTGCGTCCTGCTTGGGGATGGGTAGGGGGATCAGGTCCTCGGGATTCCAGAGCACGGTGCGGGCGAAGCTGGGCTTGCTCAGGGTCACGTCCTTCTTGATGTGGCTGAACTGCTGCAGCTGTGACCGTGGGTCCCGCAGAGGGTGCCCGGGGAGTGGGTCCAGGGGAATGTTCACGGCCTTCTCCCGCAGGGCCCGCTCCCCTTCCTCCTCCTCCGTTGGGGGCGGCCCAGACCCCTTGGAACTGCTGGGGCCCACAGGGCTGGAATGAAGGCTGCCTTCGGGCTTGGAGGTGGGCAGGGCGCGAGCCAGCCGAGGATCGGAGGGTCCCGAATCACCTGGGCCAGACCCGCCAGAAGCCTCCACATGGCGGGTGAGTCTGGGGTCCCGGCTGAGGCGAGGGTCAGCCAGCCGGCTTCCTGTGGGGTGTCCCTTCTGGAGGCGGGGGTCCCCCAGCCCACTGCTGCTCAGCTCCCCAACTGAAGCCGGGGGTCGGCTGGACGTCTGCTGCCTCAAGGTCTTCAGGATGGAGGTGACACTGCTTCCACCCTCATCCTCATCACTTGAGTACCAGTTTCCGGTGTCACCTGGGAAAGAACAGAGGAGCAGGGAGGGGTGAGTGGGCGCATCCACCACCCGCCCTCTTGGATCCCACAGCAGCCCACCGTGAGCAGCTCCTTTGCTTGTGCCTCTCAGAACCTCAGGTCCTCCTCTCTAAGGCTCCCTCCCCACAGTGGGCGGCTGAGGAGACCCAGAGAGCTAAGGCGCTCGGTTTATGCCATGCTCCCCAGCTCTCCTCAGTGGCGGCACTGCACTAAGTAGTTTGTTTTATTTAAATAACTCACAACCACCCCAGGAGGTAGTGATACTATCATGCCCATTTGACAGATGTGAAAACAGAAGCACAGTGCCGTTACATTGGAGTCAGGGCCAGGATCGGGCTAGGACTCCTAACCCAGAGCTCTGCTGTTTCCTCCCGCCCACCTCCGGGCTGGTTCAGCCCCCACTGTGGCAAGTCCAGCTGTGGGCACCTCTTTCTGGAGGTCCTGGTAGCAGACACCATTGACTCAGTTCTGGCTGGGCCTGGGGCTCAGAGACACTTGACCCCAAACCGGCTCGTGATGTCCCCATGTCCCAGGGAGGGGCTGGTGTGGACCAACCGCAGTCACCAGCTGATAAGAGGCAGGGCCGGCTGGGCAGACTCAGACATGGGCTCAAGCAAAACCTAGGCCAGTACAGCCTGGGCCATCAGGGGAGCGGCCCCTCCTCCTGCTGTCCCACTGGCTCCTGCGCTACAGTCAGGGCCACCTGTGGCCTCTGGCTTCAGGATCTAGACACCACTTGTCATTTTACCCCAAAGTGGACACCACTAAGTCAACCATGCAGCAACTGAGACTCGGTGGCTCGTGACTATGATTATTACTGGTTAATTTCAATGACTAGCTCTTGTTTGTTGGCTCCTTGAGAACACGGTAGGAAAACAGGGGCTGTGAGGGTCTCCCTAAAGCCTCCTCTGGCAGGGCACAGGCGGTCAATCCTGTTGGCCACTGTCTCCTCCAGGAACTAGCCCTCCATCCTACTCCATGGGATCAGGGTCTCTCCTGAACCCAACACAGAAAGCCACCCCTGACTGCCAGTTTTCTCAGGGACATGCAGCAGCCCCAGCCCGGCTTCATGGCCCTGGACAGGGGTCCTCCCTAGCCATGGGCTCCTTCCTGACAGGAAACCCAACCTGGAACACCCCACCACCGCCGCTCCCCTGCACAGCGGCCTGGGGCCTGTGCCCCGGCCCCTGGGGCGGACACGTGCCTTCCTCATTCTCCCGGTCCTGCTTGCTGCTCTCAGCCAGCCTCCTCGCTCTCTCCTCCTCCTCCTGCTGCTTCTGCTGGATCCTCAGGTACAGGGCCCTCTGGGCTGAGGGCAGGAAGTCAGGGACACCGGCGCCTGGCTTCGGCCGGCCTGGGGGCCCTCCCTCAGAGAAGCTGTCGGGCTCCAGAGGGTGCTCAGGGAAGAGGTGCTCCCCAGGCTCCCCTGGCAGCTCTTCGTAGTGCCCGTAGTCCTCTGTGGCAGGGAAGAACCGAGGGTTCATGTCGGGAAGGGCCTCCAGGTGCCAACTCCAGCCCCCCTGCCCCTCACTGCAAACCCACACCGATGGCGATGGAGAAGGACGCACAGCCTGCCCCTGCCTGCCCTCCCCAGGTCTCAGGGGAACAGAGCGGCCCATGGGTAGCCCCGCCTACATGAAGAATGAGGTTCACAGAGAGGGTTGAGTGATGCGGGCAAACGCTTATGAGGTGGAAACAGGATGGAACATTGGATGTACGTTTGTAAGACGCAAGGAGAAAGCTTTGAAAAGACACACAGAAACAGTCCCTCTGGAACACAGATTCTGGAGAGGCCAGGGATTTCTGTACTCTTTCCTGTACTTTTAAATTATTTTGGATGGATAGGAGTTGCACGGTTTCTTTCTAACAATCAGTAAGGAAACACCATGCATCTCATAGTGAACTCGACCATGTTCAACACTAAAAGCCAGGAAAAGAGAATGAAACGGGTCAAGTGCTGCTCTGGCCACAGGTCAACAGCAGTTCCAGAGTGCCTCCCTGCCCACTCCACAGCATTAGGGGGTGTCTCAGGAAGCACGGGGCCTCCACCTCCTGCAGCGTGGGCACTGGCACCAGCCACCTCACCCCACACACTCCCCCAGTGCCTGAGCCAAGAGCTGTGGGCAGCAGCACAGGCTGACGTGGGGACGCAGCAGGCGTAGAGGGGAGGGCAGGCTCGGCGACGCCTCCTGCATGTTGCGTGTGTGACACATGTGAGCATGGGAGACATCGAATCACCGAAACGGAGGGGGGGGCGTCTGGAGTCAGTGCTGCCCCACAGAACGCTCTGCAGTGATGGAAATGTTCTAGATCTGCAGGGCAACATGTGGCCGCCTAGATCCTCCTGGGGCAGCTGAGCATTTAAAACGTGGTGTCTAGAAAAGTGCACTTGTAACTTAGCTTACATTAATTTCAACTTCGTCAAGTGAACCTGATGGGCCAGCCTGCTCTATGACACATCCCAGCGCAGAGCTGGGACCCACTCCATGAACCAGACAGCCGAGGGTCCCCCTTCACACACAGTCTGTGCACACACCAGAAACCAATGACCATACATGTTAGAGGGAGGATTTTATGAAATGGGATTATTCTAGAGACACCTACTGCTACCAACGTGACGGACTTCTGGTGCCCCGCCAGCAGAGCTTTTCCCGTGCACCTTTTAGACGCATTTGTTGAAGGGGGAGGAGCTGAGAACCCCAGCACCTACTGTGGCAGCCTGTTTTTCTCGTCTTTCTTTCTAAAGCACCCACTCTCACCCAAGTACCTGCTCTCCCAGGTCCATGCACCACCTAAAGCCAAAGCCCACGTTCACATTTTGATCTCTAGCCTGGGCCTCTCCCAATGCCCCTTAAACCACCCCCTCAAAATTTCCACATGGCCGTCGGAGGGGCAGGCACCCTAGAGTGACTATGCCGCACGTCCAGCGCCCCATCCTCAATGCCGCTCCTGCCCACCTTGCAAAACAAACACGGGGCTCCCACTGCCCCACGGCACCGTGTCCAAACCTCGAAGCCCTGCCTTGCACTCCAGTGGCCGCCCTGCTGCCTCTGCCCAGGGACAGCCCCCAGCAGCTGCCACAGCAGCTCCCCCAGTTCAACACAGCGCCCCCACCCGCTGCCCTCGGAGGTCCCATCATTCCTCACGTTGTGAGTGCCGCTTCACTTCTCAAAGAGACTTTTGTGACTATCCCCACTGAGGCACTGAGCCTTCTGGCCCACCGCCACGGTTCCCCACCTTTTCTTCTAAGAATGGCCAATGCTGAAAGGAGCCAACTCCTCTATCTACACGCTTGCCACCTGCTTGTTTCCACCAAGATGCAACTGAGCGAGGACAGTGGTGGCCTCTCGTGCCTGGCCCTCCTCCAGAGGGCTGCACACCACATCTCCTATGGCTGCAGCAGCGTCATCTAAACCCCTCTGCTCACTGGACATTTGTTACCAATGCAAAAGGAAAAAAAGGCAGGAAAACGGCCGGTAATGGGCACAGAACCCGCAGAGTCCTGGGGTGGACACTGGTTGCTCCAAGCCGAGAACTGCCCGGAAAGAGATGGTTTTGGCCAGGCCACTAACTGAGTCCTGATGGGCCCACCAGCCTCTCAGCCTCACACCCTTGCACACTCGTCCCTCTAACTTCCCATGCTTCCGATTCCAGGCACAGCTTGCAAAATTAAAAAGAAATAACCTATATTGGTAATACACAGAATACTCCTTTCTTCTTCAACAGAATACATCCTATGTCACTGAAAACATTCAACCATTAAATGGGACAGAGATGGAGTCATGCTTTCAAAGAGACTTGGACGAAGGAAGAAAAATCACATCTCCCCAACTCTGCTCCACTGGGTAAAGCCTGCAGCCCCAGGCAGCCACACCTGGAGTCCCGCATACCTGCATCCCCCAGGAGTCCGGGCTCCATCTCCATGCCCTCCTGCTGCTGGTAGAAGTTTTCATAGAAGTTCTGGGCTGGCGGGATAGGGGGCATCATTCCAGAATGTGGGGAGTCTCCAGGGCCGTAGGGCATCATTGGAGGGCCGCCAGGGCCCATGGGTGGGCCAGGATTCATGCCAGGGCCCATCGGCATGTCTGCGTGCATGTCTGCGTGCATGTCAGGGTGCATGTCCGGGTGCATGTCGGGGTGCATGTCAGGATGCATTGGACCGCCCATTGGCCCTGGGGGTCCCATGTTGGGCCCAGGGCCCATTGGCCCTGGGGGTCCACCGGGTCCAGGGAACCTAGAAGAGGGAAAAGGTGCCTGTGACGGAAGCTGCCGAGGAGGGCAGTGGCCACACCCCAGAGGAGAGGCGGAGGGCTGCAGAGCCGAAGGTCATGGGCCCCAGACCAGGACTCCCACAGCTGGGGAGAGAGGCAGGACTCTCCCACAGCCAGGCTTGCCCTAACAAGAGGAGCCTGGCTGGGCCCAGGACAGCGCCCACTGCCTGTCACGGGGGTCCAGGGCACTCACCTCACACCCAGCTTCTCAGCCAGCTGTCCCGTGGGCCGCACCACGATCTCAAACAAGGAGGGGATCTTCTTGTTGTACATGTCCTGCTGCTGCAGCTGCTGCGGGGACAGTGGCTCATGCACCGGCATGGGCATCTGAGGGGGCCCGGGCGGTGGGGGAGGGGGAGGGGGCGGGGGCGGGGGGCCACCCTGCATGGGCCTGCCGTTGGGAGAGGTTGGAGCCTGCGGGCCAGGGGGCCGAGGAGGGGTGGGCAGGAGGCCCACACCAGGGGGCGGTTTGGGCAGGGGGTTGATGCCCTGCTTCTTCAGTTCCTCCACCTCCTTCTCATCCTCGGCACCTGCTTCTGCATCATCGGCCAACATCTGCGGGTGTGAAAGAACAAAAGAAGGTGTGGACGGGGTCAGGATGGAAACGGACCTCTCCAGGTCTGAGAGCTGAAGTTTATGAGGAAAAGTCCATAATACAAGGACCTTGAGATCTAAAGGCATAAAGACCACAATGGCTCTGTAACAAAAATCATCATCAGCCACCTCTCTGCTCCACTCTCGGGGACCAGCTGGTAGAGGGGGGGCCATTCCTGCTCTATGGCAAAATACACATAACAAAGCATACTGTTTAACCATTTAAAGTGAACGATTCAGCTGGGCGCAGGGACTCACATCTGTAATCCCAGCACTTTGGGAGGCCGAGGTGGGTGGATCACTTGAGGCCAGGAGTTCAAGACCAGTCTGGCCAACATGGCAAAACCCCATCTCTACTAAAAATACAAAAATTAGCCAGGCATGGTAGTGCACGCCTGTAGTCTCAGCTACTCGGGAGGCTGAAGCAGGAGAATCACTTGAACATGGGAGGCAGAAGCTGCAGTGAGCCAAGATCGCACCACTGCACCCCAGCATGGACAACAGAGGAGACTCTGTCTCAAAAATAAATAAATAATGCCAGACGTGGTGGCTCATGCTTGTAATCCCAGCACTTTGGCAGGCTGAGGTGGGCAGATCACCTGAGGTCAGGAGTTTGAGGCCAGCCTGGCCAACATGGTGAAACCCCATCTCTACTAAAAATACAAAAAAAATAGCCGGGCATGGTGGTGGGCACCTGTAATCCCAGCTACTCAGGAGGCTGAGGCAGAAGAATCGCTTGAACCTGGGAGGCGGAGGTTCCAGTGAGCCGAGATCACACTACTGCACTCCAGCCTGAGCGACAGAGCCAGACTCCATCTCAAAAAACAAAAACAAAACAAAGTGAACGATGCAGTGGCATTTGGCACATTAACAATGTTATGTAACCGCCACCTCTATATAGTTCCAGCACATTTTCATCACCCCCAAAAGAGACCCTGTACACACTAAGCAATCGCTCCCCACCCTCTACCCCCAGCCCCCGGCAGCCACTCTGCTTTCCGTCTCTGCGGACCTGCCCCTGCTGGACAGCTCCTGCGAACAGACTCATGCGCTGTGTGCGATGGGCGCTTTCACTTAGCAAAGTGCATCTATCTACAACACTGCTACATCTATCAGTATGTCACTCTGTTTTTTATGGCTGAATCATATTCCCCTGTCATGTTTGGATTTTAAGGGCCTCTGATCTCAACTCCTGACCATGACCCTTAGGGCCTAAGAGCAGGGGTGGGTGTCTGGGTGTCTAGGTATCTGGGGACGACTGGGTAGCTTCCTGGCAGCTTCATTTCCTCCCACGATCCCGACTCCTCCACCCCAACCACCCAGCCTCGTTTCAGTGCAATGAGCAGCCAAGCTCTCCCCTACAGGGCCAGGACCAGCTTCCCCCAGGTTTTTATTTTTCCTGTTATTCCCATGTGGCTCAACGTCACTCAACTGTTGAGGTCCCTCATTAGATGTCAATTCATAGTGTCTGTCCAGTCTCCTGTATTCACTACTGGGTCACCAGGAGTTCTCTGCCAACACTGCCTATGCCTTGTCGGATTATTCAGTCATTCCCATGTTCATCCTGGCTCAACCTCCCCATCAACTCCAAGAGGGCAGGACTGTTTCTTCCCTGCTATATCCCCAGGGCCCCCACGAGACCTGATACAGGGCAGACGCCCAGTGAGTGAATGAGAAATGTCAAAATCTCAACTGGACTAGAATGTCTCATCAGTTAGGATAGCGTGCAGAAAAGTGACACAGGAGGCCTGGCTGCTCTCCTTGGAAGGCCTGCTTGCAAGGCTAGGCCTCGGCTGGTGTCTGGGAAGCTGCATTTTGGGAGGGCTCCCAGCATTCACTGTCCAGTAAGAGGGGCTCACTGCATCTAAACTGTTTCTGCAACCAATGCAGTTTGTGCTGAATGCCTGCTTTGCCCCCCAAATCTGGAATTTTGGTCCATGCTGGGCAGAGGCTGCCTAGGTGAGCAGCCTAGTGAAAACCCTGGGCGCTGAGCAAGTCTCCTCGCAGACAGCATGCCACTCGTGCTGTCACAACTGGAGGAGGGCAGCGTGGCCCCTGCGAGTCCACAGGAAGAGGATGCGCCTGCTTCCTCCAGGCGCCCTCATGTACTCATTCCCAGGGCTGAGTTTGCCTGTGTCCCTTCACCGCAGTTAACATCTTGGCCGTGAGTCCCCCAGCAAGTTGCTCTGGGTCATCTTGGGGACCCCAGCACAGATCCCTTAGTTGGTCCTAACACAGGGTCATCAAGATAAACTAGTCCTGCCCCTCTGCCCAGGAACAGCAAGGCGGACAGAAACAGGACCCCCTGGTGGGGGTTGTGCATTCGCAGTTTTCCCTTCTCCTAGCCATTAGCAATGGTATCTGGACCCTGGAACCCCAGGGTCCAATAAGAATGTGGCTTCATGGAGGAGGTGTGGAAAACGACGCGGTGGAACCCCTCTGTCCTTCTGAACCCTGATATTCCAGGGGTGGTCAGCGTGTGAACCAGCAGCACAGGGGGACCCGTGGAGGCAGAACCCGCATTCTGCCCTTTGAGCGTGGGCACCACCACCTGAGATGAGCCTTGCTGGGAGGGCCCAGAGCCTTGCGCCAGCTGCTTTCAACACTGCCACGGGCTCACTTCCTCCTGGCCCAAGGGCCCTTCCTCAACTGTGTGTGGGGCCATGGCTTGCGCTGCAGCTGCCACCCTGCATCTCCCTCCTCCTCCTCCTCTTCAGTCCCCACTGCCGCACATCCTGGGGCCGCCAGTGTCACCTCCTCACAAAGCCTCTTGAATGTCTGCCTCCTGAATAGAGCCCAGCTAGAGTCCTGGGCTCCCACACTTATTCTTCACGGCCTGATCCCCACGTGTGTGTGCGCACACACACATACACACACACACTCACACTCCCCATGTGTCATCAGCATCCGCCCAAGGACCTAACCCTGCCTCCTCAGCACCCCCAGTGCCTGGCACAAACAAGGCACAGAGATTTATTGAGTGAACGACTAAGCAAGGAACACAAACCAATGCATTCCCTGGAATCCAGAGGCTGGGTCCAGTGCAGAGGAGAAAGGAGCTCAGGCCCTGAATGGTTGACTCCACCATGGAGTCAACTGCGGAGTCAACCCAAACTGCCCATCGGTCCTGCCAGCACAGACCCTGTGGAGGGCACCTCTGTCCCTGGCCCCTCCACCAGCAAAGACACCAGCTGAGACAACTAGCACCCCGCTAGGTGCCAAAACCTCTCTAGCCAGGACAGACTATCAGTGATCACAGTTTCCAACAGTCAGTCACCTTCTGCAAGCAATAAGTAACACTTGTAGAGGTGCAGAGGCATGTGGGCTGAGCCCCATTAGGCCATGTGAATAAGCTCCAGGCCACTGGTCACCAACGCTGTTGCCTCGAACTGGAAACAACTCAAATGTCCTTCAACGGATGACTGGATAAACAAACACAGATCATCCGCTCAGTGGGACACTACACAGCAACAAATGGTAATGAACTGTTACTTGCAACAACGGGTGAACCTCAAAGGCTTCATGCCAAGTGCAAGAAGCCAGACTCAACACATGCACGCGTGCGCGCGCGCGCACACACACACACACACACACTCACACTCTTAAAGCCTGTTTACCCCATAATTCTATTTATATGATTTGCTTGAAAAAGCAAAACCAAAAGACAGACCCTGATCCACGGTTGCCAGGCACTGGAGATGTGGGGTGGCATTTACTATAAAGGACACAGCAGAGTTTCTGGGGTGATGGAATGGGTTTCCTAGATCCATCTTGTGGGGTGGTGACATGACTCAATGTGTTTGTCAAAACTCATAGAACCAGGCCAAGCGCAGTGGCTCACGCCTGTAATCCCAGCACTTTGGGAGGACGAGGTAGGTGGATTACGAGGTCAGGAGTTCAAGACCAGCCTGACCAAGATGGTGAAACCTTATCTCTACTAAAAATACAAAAATATTAGCTGGCCGGGCGCAGTGGCTCACACCTGTAATCCCAGCACTTTGGAAGGCAGAGCCGAGCAGATCACGAGGTCAGGAGTTCGAGACCAGCCTGATCAACATGGTGAAACCCTGTCTCTACTAAATATATAAAAATTAGCCGGGCGTGGTGGCACACACCTGTAATCCCAGCTACTCAGGAGGCTGAGGCAGGAGAATCGCTTGAACCTGGGAGGCGGAAACTACAGTGAGCCAAGGTTGCACCACTGCACTCCAGCCTGGGTGACAGAGCAAGACTCCGTCTCAAAAAAAAATTTTTTCAAAAAAACATTAGCTGGATGTGGTGGCGGGCCTCTGTAATCCCAGCTACTCAAGAGGCAGAGAACTGCTTGAACCTGGGAGGCGGAGGTTGCAGTGAGCCAACACTGCACTACTGCACTCCAGCCTGGACGACAGAGCGAGATTCCGTCTTGGAAAAAAAAAACAACTCACAGAACTATATATCAGGTGCGGTGGTTCATGCCTGTAATCCCAGCACTTTGGGAGGCCTGCGGGTGGATCACCTGAGGTCAGGTGTTCGAGACCAGCCTGGCTAACATGGTGAAACCCTGTCTCTACTAAAAATACAAAAATTAGCCAGGCGTGTGTCAGGCACCTGTAATCCCATCTATTCAGGAGGCTGAGACAGGAGAATCACTTGAACCCAGGAGGCGGAGGTTGCAGTGAGCCGAGATCGCATCATTGCACTCCAGCCTTGGCAACAAGAGTGAAACTCCGTCTTAAAAAAAAAAAAAAACTGGTACCAAAGAGGACACACAAAAACATAGATAAAATGCTAAGAACTGCTTAAAGCACTCAGATAAATTTAGAAGGTATGGATTCTCAGCTAGGCATGGTGGCTCACGCCCGTTATCCCAGCACTGTGGGAGGCCAAGGCGGGCGTGGATCACCTGAGGTTGGGAGTTCGAGACCAGCCTGACAAACGTGGAGAAACCCCGTCCCTACTAAAAACACAAAAAATGAGCCGGGCGTGATGGCACATGCCTGTAATCTCAGCTACTCAGGAGGCTGAGGCAGGAGAATCGCTTGAACCTGGGAGGCGGAGGTCGTGGTGAGCCAAGATCGCGCCACTGTGCTCCAGCCTGGGCAACAAGAGCAAAACTCCGTCTCAAACAAAAAAAAAAAAAAAAAAGAAGGTATGGATTTTCAGGAAAAAGGTCTGTGTGCATACTCCAAAGCAGAAATCTACAACCCTCTAAGTTTTGCAAACATCAAGTTTTGCTTTCAGAAAATATTGCTCTCTACAGAATTTACTTTTAACGGACTCAAGTACCATTATACTTAATCTCTGTTGGCTTCACAGGTGCCCACTTCCATGAAGCCAAGGGAGATCAAATATAATCCCAATGCCACTTAAAAAATTTTTTTTCCAGCCGTTGAAACTACATACAAAAAGCCCCCCTAAACTATCTCTATTTTTTTCATTATTTTTTATTATTTCCTAAAATTATGTTTGGCGATAAATGAGATATATTGTTAAAATTAATTTCACGAGGTAGGTGGCTTATTTCAGGTCAGGAGTTTGAAACCAGCCTGGCCAACATGATAAAACCTCATCTCTACTAAAAATACAAAAATTAGCCAGGCACGGACGGGCATGGTGGCTCACACCTGTAATCCCGGCACTTTGGGAGGCCAAGGCAGGAGAATCGCTTGAACCCAGGAGGCGGAGGTTGCAGTGAGCCGAGACCACGCCCACTGCACTCCAGCCTGGCAACAGAGCGAGACTCCGTTTCAAAAAAAACAAAAAATTAGCCAGGCGCATTGGTGCACACCTGTAACCCCAGCACTTTGGGAGGCCGGGGCGGGTGGATCACCTGTCGAGGTGGGTGGATCAGGAATTCGAGACCAGCCTGGCCAACATGGTGAAACCCTGTCTCTACTAAGAATACAAAACTAATCACGAATTTGAGACCAGCCTGGCCAACAGGGTGAAACCCTGTCTCTACTAAAAATACAAAACTCAGCTGGGCATGGTGGCTGGCACCTGTAATCCCAGCTACTCAGGAGGCTGAAACAGGAAATCACTTGAACCTGGAAGGCAGAGGTTGCAGTGAGCCGAGATGGTGCCATTGCACTTCAGCCTGGGCGAAAGAGTGAAACTCCGTCTCAAAAACAAACAAACAAAAATTAGCCGGGTGTGGTGGTGGGCGCCTGTAATCCCAGCTACTGTGGAGGCTGAGGCAGGAGAATCGCTTGAACCCAGAAGGCGAAGGTTGCGGTGAGCAGAGATCGCGCCATTGCACTCCAGCCTGGACAACAAAGCAAGACTCCATTTCATTTCCATTTTTTTTTTTTTGAGACAGAGTCTCGCTCTTGTTGCCCAGGCTGGAGTGCAATGGCACGATCTCAGCTCACCGCAACCACCGCCTCCCGGGTTCAAGCGATTCTCCTGCCTCAGCCTCTCGAGTAGCTGGGATTACAGGTATGCACCACCTTGCCTGGCTAATTCTGTATTTTTAGTAGAGATGGGGTTTCTCCATGTTGGTCAGGCTGGTCTTGAATTCCCAACCTCAGGTGATCCGTCTGCCTCGGCATCCCACAGTGGGGGGGTTACAGGAGTGAGCCACTGCGCCTGGCCAGACGCCACTTCAAAAAAGAAAAAAAAAGTAATTTCACCTGTTTCTTTTTACTTTTTTTTTTTTTTTTAATGTGGCTACTGGAAAATTTTAAATGAATGATGTGATTCTGTGGTGCTCCTGTGGGCAGCACTGGCCTGAAGCACAAACCTGGAGCCTCCAGCAGGGGGCAGTCCTCAGTCAGAGATCAGTGAGTCCTCCCAAGGAGCCGTGAGGCCTGACTGGCCACTGCTTCCCCTGTCAAACAGCTCAGACCCTAGGTATGTACTGATTACATAACCCTGGGGCATGCCAGGCGCTGTGGCTCACACTTGTAATCCCAGCGATTTGGGAGGCCAAGGTGGGCGGATCACAAGGTCAGTAGTTCGAGACCAACCTGGCCAACATGGTGAAACCCCGTCTCTACTGAAAATAGCTGGGCGCAGCGGCATGCGCCTGTAGTCCCAGCTACTCGGGAGGCTGAGGCAGGACAAACGCTTGAACCCAGGAGGTAGAGGTTGCAGGGAGCCGAGATTGTGCCACTGCACTCCAGCCTGGGTGACAGAGTGAGACTCTGTATCAAAAAACAAACAAAACAAAAAAACCCTAGGGCAGCAGGCTCCCCGGAGGGACTTGCCTTTTCCTACAGGCGCCCTGCCAACGAGGAATGGACATTCTCCTACGTCTGCTTGCATGGGGCTTCCCCTGCACCCCTCACAGGGGTGCCCCTGCCACCAGTTAACAAGACAGTCACTGACAGATGGACTCTGGAAGCCGGCAGATGTGCTGATGCCTTGATCCTTTCCACTGTCAAAAAAAATAGCCAATCTCCTAGAACCTCCTTGTGAACTAGAAGGCAGGAAAGCTTCATTTGAAAGGGCACCAGTTCCCGTACCCACTCACTCCCCAGATGAATCAGGAAACTCAGGACTGATGTTTGGGTATTTAACCCTAACCCAAGGTCCTCAGCCTGACTCCTCAGGGAGGACAACTGATGCCAGGATGAGTTTCAAATGTCACCTGGCTAGTGGGGAAGCCCTGACACCTCCCCCAAGGGAGCCTTCCCCTTTAGAGACCCCCAACTTCCCTCTATTTTCTCTAATGCATAATGGGGGCCCTGAGAGTTGCAAAGAAACGTTTGACTTTTCCACCAAAATACAATCCTTGCCTCGTCTTTGTGTATCTTTGGTTTTTTGTGGTCTTTCTTGGAGATGGCGTCTTGCTCTGTTACCCAGGCTGGAGTGCAGTGGCATGATCATGGCTCACTGCAGCCTCAATCTCCTGGACTCAACAGATCCTCCCACCTCAGCCTCTCGAGTAGCTGGGACCATAGGCATGTGCCACAATACCTGGCTAATTTTTTTTTTTTTTTTGAGACACAGTCTCACTCTGTTGCACAGGCTGGATGGAATGCAGTGGTGTGATCTCAGCTCACTGCAACCTCTGCCTCCTAAGTAGCTGGGACTACACGCATGTGCCACCACAACTAGCTAATTTTTATATTTTTAGTAGCAATGAGGTTTTGCCATGTTGGCCAGGCAGGTCTTGAGAACCTGGCCTCAGGTGATCTGCCCGCCTCAGACTCCCACAGTGCTGAGATTACAAGCGTGAGCCACCACACTCGGTTAAGTTTTTTGTATTTTTTTTTTAAGAGACGGGGTTTTGCCATGTTGCCCTAAGTACAACTGATCTGCCTGCCTTGGCCTCCCAAAGTGCTGGGATTACAGGCATAAACCACTGCACCCAGCCCAGCCAATTTTTTTTAATTTATTTTTAGTAGAAACAACGTCTTGCTACATGCCTAGGCTGGTCTTGAACTCCTGAGCTCAACTGATCCTCCTGCCTCGGCCTCCCAAAGTGCTGGGGTTACAGGTGATTCGTGTATCTTTGTGTATTGTGAGCTCTCTCTAAATGACACCTAAGAGATCACGATTCATGCTTGGAGGCCCATCAGGCAGCATTCCTTTCATTTGGTCATGCCCCAGGGGAAACAGCAAAAGCTTGTCCTGGCCTAAGACAACACATGTGACCACCTCAACTCCTTGCAGAAGAGGACACAGTGCCCGTGTCCTCCTTAGAATGGCCCAATTCCAGATCAACCAAACTGGGCACTGCAGAGGCTGGACAGGCAGGCCACAGCACTGAGGCAATGGAGTGCGCATGTCCCAGTTCCTGTAGCCGGGGGCCCCGTTACCCCCGGACATTACCTTATCCAAGAGCTCCCTCGTCTCTTCGGTCAGAGGGTCGTGGGAAAACATGCAGTCGTCACCATTGATGCAGTTCCCAGTGGTGTGGTACAGCTTACACGGGAAATCACGTTCATGGCAAATTAAGGTAAATGCTTCATCTCACAGAACGCCCCCCTCCCCCACCACAGACCCAAGGCAGAATCCAGCTCCCTTTGTTTTGGAGATAAGAAATCTGAGCCCAGAGAGGTGAGGCGATGTGCTAAGGGCTGCTCAGTGGGTTGGCAGGAAATCCACGGAGAGACCCCGGCACTCCAGACTGCAGGGCACTTCCAGCCCCACTACACTGGCTGGGGGCTGCGTCCTCAGATGGTCAACCAGACTAGGGAAGTTAAATGACTCACCCAAGGTATAAAACCACCTGGAAGAATCTCAGCCAATGGTATGGGCCAGTCTTGAGAGCCTATGTAAACAGAACATGCTCCATGTGCATCTCAGTTTACTCCCTGGAAGGATGGGAAAGACAGACCCCTCTGAGGGCGGACGTGAGTGTTAAATGAGATGGAGACTCACAGAAAGCTCTTGGCACAGAGAGAAAGCACAGAGAAGGAAGATTGGCTGTTACTACCACCATCAAGGAGCAGAGAAGTTCTGCGCCCTCATTCAGACCAGATGCTGGCACTAAAGGATATCGTGCATATAAGGGCAGTTCTCAGCTCTGGCGCAAAATCCAGTGATGTAAAACTTGCACAGTTCTCGCTTCTTTGGGAGTTCGATGTCATGGCTAAAATTACAGTGGTCTCCCTAGAAGAGAAGCAACAAAAACATAAGGTGGTGGCGTGGGAAGCTCTTGCTTACTTCTGTCTGCAAAGGGAAGAAATACTGTCACTGCTGGTGCATGGAGGGGCCAATGACAGAAACGAATCCCCCTTAGGAAAGGAAGACAGGTGTAGGAAGGGCAGGTCCCAAAGGCTGTTGGGACTAATTTTTTAAATATTTTTTTGTAGAGACAGGTCTCACTATGTTGCCCAGGCTGGTCTCAAACTCCTGGGTTCAAGTGATCCTCCCACTTTGGCCTCCCAAAGCGCTGGGATTATAGCCATGAGCCACCAAGCCTGGGTACTTCCTGAATTTAAAGAAAAGCCTTTTGTCCATTTTTCTTCCTCCCAGACCTTGGATGTGATGCTCGGAGGCACAGCAACCACCGTGTAACCATGAGGACAAAAGCCATATGTTTAAAGATGGCAGAATAGTAAGCAGGAATGAGCCTAGGTCCCCCAGGGTACCCCTGACCACTGCGCTGCCAGCTACTGCCCACCCAGCTCCAGACTCCTGGTTCTGAGAGACAAATGTCTATGTGTTGAAGCCAATTTTGTTAAGTTTTCCTTTATTTCCGGTTGAACACAGTCTCAACGACACAATACCTAGGTGAAATCCAGGATTGTGTTCTCCATTCTTCATCATTCAGTCCTCAGGAATCACTCACCATAACCGTGAACTGAAGACAGAAGCTGATCTGTCCCCCTTTTACGAATGCCTATTCATTTGTCTTAATTTATTTACTTATTTTTGAGACAGAGTCTGGCTCTGTCGCCCAGGCTGGAGTGCAATGGCACGATCTTGACTCACTGCAACCTCCACCACCCAGGTTCAAGCGATTCTCCTGCCTCAGCGTCCCAAGTAGCTGGGAGGCTGAGGAAGGAGAATGGCATGAATCCAGGAGGCAGAGCTTGCAGTGAGGCAGAACTTGCAGTGAGGCGAGATCACACCACTGCACTCCAGCCTGGGCGACAGAGAGAGACTCGGTCTAAAAAAAATTAAAAAAAAAAAAAGAGAGAGAGAGAGAGAGAGATGGGGTCTATGTTGCCCAGGGTGTATTCATTTGTTCTTGCTTATATGTATTTCAAGTTTCTCAACAGAATAGAAATTGTAACTAAATAAGAAATACTGCCCGGGCACGGTAGCTCACATTTGTAATCCCAGCACTTCAGGAGGCTGGAATCAGGAGTTTGGGACCAGCCTGGCCAACATGGCGAAACCCTGTCTCTACTAAAAATACAAAAATTAGCCGGGTGTGGTGGCGGGCAGGCACCTATAGTCTCAGCTACTCAGGAGGCTGAGGCAGGAGAATCGCTTGATCCCAGGAGGCGGAGGTTGCAGTGAGCCGAGATCACGCCACTGCACTCCAGCCTGGGTGACAGTGAGACTTGGTCTCAAAGGAAAAAACAAATTATTTTATACACAACATTATTTGTTTGAAGCATCTATTTCTTCCCAAGACAGATGCAGGGGTGCAGTGTGCCCTGAGCACACATCTGCTGGTGTCTGTTGCTGCCTGGGATACTGGGGTAAGAAGCTGCCGGCTGAACTAATACTGGGTTATTATACTTGTTTCCTTCAGAACTCTGTGGTCATTGGTCCATCTTCTGACATTGAACTCTGCTATGAAGTCCAAGGTTAACCTCATCCTCCCCTCCTCTTCTGTTTGGATGCTTTAATCATTCCCCATTCAACCCTGAAGCTCAATAACTTCACCAGGATATGCTGCTGCTTTGCATTCACATCAACCTCCATAATTACGTTTCAGGCTATATGGATTGGTTGAAAATTTTGGCCAAAAAATTCCCCTAAAACCAAAAGTCCTCATCTTACTGGGGGTCCTCCTCACTCTGAAAGGTAACCTGAGTCTTTCAGGCCGCCCAGGCAACTCCCAGTATCGGCAAGTGTCCACAAGGACAAGGACTACACAGTCACTCCCACCCACCCTCACCACGGCTCCAGAACCTTCTGGAAGCCATGTGTCCTCTGGGGGCTATGGCCTCCTAGAGGTGCCCAGCTTTCAGCGCTCCTTACCCAGGTGCAGCGCCCTTCCACGAAGTACTTGCAAATGACTTTGCCTTTCTTGTCCGACTGCTGGTGGGGCTTGTCATGGTCACGACTCCGGTAGCTTCCACCACCACCGTCCTGCAATGGACAGGGTGTGGACGTAAAGGGGAATGAAAGGGAAGGGTAGAGATGGGATCGGGGTTAATAAGAAGCACGGGAGAAGGGGATGAGGGGTCCCTTCAGATCTCACAAGAGCACCGATGGGCAGGCTGCATCTAACACGGAGGCTGCGTGCACCTTATAAGCCCCACGGTGTGGGGTGTTGCTGCCTGGTGAGGAAAAGCTCTAGCCTTTAGAGCTGTTAGCCACTTACACCTCAAGTTCCACACAACTGTGCAGGAACACGTCCACCACACCCAGAGGTGGTGGCATGGGTCTCCCTGCAAAACCTTCCAGGGCTAATTGGATGGTTCACCTAGAACCTTCTGAACCTCAGAGATGTGTTAGGTATGGCTGCAGGTGCTGCTAATGACATGGTTTTAAACACAGGGTCTCAGCAGCAGCGCATCTCCCCAGGATAACTCTAGTTGTCGCTGGTTATGCTGGTCAACACTGGCCAGCCCTTTGGGGGGTGGCTGATGGCAGCAAGGATCAGCTTCACAGAATGACTCATTAAAGGGAAAAAGGACTAAGAAGGGACCTTGGCCCAAACATCAGATCAGAGTGGAGTCAACTCACGCCCATGTCCTCGTCATAGAAGTCTTCGTCATCGTTCATTCCGCCCTTGTTCATCCCTCCTCGGCTGCCACCTCGGCCTCGGCCCCGACCCATTCCTTTCCCTCGACCTCGGGAGCCCCTGCCACGGCCTCGACTTAGCCCTGTGGAGGGGAGATTGTGTGAAGACCTGCTGACCACCCCCTCCCCCACCCCCAGGACTAGATTCCAGCAGCTGCTGGAATCCCTGCCCCACCCAGCGTGTCCTCTCCAGGCCCCTGCCCACCTCGGCCTCGGCTGTCCTTGGAGCGGCGGTACTGGTTCAGCTCCTTGGAGTACTCGTCATAGTCGTCGTCTCCCATTGGCTCCTCACTCTCTCCATACTGGAATGCGCAGAGGAGAGGGCAGGAGAGCGTCAGGTAGGGAACAATGAACACTGTCCCCACCTACACACTGCTCCTTTTTGAAGGATGGTGACCATCCAGGGGACTCATACCATAACCCGTTTCCACACAGCCTGACGACAGGTGGTCCCAATCCTTCCCACTGCAGTCTTCACTGTGAAGACCTGACCCAATAGGCAAACCCAGCATGGAGCCTCCCTACGTACACATCACTGTGGGGCTCTAAAAGGGAGTGGGCAGTGGACTGTGGACTGGCGTGGAAGGTCTGTGGGTAGGACCAGGATGGCAAGTGCAGTGCACCTGCCGCTCCTCCTCCTGGGTCGGGACAGGGATGAAGGACCACGTGCCTGGCTGGAAATGTCTCTAGAGGACTTTCAGGAAACTTCTCTCTAGTGATGGGATGTTTTCACAGCACATCCTGTGATACTTCTTCTTTTTCTTTTTTTGAGACAGAGTCTTGCTCTGTCGCCTAGGCTGGAGTGCAGTGGTGCGATCTCGGCTCACTGCAACCTCCACCTCCCGGGTTCAAGTGATTCTCCTGCCTCAGACTCCTGCATGAATAGCTGGGACTACAGGCGCGTGCTACCACACCCGGCTAATTTTTTGTATTTTTAGTAGAGACAGGGTTTCACCGTGTTAGCCAGGATGGTCTCCATCTCCTGACCTCGTGATCCACCTGCCTCAGGCTCCCAAAGTACTGGGATTACAGGTGTGAGCCACCGCGCCCAGCCGATACCTTTTCTACTTTAAACCACGTGAAGGTTTTATCTATTCCAAAATGATAAATGAATATTTTTAAACACATACATCTGCGCTCTGAGGCTTCCCTTCCTTCAGAAGGGCCGTATGTCTTCCTACCTTGGCCTCACAGCCTCTACCAGCAGTGCTCACGCCCCGGAAAGCCCACCAGCCTCACCCCGACGTCCCCAGGGCCAGAGGAAACCTTACGTCCATCTCTTCCTCGTAGAAATCCTCTTCATCCTCCGGGTGGTCTCCTCCCATAGAGCCTCTGCCCCTGCCTCGGCTGCCCCTGCCCATGCCGCGGCCTCGCGATCCTCCACGGCTTCCTCGGCCCCTGTAGCCCCGGCCCCGGCCTCGGCTGCCTGCATGGAGATTCAGATAGTGAGCCTCCAGCAGGAGCAGATGCCACCAGCAAGAAAGAAGACAACCCACATTTTGCTCCTGAGGTCAATCACTTCAGCTGCCTCCTCCTCCTTCTCCTCCTCCTCCTCCTCCAAGAAGCCTTCCTAGATGCCCCAGGTAGGCTACTGGACCCTCTGGTTCTCTCAATGGGGGTCCCTCAGCACCCCAGACACACAGCTACTCCAGTACTCACTCCCCTTCCTCACAGGGACTTGTCTACTTAGAACTGCACTGTCCAATATGGCAAACACCAGCCCATGGGCTAATGTGCAACTAACACGTCTGGTCCAAACTACAAGATGCTAGCCTTGAAGTCTGACAAGACAAGCTAGCCCTGTAGTTTGGACCTGTGATTTAGACAAGACTCCAAAACACACATTGGACTTCAAAGACTTAGTTAAAAAAAAAAAAAAGAGGCTGGGTGTGGTGGCTCATGCCTGTAATCCCAGCACTCTCGGAGGCTGAGGTGGGCAGATCACCTTAGGTCAGGAGTTTGAGACCATCCTGGCCAACATGGTGAAATCTTGTTTCTACTAAAAATAGAAAAATTAGCCAGGTGTGGTGGCGCACACCTGTAATCCCAGTTACTCAGGAGGCTCAGGTGGGAGAATTGCTTGAACCCGGGAGGCAGAGGCTGCAGTAAGCTGAGAATGCGCCACTGCACTCCAGCTTGGGCAACAGAGTGAGACCCCGTCTCTCACACACACACACACACACACAAAAAAAAACCCAAATGAGAAAGAATATAAAATATCTCATTTGTCTAATTTGATTACACGTTGAAGTAAGATTTTAAACATATTAGGTTGAAAACAGATTATCAAAATTAATTTAATTGGTTTCACTTTTTTCTTCACTTAAAAAAAAAAAGAGTGGCCAGGTGCAGTGGCTCAATCCTATAATCTCAGCACTTTGGGAGGCCCAGTTGGGCAGATCACTTGAGAACAGGAGTTCGAAACAAGCCTGGCCAACATAGCAAAACCTCATCCCTCATCTCTACTAAAAATACAAAAAATTAGGCCAGGCGCAGTGGTTCACACCTGTAATCCCAGCACTTTGGGAGGCCAAGGCGGGTGGATTGCCCGAGCTCAGGAGTTCAAGACCAGATTGGGCAACACAGTGAAACCCATCTCTACTAAAAATAAAAAAGCCAGGCATGGTGGTGCAGGCCTGTAATCCCAGCTACTGGAGAGGCTAAGGCACGAGAATTGCTTGAACCTCGGAGGCGGAGGTTGCAGTGAGCCAACATGGTGCCACTGCACTCCAGCCTGAGCGACAGAGTGAGACTCTGTCTCAAAAAAAATAAATAAATAGGCTGGGCGCGGTGGCTCACGCCTGTAATCCCAACACTTTGGGAGGCTGAGGCGGGCGGATCACGAAGTCAGGAGATCGAGACCATCCTGGCTAACATGGTGAAACCTCATCTCTACTAAAACTACAAAAAATTAGCCGGGCGTGGCGGCAAGCACCTGTAGTCCCAGCTACTCAGGAGGCTGAGGCAGGAGAATGGCATGAACCCGGGAAGCGGAGGTTGCAGTGAGTCAAAATTGTGCCACTGCACTGCAGACTGGGCAACAGAGCGAGACTCCATCTCAAATAAATAAATAAATAAATAAGCTGGGTGTGGTGGCACATGCCTGTAATCCCAGTTACTTGCGGGAGTAAGGCACAAGAATTGCTTGAACCCAGCCAGGCGCAGTGGCTCACGCCTGTAATCCCAGCACTTTGGGAGGCCGAGGTAGGCGGATCACGAGGTCGAGAGATCGAGACCACCCTGGTCACCAACATGGTGAAACCCCATCTCTACTAAAAATACAAAAAAAGCCGGGCATGGTGGTAGGCGCCTGTAATCCCAGCTACTTGGGAGGCTGAGGCAGGAGAATCGCTTGACCTCTGGAGGCAGAGGTTGCAGTGAGCCGAGATCGCGCCATTGCACTCCAGCCTGGGCAAAAAGTGAAACTCTGTCTCAAAAAAAAAAGAAAGAATTGCTTCAACCCAGGAGGCACAGGGTAGAGGCTGCAGTGAGCCTAAATCGTGCCACTGCACTCCAGGATGGGTGACAGAGCAAGATTCTGTCTCCCAATAAACAAAAAAGAGTGATGGGATCTCGCTGTGTTGCCCAGGCTGGCCTCCAACTCCCGGGCTCAAGTGATTCTCCTGCCTCCACCTCTCAAGTAGCTGGGACTATCCAGTGTCCTTTTCACTTTTTAAATGTGGCTACCAGAAAATATAAACGACATGGTGGCTTCCAATCTATTTCTACTTGACAGCACTGGCCTAGGATCTCCCCAAAGCACAGGGGCTGCCCCAGGGAGGTATCCAAGAAAGACTGCTAGAAGAACCAATGGGCCGGGCGCGGTGGCTCACGCCTGTAATCCCAGCACTTTGGGAGGCCGAGGTGGGCAGATCACGAGGTCACGAGATCGAGACCAGCCTGACCAACATGGTGAAACTCCGTCTCTACTAAAAATACAAAAACTAGCTGGGTGTAGTGGCACGTGCCTGTAATCCCAGCTACTCAGGAGGCTGAGGCAGAAGAATTGCTTGAACCCGGAAAGCAGAGGTTGCAGTGAGCCGAGATCGCGCCACTGCACTCCAGCCTGGCGACAGAGCAAGACTCCGTCTCAAAAAAAAAAAAAAAAAAAAAAAAAAGAATGAATGAACAGCTACTCAACAAGCTGGGCCTCAGGCAGGGCTCACAAGTCTGAGAACCCCTGCACTGGAAGATTCCAGAAGCCATTCTCAGGCTGGGCAGTCTTTCTGGCAGGAGATGGTTCAATGGTTCTTTTTGGTTGCTGTTGTTGGTCAGGCTGGTCTCGAACTCCTGACCTTAGGTGATCCGACAGCCTCGGCCTCCCAAAGTGCTGGGATTACAGGCATGGGCCACTGCGCCGGCAGAGATGTGTTCTAAGAGGCCAGTCAGGGCTACCGTGTCTCTGGTGCTCAAGCCTCCTCCACCTTCCTCCCAAAGGACACAGGTTCAAGGTTCAGAGGTGTGGCAGTGGCAAGGACTGCAGTCACACTTTGTCAGGTGATGGGGCTGGGAGAATGGGGGAGCACTGCTGTGGGGTGTGGCAGCCAGCTGTCAGTGACCATGGCCCAGGTGAAAGAGAAGCTGTTCCCTTCTCCCCCCACAGCTGACCAGGAAGTGACCTTTCGGGCACGCTGGCCTTCTCCCTGCCTCACACCAGCCTGGTACCACCCCAACCACAGCCCAGCGGGTGATCTCTCCGGTCTCCTGTGCCATGCACATGCAGAGCCTGGCCCTTCTTTGTACACTTATCCCAACCCTAAGTGACCAAACTTGAGGTTCTGTGAGACCAGGCCACCGGGGTTGGCCCGGGTGGCTCCGATGCCCCAGAGGAGAAACTGTAAGGGCAGGGCTCACCTCGGCCGCGGCTGCTGCCCTCCTTGGCACGCCGGTACTGGTTCAGCTCTTTGGTGAAGTCGTCATAGTCCTCCTTGCCCATGTCCTCCTCCTCGTCGCCCTCATATTCCCCATACTGCTCATTCTCGTAGTCCTCGTACATGCCATAACTCTTGCTGTCCATCTTGGAGTATGCCTTCTTGGGCAGGGGCGTGGCATGCGATGGGGGGTACTGCTGGTGGGACTGCGTCCCAGAGATGGGGAAAAGAGGTGAGCCGGATCCCACAGCCGTGGGTGCAGACTACCAAGATACCCAGGGTTCCCTAAACGAACATGTCTGTCTGGGTGTCACTACTGTCCCAGGGTTGCACTGCTGGTCTCCAGCCCCTCTGGGGACTGGTTCTCGTACCAGGGAGTGGGAGTAGCAGCGGGCCCAAGTGTTTCTGTTCTTCATAAAGGGCCAGAACTAGAAAGAAAACAGAACCACAGACCCCCGATCCCTGATGAACAAAGGGGAGAAGAAGGGAGCATTTCCCAAGGATGCAGAGCAAGCGCACGTGGAGGGGCCTGGGAAGCAGGCGGGGGCTGCTTGGTCACAATTTTCCTAGGGCCCTGGAATTCAATAAATGGCCTGCTTGGCAGCCAGGCTGGACAGCCATCTCAAATGATGCTTTCCAAAGTGTGGTAATGCCAAGTGGTACTAGAAGAAGTTAAAGATACTCATAAAAACGGAAGCAACCAAGACATCCTTCAACAGGTAAATGGATAACAAACTGGTATATCCAGACAATGGAGTAACGACGAATATGTAACAATAAAGTGTGTATTGGGCAAAACCCAGAGAACTATACAACCCTAAGTAATAACAATGTATCAATACCGGCTCATCAATTCTAACAAAGTTACCACAACAATGCAAGACATTGGTAATGGGAAACTGGAGGCAGGGAAGGGGGCAGGCAGAGGGGAGAAGGGAACTCTACTACTACCTGCTCAATTTTGAATAAACTTAAAACAGCTCTAAAAAAGAAAGTCAGGGGGCTGGGCGCGGTGGCTCATGCCTGTAATCCCAGCACTTTGGGAGGCCGAGGCGGGCAGATCACAAGGTCAGGAGATGCAGACGCGAAATGCGATCTCTACTAAAAATGCAAAAATGCAACAACAACAACAACAACAAAATAGCCGAGTGTGGGGCAGGCACCTGTAATCCCAGCTACTTGAGAGGCTGAGGCAGGAGAATTGCTTGAACCCGCGAGGCAGAGGTTGTAGTGAGCAGAGACTGCACCACTGCACTCCAACCAGGGTGACACAGCGAAACAACAACTCAAAAAAATTAAAATAAAGTCCGGGCACAGTAGCTCACACCTGTAATCCCAGCACTGTGGGAGGCCCAGGCAGGCAGATCTCTTGAGGTCAGGAGTTCCAGACCAGCCTGGCCAACATGGTGAAACCCAGTCTCTACTAAAAATACAAAATGAATTAGCCGGGCATGGTGATGGGCGCCTCTAATCCCAGCTACTCGGGAGACTGAGGTGTGAGAATCACTTGAACCCGGGAGGCAGAGGATGCGGTGAGGCAAGATTGCGCCACTGCACTCCAGCCTGGGCGACAGAGCGAGACTCTGTCTCAAAAAATAATTAAAATTAAAAAAAAAAAGTTGGGCCAAGCGTGGTAGCTCACGCCTGTAATCCCAGCACTTTCGGAGGCAAAGGCAGGCAGATCACAAAGTCAGGAGTTCGAGACCAGCCTGGCCAACATAGTGAAACCCCGTCTCTACTAAAAATACAAAAAAAAAAAATTTGCCAGGTGTGGTGGTGGGCGCCTGTAATCCCAGCTACTTGAGAGGCTGAGGCAGGAGAATCGCTTGAACCAGGGAGGCGGAGGTTGCAGTGAGCCGAGATTGTGCCACTGCACTCCAGCTTGGGCGACAGAGCGAGACTCCATCTCTAAATAAATGAATGAATGAACGCATAAAAAAGTCGGCTGCGCATGGTGGCTCATGTCTGCAATCCCCGCACTTTGGGAGGCCGAGGTGGGCAGATCATTTGACCCCAGGAATTTGAGACCAGCCTGGGCAACATTTTGAAACCCCATCTCTACCAAAAGTACAAAAATTAGCCTTGGCGTTATGGCCCATGGTTCCAGCTACTTAGGAGGCTGAGGCAGGAAGATCACCTGAGCCCAGGGAGCTCGAGGCTGCAGTGAGGTGAGATCACACCACTGCACTCCAGCCTGGGCAACAGAGTGAGATCCCATCTCAATAAACAAACAAACAAACAATAAAGCCCACTAATTTTAAAAAATCCGAATTATAGAAAAACAGGACAATGCAAAATACAGCTAGACACACAGACACACATACAAGTACTTTAGCAGATCTTTAAAATGCCTCCAGCTCTAGTTCATAAAAAGCACGCAATGTTCCCTCCATTTCCTGCCTCCCTCAGGTTTGAAGGCCAAACCTACACCAGTAGATCAATCTCAACTATGGTATTGGACAATGAATCATTTGTTGTGATGGATGATGCTGGGTCATGGGATACCTGGGACAGCTTTAAAGACCTACTAACTTTAAAACATTTCTCAACCAGCCGGGCACGGTGGCTCTCGCCTGTAACCCTAGCACTGTGGGAGGCCAAGGCGGGCGGGTCACCTGAGGTCAGGAGTTCGAGGCCAGCCTGGCCAACATCGTGAAACCCTGTCTCTACTAAAAATACAAAAATCAGCCGGGCAAGGTGGCACATGCCTGTAATCCCAGCTACTCGGGAGGCTGAGACAGGAGAATCGCTTGAACCAGAGAGGTGGAAGTTGCAGTGAACCGAGATTGCCCCACTGCACTCCAGCCTAGGCGACAGAGCAAGACTCCGTCTCAATAAATAAATAAATAAATAAATAAATAAATAAACAAACAAGACAAAACATTTCTCATCCAAACCCGGACACCCACGTGCCAACGAATACTGGGTAAAGTAATCATAAGATGATTTGCGGCCGGGCGCGGTGGCTCACACCTGTAATCCCAGCACTTTGAGAGGCCGAGGCAGGCGGATCACGAGGTCAGGAGATGGAGACCATCCTGGCTAAGACGGTGAAATCCTGTCTCTACTAAAAACACAAAAACTTGGCCGGGAGTGGTGGCGGGTGCCTGTAGTCCCAGCTACTCAGGATGCTGAAGCAGAAGAATGGTGCGACCCCAGGAGACAGAGCTTGCAGTGAGCTGAGATTGCACCACTGTACTCCAGCCTGGGCGACAGAGTGAGACTCTGCCTCAAAAAAAAAAAAAAAAAAAAAAAAATGATTTGCTTTTCTCTTATGGGATTTTCTGGGGGAAGAAATGGTATACAAACTGAACAAATAATTTAAATTGCTGCTTGAAATGAGAGCGACAGTGGCTGAGTATCTAACCTCTGCCTACTGGCTACTTGAGAACATTTCATTCTCTTGCCAATTTCCCAAAAAGGTCATTTGTGAACAGTGGAAGCCAGTCAGCCGTGACGTGGACCAGTCAGCATCTTTCTCTGAGACATACAGGGCCTTGCTAAGGCCGCATGGAGGAGGCTCGAGAACATGCCTCATGGAGGTCAGCTAGGGCCTGGGTTCAAATCCCAGCTCCTTTACTTCAGAGAGCTGGGCAACCCTGTTGAAATTTTCTTTTCCTTTTGAGACAGGATCTTGCTCTGTCTGTCACCCAGGCTAGAGTACAGTGGCTGATCATAGCTCACTGCAACCTTAAACTTCTGGGCTCAAGGGATCTTCTCACCTCTGCCTCCTGAGTAGCTGGAACTACAGGCATGCCTGGTTAATTTTTTTATTTTTTGTGGGGTCTCACTTGGTTGTCTGGGCTGCCTTGTTGAAATTGTCTAAGTTTCAGTTTCCTCACTCATAAAATGGGGATTAAATTAATACCTGATGGCCCAGGACTGAAACTCACAAAAAATGCCCAGAACACAGCAAGTGCTCAAGAAACACAAGCAGTTGAACTCCTCCCGGCCCCAGAGCTCAGCAGTGCATGCCAGTCACTCACCGGCGCATATGGGGGGCTGTACTCTCTGTACTTGCGGTGACCTTTCTCACTGGGGCTGAAATCCGAGTCATCTGAGAAGTCAGAGAAGTCATCGCTAGAAGAAGCATGGCGCTGTAATGACAGGGGAAGGAGACTCAGCAACCTGCCACAGGCAGGCCACTCGGGCACAGTCAGCCTCAGGACAAACTATGCTGGCATGTGCCGCAGGGCTCTGCGCTTCACCTGAAACACCTCACCTGGGGCACTTAGTGGCAATGAAGCATAAGCTACCAACTCTTTTAAAAAAGGTCTTTATCCAATTTGAGATAAGCAAAGGCATTAAGAGTGCCCTCTGGGGTGGACAGCAAAAGCTCAGCCCCTGGGGCTCTCAGCCAGGCCCAATGCCAGGCAGTGGCAGTCCCAGGGGATCTCCGACCTACTTTGTGCTTGGATTTCCTCCTCTTCTTCGACCTCCTTTTCTCTTTCTCCCGCTCTTTCTTCCGTTTCCGCTTCAGTCTCCTGTGGGACTTCTCCTCATCCGAATCACTGTGATGCTTCTCCCCCTTTTCTTTCCGGCTTCTCTCAGGCCCTCCGGAGGTATCCTGGGTCTCCTCTGCCCCATCATCTTCCAATTCACCTTCTTCCAACTCTCCATCTTCCCTACAAACAAACCCCAATCCCACCATGAACACAGGGTTTGAGAGGAGACCTCCTAGGGCTCTGGGCTGGCCAAGGCTGACAGGAACCGAAGGCCTGACTGCTGTGAGCGAAGTGAGACCCTGGGAGGACATGGGGGCCATGGCCTCTTGTTCCATCCCTTATCCTCCCCCTGAAAGAACTGTGCTTGCTCCAGTCTAACCTGGCTGGGGGAGGGGTAGGAGTTTAAGGGCATTACCACTAACACCGGGACACATCTACGCCAGATTTCCCAACAGAACTAGTGTTCTTAGAAGAAGAAACCGACAAGGTGCTGTGGTCACATAAGCAGGAAGAGCCCCATCTTGGGGATTCATAATGCTTAACGCTGCACAACTTCCAGGAAGCCCCATAGTCCAGAAACCCACACAGCTCTGCTGTGAAGCACTTGGGGCACTTCTAAACCTTGCTTGACCACAGAAGTCTCTCTCCCAGGGAGCACAGACCCACATCCCCTCCCTCCCAGGCCCAGGATTGCCTGCTGGGCCCCGGGCCCCAGTGAGCTGGGCGTCAGTGCCACCTGAGGCTGAGGGCGGTGGCTGTGCACCGTGGAGAGGGCCTTGGTTCTGAACCAGGGGTGGCCCCAAGCTACCTGGGACCCACCCACAGGCAGGCCTGGGCTGTGGCCTGAGAACCCTCCAAGTACTTTATTACAAAAGCCCCATGAGAACCGCTGGAAACAGGCTCAGAGTCCCAGGTCACAAGGTCTGACCCACCCTCGTCAGTCCCACACCTCTAGGCCGGAGGCAAGCAAACACTGAGCAGCTGGAGGAGGGGGGACGGATCCCAGGCCCCTCCTGAGGGCCTCACATGATACCGGCCCTGCTTTCTCTCCCTCCTCTGACTCACCTCCAGATAGTGGAACCCCTTCTGGCTCCCCATCCTACACTCTTCCAATTCCCCCGTGTCACCCCAATCTCCAGGACTTTAAAAGTGCTCTCCAAACATGACAGACACTGCCCAGTGGACATTCTGCATATGTAAATATCTATGGGGTGGGGTAGGAGTGAGGAAGAAATTGGGTTCAGGAGGGGGAGGCTGGAAAAAGAATCCAGTTTTTGAGCCAAACCCACAGACACAGTGTTCACAAGTACAGGAGTTGGTAAAGGAAAAAAACAATCTTTTTGAATAATTTTAAAAAGCTCCCAAAGTTCCCCATGAATGACCACAAAAAGGCTTGCGTGAGAGCATCCAACTCCTTCCGTCTCAATTAACTAGGACACAAAGAGAAGTGATGTAAGGAGGAAACATCACGAGCCCAGGCCCCAAAAGGTTAGCCACAAATGGAGCTATCTCTGCGGAAAGGCCCGCAGCTGCCCAAGCGGGAGCCAATGTATTAGGCGTGCTTGCCTGAAGGTTCCAGGGCATGTGGCAGACTCCTCCTCCCAGGACCCTCCACTGTCCTTTCGCTTATGTCCCTCCCTTTGTCTGCCTTGGGGCTGCTACCCAAACATCAAGGAGCGCCTCAAGAGCAGCTTTTTCTATGAACTCTCACTCCCAGTTCAAAGGGGATGGGTTCTATTTCAAACCCAAGTGGCCCAGCCCCACAGATACCCCTGGGCAGAGGTCAAGGGCAACTCTCAAAACAGAATGCAGGACACAAAACTCTTTCTGCTGCTTCAAAGTCAACAACACAGGTGACCTGACCCATGTGCACCTTGTGTTGCTTCCCCGACTAGCAAACTTGGAATGGGGCGGGGGTGCAGGCTGCAGTCCTGACAAGGGAGGTGCCTTCCCGCTGGGGTGCGGCCCACAGAAACCAGGCGTGGAGCAAAGTCCTCACTGGACACCTCACCCACACCGAAAAGGGCCACATGACTGGGAAAACTGGTTTTGTCCCAAGGGAGAAGCTGTTACTCAGTGACATGGCAAACTGCCCGCCGCCAGGAGCTGTGCAGACACTGGGAGGTGGCACCCTGATGGGAATACTGGGGGCAGGCCAGGGCCACACCTCAAGAGAAAGGGAGAGACGGACAGACTGAGCGGGAGAAGGCCCGGGACAGACTGGAGGTATACATGCTGGGGTTCCATAAAGAAAAGCTAAGAACAACATTACTCTCGACACTTAAGTCTAGAAGGGATAAAGCTGAGAGGGACATGATCACCACCCAGGCCACTAATATTTTAAATGCCATATCTGTGCCAGGTTGCTTGACTACCTCCTTTTCTGCACTGACAAGAAACTTGGTCCACAAGGCAGGTGCCTGATCATCAGGGCTGGGTCAGCTGAGCCGGAGTGGGTGGCAGCCTCAGCACGCCCTCCCTTATGTCCAACACCGCGGCACAGCAGGCGACAGTCTTGCCCAGGGTCAGCTGAGGCCTCCTTCCCTGTCCTGATGCCACTCGCTGGCTCGGACGAAGGTACAGGCTACTCTACATCTAACACCTGCGGGCAGAGGACAAAAGACCATTCAAGGAACTCCAAGAGCCTTAACCATCATCCAGAATGATTCTAGAAAGGAATCACCAAGGTAGAGAAGTGCAGCATTCAAATTCACCCTACAAAGACCTGAGCCAAAGAGGGATTCTGCACATTATCGATATTAACAGCTCCAGGCACATCTGGGCTCAAAGAGAATCAACCATACAACTTTTCACAAAACAGGCAGTGACTACTTGAAATTTTGTTTCCCTAAAGTTGAGAGAGGCAGAGAAATACATAGGATTTTTTTGTTGTTGTTAAACTGCTGACGGTTGATAAAGGGGCACTGAGACAGCAACAATAAACAGATCACTGCATTCTCAGGGCCCTCTGGCCATGTCAGGCCCTCAAGCCCCTCCGAGCCCTGGGCTAACTTCTGTCCACAGTCACCTCAAGGGGTCCCCCCTCACGACACCCAAGATGCTCTCCTAGCTAAACGTCCTGCGTGAACACGAGGTCTTGACTATATTCTTCAGACTCTGTTCAACAGAAAGCAAAAAGAAAGGAAGTCGAGCCAAATGGGAATCCCGTGGGCCACCAGCGCGACGGCACAAAGGCGGTCTCAACAAAACAGCAACCAGGTTTCAGCGATGCCACTTAACAGACTGCCGGCAAAATCCGTGTCAGAGTGGGATTAAATGCCAAGGGAACATGCTTAATAGACCTCGACATAATCCCCCAAGAAAAGTGGGGGAAGCCCCACCGCGCTAATCATTTCAATCTAGACCTGCCAAACTCTCTTGAGACAAGCAAGCAGGAGAAAAGCCTGCCGTGGCGGCCTGTGCAGGGAGCACTCTATTCCCAGAGCCTGGATTGGCAACGCCTGACATGGCTGCACTCGGTCCGCTGCCCAGAGCCCTCGGGAACAAGAAAGCAACCACCCTGGGAGACCGACTTGGAACTGGCCCCCATGAGGAAATGGGAAGAGGCCAACGCCTTGCCTTGAGCCAGTCCTGCCCCGTACCTCCCGGACAAAGCTCCCGGGTATTTCGGTTCCCATTTTCAGCACTGGCTGCTCCTCCCCCTGGTCAAAGAACAGATCTGGACGCCCACTCTAAGGAACAGGCCAACTCCACAGGGCCCACAAGGATGCTGGGTTCAGCACACACCACGGACTTGGCAAAAACAGTGCTTGGTAAAGACATTTCATGTTCAGACCGGGTGTGGTGGCTCATGCCTTCGGGAAGCCAAAGCAGGCAGATCACTTGAGGTCAGGAGTTCGGGACCAGCCTGGCCAACACGGCAAAACCTTGTCTCTACCAGTAATACAAAAATTAGCTGGGCGCGATGGTGGGTGCCTGAAATTCCAGCTACTCAGGAGGCTGAGGCACAAGAACTTGAACCTGGGAGGCAGAGATTGCAGTAAGCCAAGATTGTGCCATTGCACTCCAGCTTGCGAGACAGAGTGAAACTGTGTCTCAAAAAAAAAAAAAAAAAAACTAATCCCAGCACTTTGGGAGGCCAAGGCAGGCAGATCACCTGAGGTCAGGAGTTTGAGACTAGCCTTGCCAACATGGCGAAACTCCGTCTCTACTAAGAATGCAAAAATTAGACCAGTGAAGTGGTGGGTGCCTGTAGCCCCAGCTACTCAGGAGGCTGAGGTAGGAGAATCGCTTGAACCTGGGAGGCGGAGATTGCAGTGAGCCAAGATCGCGCCACTGCACTTCAGTCTGGGTGACAGAGCTAGAGACTCGGTTTCAAAAAACAAAACAAAACAAAAGATATTTCATGTCCAAAGTAGACATGATATTTCAAAGGAGATATTTCATACTGCCTCATCCAGCAGCCTACAGATTCGGGCCTCATGCTCCTTTCTGCAGACCAAGTAACTCAACCAGCTCCACCTCTTCTCTGGAGTATGCTCTTAGTCTGTAACCTGAGCCTTGCTTTTCTGATCTACTGAATGGGATAACAGCAGCACCTATCTCAAGGGCTGTGAAGGTTAAATGAAATAATAGGGATAAAGCCCTTGACATGAGGAACAGGCACAAAGGAAGAAGCAGCTGTTGGTTTTAAAAACCAGCTAGCATGAGGGCATCTCTCCACGGAAAGCCCTAACTGGCTGGAATGCTAAGTGGGAAGCATGTTCTCTATAAGAAAGCTACAGCCAGGGCCGGGCGCGGTGGCTCACGTCTGTAATCCCAGCACTTTGGGAGGCCGAGGTGGGCGGATCACCTGAGGTCGGGAGTTCAAGACCAGCCTGACCAACATGGAGAAACTCCATATCTACTCAAAATACAAAATTAGTCGGGCTTGGAAGAACACGCCTGTAAACCCAGCTACTCGGGAGGCTGAGGCAGGAGAATCACTTGAACCTGGGAGGCGGAGGTTGCAGTGAGCCAAGATCACGCCACTACACTCCAGCCTGGGCAACAAGAGTGAAACTCCGTCTCAAAAAAAAAAAAAGAAAAAAAGAAAGCTGCAGCCAGCTCTCCCTGACGGACACTGCTGACTGCTGGTCAACAAGTTCTTTCTACTTGGTCACAACCACACATACACTGTTCTCCCAAGCCATCCTGCTGACAAAACTGACAAAAGCAACATCTCCCCTTCCTCAGCTCTAATCTAGGCAGTACCAGAAGCCACCAAGTGGCTAATCAAGACAAAAAGGCGTAGGGAGAGCTGAGCCCCGGGAAGGAACAAAGGCTTCTTACAGAAATGAAGCTTGGCAACATGGCAGCTCTCTAGACAAGAGGGTTGGACGAAAGCTGAAAGGGGCCCAGGGTTTATGGATCAACCTGGTTTACAAGAGTTTAAAAAAAAAAAAAAAAAAAAAAAGGCAAAGTACAACACAAAAGATGGAAACTCATGGGAACAGCAGCGGTTACCTTAAGATCATGAGAGCCCTTGATAAGAGGCGGCTAGGTTAATGTGAAGGTCAGGGTTATGATCATTAACTGCCCAGACTCTCAACAAATTGCCTGGGTAGGCTCTGAATGACCCATTAACTAGGGACAAAATCACAAAAATTACAAGGAGGCGCCGCCTCTTCAAATATTTAACAACCAGCCTAAATGCAGAAGTCCAGGATCCCCAAGTCCGATTCTGCGGACTAGTCGTTTATTAGGATTGAAGGCGCAGGGCCTTTGCTTCAGAAATTCAGCTCAGGGCTCATGCCAAAGAAAGGCCCGAGACCTTCCCTTGAGTTAGGACGTAATGAAGCAGCCATAGGGGAAACCTCACGGAGGGATTTTCAGAGCCAGGAAATTCTTGAAATAAACCTCTGGGTCTTGCACATGCTTTTCAGTGTCCTTACTACCTAGGTTCATCAACCAGAAACCAAGAACAAATGTGCTCTGTCTCCTTTTCTTCAGCATTCTCAGGTGTCATCATAGCCTGCTCTGTGACATCATGCCATTTCCATGGTAACGTGCCTACGCCACGGCAACCACCCAAGTGAGACACAAAACTGGCAAAGAGAAGTCCAGGCATCAGCATCTGTACCCTGTACCCTACACCCTCACTTCAACATAAGACAGTCTACCCACTGCTGGCATCTAGATACGAAGACACCTACTGGTGGATGTGACGATAGGAGAAATTGGAGCCATCTGAACCCAGCCTGGGTATTTGAGATATTAATTGTTAATCTTGTTAGAAATGAGTTTTGTAGAAAGGTTTTTTGTTTTGTTTTATTGTCTTTTCTTTTGAGACGGGGATCTTACTCTGTCGCCCAGGCTGGAGTGCAGTGGCGTGATTTCGGCTCACTGCAACCTTCGCCTCCTGGGTTCAAGTGATTCTCATTCCTCAGCCTCCTGAGTACTGGGATTACTGACACCTGCCACCGCGTCCAGATAATTTTTGTATTTTTAGTAGAAACAGGGTTTCGCCATGTTGGCCAGGCTGGTCTCGAACTCCTGACCTCAGGTGATCCGCCTGCCTCAGCCTCCCAAAGTGCTGGGATTACAGGTGTGAGCCAACACACGCGGCCTGTAGTTATGTTTTTAAATAATCATAAAGTTAGAGATTCATACTGAAGAATCTACAGGTATAGGCCAGACACAGTGGCTCATGCCTGTAATCCCAGCATTTTGGGAGGCCAACAGGCGGATCACTTGAGCCCTGGAATTTGAGACCAGCCTGGGCAACATGAGGAAACCCCATCTCTACAATAAATACAAAACTTAGCCTGGCAGCATGTGCTTGTAGTCCCAGCTACTCAAGAGGCTAAGGCGAGAGGATCGATTCAGCCAGGAGGTCGAGGCTGCAGTGAGCTATGATTGCACCACTGCCCTCCAGCCTGGGCAACAGAGTGAGACCCTGTCAGACTGCTTGAGCCCAGGAGTTAGAGACCAGCCTGGGCAACACAGTTAGACCCCGTCTCCACAAATAATTTAAAGACAGGGTCTCTCTATGTTGCCCAGGCTGGTCTTGAACTCTTGGACTAAAGCCTGCCTTGGCCTTCTCCTGCCTTGGCCTCCCAAAGTTCTGGGATTAGAGGCATGAGCCATTGCACCCAGCCTCTATAAATAACTAAAAAAAATTTTTTTTCCATAATAAAAAGTTAAGAAAGAAAAAAGTTCTGGCCAGGTACGGTGGCTCATGCCAGTAATCCCAGCACTTTGGGAGGCTGAGGCGGGCGGATCACTAGATCAGGAGTTCGAGACCAGCCTGACCAACGTGGAGAAACCCCATCTCTACTAAAAATACAAAAATTAGCTGGGCGTGGTGGCGCACGACTGTAATCCCAGCTACTCAGGAGGCTGAGGCAGGAGAATCACTTGAACCTGGGAGGCAGAGGTTGCAATGAGCGATCGCACCACTGCACTCCAGCCTGGGCAACAGAGCAAGACTCTGTCTCGAAAAAAAAAAAAAAAATTAGCCGGGCATGGTGGCACACGCCTGTAGTCCCAGCTACTTGGGAGACTGAGGCAGGAGAATTGCTTGAACCCATGAGGTGGAGGTTGCAGTAAGCTGAGACCATGCCATTGCACTCCAGCCTGGGTGACAGATTGAGACTTCGTCTCAAAAAAAAAGAAAAAGAAAACAAGAACTTCCAAGTGGGACAACTCAGCAATGTGAGGAGAGGCTGCAAGGTCCCCAAGCAGTTATTTAATAATTTCCCAGCAGAGAGCTGGAATCTGGGCTTGCAGGCCTCCACACTCCTCACCAAGGCCTAAACAGGCTCAGAGACAAGAAGGAATTTGCCCATGGGGTCACAGCAGGAAGAAGCAGAACTAGAAACTAAGTCCAGTACTTTTGGATGCAAAGACCAGCTCTTAACCTCTACAAATTATTTGACAACTACAAATTATGTCAAAAAGAGTAATTTGCTAAACAGGTCAACTGACAAAACAACGCCCACCCTGAAATGTATAATCGAGTAGGGAAAAATAAGATATACATACATAAAACAGACTTCATGAATCAGTATTCCAAGAAATGCCAGAATGAGGTACCAAGACTTTGGGCAAATTCCTTAAACACTCTGCACCCCAGTCTCCATAACTGTGCAGCACAGGCAACCATGGAGTCCCCAGGATGGTGTCATGGGAGAATCCCATGAGGCCATGTAACACAAGCACTTAGCAGGAACCTTGCCCAGAATAAATGCTTAGGAGTAAAACCTACCCAAACACAAAGACACAAGGCCGATACGGTCCTTCCAATATCAAGTGAAGGAAATGGTAGCATTTCAAAAACCTAACCAAAGACATCTGGATAGAGAATAAGGGCTCATGGAAAGACCGAAGGAATTCTGGCAAAAAAAAAAAAAAAATAGGACTCATCCCAACACAAAGAGAAAGCAATACAAAAATCCCAGGGAGTGAAATTCCAAAGTCCCCTAATATGAAACGAATGCCTTCGCCCCCAAGTGTGCAGTGTCCACTCTGGGGTTTGTCCAAGCATGCAAACCACTTAGGCAGAACATTTCTGTAAAGCTTCAAACAGGCTGACCGTGAAAAAACCCAGCCTGCTAAAAGGAAGCTTGTGGAGACAAAGATGCCATTTTTTTTGCCTGAGTATCTATTCTTCCACTCCCACGAGCTCTGAAAATTTGCATTCTTGAGCAAAGGTATCTATCCCTCAGATCCAAGTTACTCCTGGCAGATGAACCTCTGGAATTTGCTTCTCAGCAATGAAGAGTTTTCTAACCACCTTCTCATGCCAACTAAGCTTCAGATGGTTTAAAGCTGCAAAGATCATGGTTTTCATCAGAGGACCGATTTCTATCACTCCAGAGGAGAAAGTCTAATAATTTAACTTATGAACTAAGACTTCTCTTTGTTTATAATTATTTATTTATTTATTTCTACACAGGGTCTTGCTCTGTCACCCAGGCTGGAGTGCAGTGGTGTGATCATTGGTTCAATGCAGCCTTGATCTCCTGGGCTCAAGCAATCTTCCCACGTCAGCCTCCCAAGTAGATGGGACTACAAGCATGCACCACCATGCCCAGCTAATTTTTGTATTTTTTGTAGAGACAGGGTTTCAGGCCGGGCGCAGTGGCTCATACCTGTAATCTCATTACTTTGGGAGGACAAGGCAGGCAGATCACTTGAGATCAGGAGTTCGAGACCAGCCTGGCCAACATGGTAAAACCCTGTCTCCACTAAAAATATAAAAATCAGCCCGTTGGCCGGGCACAGTGGCTCATGCCTGTAATCCCAGCACTTTGGGAGGACGAGGCGGGCGGATCACGAGGTCAGGAGATTTAGACCATCTGGGCTAACATGGTGAAACCCCGTCTCTACTAAAAAAAAAAAAAAAAAAAAACTACAAAAAAATAAGCCAGGCGTGGTGGCAGGCGCCTGTAGTCCCAGCTACTCAGGAGGCTGAGGCAGGAGAATGGCATGAACCCGGGAGGCAGAGCTTGCAGTGAGCTGAAATCGTGCCACTGCACTCCGGCCTGGGTGAAAGAGCGAGACTCCGTCTTAAAAAATATGTAAAAATAAAAATAAACAAATAAATAAGAGATCTGGGCCTAAGATTCTTGAGATTTGTTCATATACCACCTAAAGAATTTCTTAGCCAGGCGCAGTGGCTCACGCCTGTAATCCCAGCACTTTGGGAGGCCAAGACAGGTGGATCACCTGAGGTCAGTAGTTCAAGACCAGCCTGGCCAACATGGTAAAACCCCATCTCTACTAAAAACACAAAAATTAGCTGGGTGTGGTGGCGCACACCTGTAATCCCAACTACTCAGGAGGCTGAGGCAGGAGAATCGCTTGAACCCAGGAGGCAGAGGTTGCAGTGAGCTGAGATCATGCCATTGCACTCCAGCCTACGTGACAGAGTAAGACTCTGTCTAAAATAATAATAATAATAATTTCTTAAAAAGAACTGATACAACCTATTCGTTAATTTCTAGTCACCTGTGGGTTCCTTAAGGGCAGACAAGAATGAGGTTCACAGTAACCCCACATTTCCAAGGGCCCAGCACAGGGCCAGGTACAGATTGGGTACATGCTCAGTGCATATTCTATATGAAGTATCAATCTCAGCTCTCATACCCTTTTGGTCAATTTCATCAATAGAAACAGTAACTAATTTCCAAGAAAACTTTTTCAGCAACCTGTATCACTTAAAACTTTGACACAAACTCATTCAAGTGTTTATCAAGGGTTTCCAAATAAGCTTGAAAGTGATGGATGCACAGACTGAACAGAGGAGACAGGCCCTGCCTCGGATGCAGCCCACCCGTGTGGCCCACAAGCTTCAGTTACTGTGACTGCTCTCGTTCCCCGTGGAGTGGCAGGGCCTGCCTGGAATCCCAAGGAAACCTAAGCCCTGGTGTCTGTTAGGAAAATGAGGAGGGCAATAATCCAAGCCACCTGCAACAGACTTTTGGCCAAGCGACACTAGCGTCTGGGCCCAGCTCCCTCGGTTAGGCCATAGCAGGGATGTAATGGCCATGATCCACTTCCACACGGGACCTCAAGAAGTCTCCAGTTACTTCTAATGAATGAAAATCCCTTCCATTTAAGAGGGTTTAAAAGCCTAGGCTTGGGCCTCTACATTCACTGAAAGGAGTGGAACGCAGGGAGAATGGAGCCACAGTGGACTGAGGAAACAGTTAACACCCCCACCCTCTCGAGGGCCAACTTTAAATGGAATATCTATATTCCCTCCTCATTCCTTCCCACCACAAAAAAAATGACAATGGCTGCTGTGCAGGCATACCAGACAGTGCATACCATATCACGTGGTGGGCAGCAACTTTCTACTCAACTCTGCTGCTGTAACGTAGAAGCAGCCACTGATGATATAAATGAATGAGTATGGCTGTGTGCCAATAAACTTTACCTACTGGCCAGGCGCGGTGGCTCATACCTGTAATCCTATCACTTTGGGAGGCCAAGGAGGGTGGATCACTCGAGGTCACGAGTTCAAGACCAGCCTGGCCAACACGGTGAAACCCCATCTCTACTAAAAACACAGAAATTAGCTGAGCATGTGGTGTGCGCCTGTAATCCCAGCTACTCAGGAGGCTGAAGCAGGAGAATCCCTTGAACCAGGAGGCAGAGGTTGCAGTGAGCCAAGATCATGCCACCGCACTCCAGCCTGGGTGACAGAGCAAGATTCTGTCTCAAAACAACACAAACCAACAAAAAAACACTTTACCTACAAAAACAGGCTGGGTGGGCTGGCTTTGGCCCGAGAATCATAGTTTGCCGACCCCTAGCCTGGATGCAACGGCTTTCACACTTTTTGACACTGACCCACATCTGCTTCTTTGCATTTCTCCCAAACAAAAGTTTCCAGAAGCCACATTTAAATGCATTCTGCTTTTTCTCTCCTCTTCCATTTCCTTGGTTTTCCAATGCAAAAGAAAAAGATCAATAATTGGACTTCATATCCCACTAGTGGCTATACCCCACAGTCTGAAAAATAGCACACCAGATCCACCACAGTATAATGGTATGTATAGAGATGGGGTCTGAGTACCAGCCACCCCGGGTTCTAACTCTGCCTGCAGCACACACTTGTTTTGTGACCTGGGACAAGTGACTTCACCTCTCTGTTTTGGTTTCTCCTCAAACAGCAGAGGTAAAGGTTAAATGAGCTAATGCATGAGAAGCACTCAGAAGGGCTCTGGCAGATAATCTTTGACCTTCAGGTCAATTGTGCACAAATGGCACTGTTGCCCCTTCGGAAAGACAAAGACACTGACTTAGGAGATGAACTCAAGAATCACATCCAGTTTGCCTAACTCCCCCAACCATAGCTGTCCACCACCCATCACTCTCAGCAGAGGGCCAATCCCGTGTGGAGAGAACATGGCAGCACCCAGGCAGACATGGTGGCTTATACCTGTAATCCCAGCACTTTGGGAGGCTGAGGTGGAGGATCATTGAAGCCAAGAGTTCGAGGCTGCAGTGAGCTATTAATACTATGAGGTGCCACTGCATTCCAGCCTGGGCAACAGAGCAAAACCCTGTCTCAATAAAAGAGAAAAAACAAAGCTTTTGGCTCTGGAGTTCACTCTATCCTTTCTGGGACAACTGACAGGCATGACCAGGAACCTGATGGGCCTGCCTGTGATCTAGCCACTGAGCCTAACCTTCAAATTAATTAAGGCATCTGCTTTCCAAGTGCATATTAGTAAGCTGCAAGCAGCAGCAGCAACCCTTTATCGTGGCCAGAAACTGTAGAAGGTAGGCCAGACACAGAGGAAGGGAATACGAAGCCTGGTAAAGGCAGTAACAACCCTAGCCCGACTCTAAATAAAGTCTTCATGATAGAAGGGTTCTCTGCACACTCAGAAAACTCTTGGGCTCCAAGAAAAGCCGGGGAGGAACTCAGTTACTGAATGAACAAAACCTTATCTGACTCAGCCAGATCCCAAAGGAGTGAAGAATCCTGGAGCTGGATGAGACCTTGTTCATTCCCCTCTGGAGAGAGTAAAGGACTTGCGTGGGGAAACTGACTAGTTTGCAGTGGTATGAGATTCTAGATCCCTGGCTTCCCAGTTCTCAGAAGCCCTACTGAGACTACAGCACTGACTCGGACTCTAATTGCAAAAGATGAACACAGGAGGTACAGTCAGCATTAAGCTCCAGACAGTATGACCATTTGAGCATCCATAAAAAGACACTGAGCAAGCAAGAAATATCTTAAGATGGCTTCCACTTAGTGTCAACCCCAATTGGCTCCCTGCAATTAAATAAGCTGACCAGAACCCTAAGAGATGAAAGATAAATGCACTTCCTTCAAAAATAGATGTTATTCTTACTTCTGTTTATACACCAACTGTAAAAGTTCTGTTTCAAATTCTTCTCTAGTAGGGAAAGCAGGAAGATTCACTGAATGCTGGCATTGTGTGGGTGTCCCCAAATGCACTCATTTGACCACAAGGACCCTGAGAAGTGGGCATTTTATACTCGATGCCTACTGCACACTGCCGGGGAGAAGCCAGGCCTGAACAGTTTTATCTGGCTCCAAAGTCCACAGTCTTCCTCCACATCCTGTTGCCACCTCCGACATTCAAAAAGATGTCACCACTTGCCTGACAAACAGGGCACTGAGTCACCTATTCACACAGATGCGAAATGGCAAAAAAAATACACGAGAAAGATCCTTTATGCAGACCAGTTTGGCCAGAAGCAGCAAACTATGCTCTCAGCAAATAATCCTGCGTTCTGTTAAGAAAAAAAAAAAAAAAAAGTAACAGGACACAACTAAATCTAGCACCAACCAAGAGGCCGTATCTTCATTTTTGTCAACAACTACTAAGAGTCACCCCAATGGGTGATGTGCCAGAAATCTATTTAAAATAAACTGCCTATCGCACCTCATTACATCACCAGTGAAACTGTACACAATGTCTTCAAAACTGCATCTGCATTAACTCCTAAAAGCAAAAGCGTTCTGCAGCAAAGACAAGGCCAAGAAACTGGGAGTCAAACCCATGAAGTTTGGCTCCCCCCAATCAATCTCATTTTTACTTTAACTTATCCCCATGAACTTGACATGCCACCCAGACAAACTGGCAGCTTTTCCATCCTATTAGGTTTTAATTATGAAACTGGCTTCATACCATGTTATTCGGAGAGGAGTCCCTCCACCAATGAGGCTGCTCCTACAGTCTCTGATCTGCTGAATAAATACCAATTGCCAGAAATCTCAGGAGTCATCCTTTTTTCTTAGCTGTGCTGCCAAGGCACAGGTTAAGCGCCTGGCTCAATTCAGCTACTTTGCTTGCTATTCACTCTGTCACTCAACTCTCGGTGTGAATCGGACCCAGTTGCTCTGGCACTAGAATTACTGTTCGTGGGGACCAAAATTAAGTTCTCTAGAATCTGGTTTGACTTGATAGCTATCCACGGAGACCTGGAAATAGTTTCATTAGCAATTTTCACCAGAGGTATTTACTGTAACTGGATCTGACCTCTATGGAGAGATGTTTCTACAGGCCCAATAGCCATAAAAATGTAACAAAAGGAAGTGAAGGACCCTCAGACAGCCATTTCTCTCCCATCAGGGAAGAAGGTAAAAGATCTAAGAGCAAGAAGCAGAGGTGTAGGCACCGTTAAATAAATTACTAACCAGGCCCAATATGAAATTGCTCTACATTCAACTGTATGGAAACGCAAGAGTCAAAACCGTTCATCTTTAACTTGCCAGGCAGTTGAACAGCCAGGTCCACAGGTACAAAACAATTCTCCCCTGGGATCAGCCTTCCTGGCTGTGGAAAAACCACAGCAGTGGCTTACTAAAATAGCTGGCTCTACTTAGAGAAAACTATGGCTTATAAAGAAATCAAAAATTTAAACCTTCAGAGCAGAGCAAAATTGTACCTGGGGGAGAGGACAGGCCATGAATTAGTCATTTTGGGGAACCGCATTTTTTTCTTTTAAAGAGCAAATTTGAGGGGAATTAAAAAAATAAAGGAGTTTTAAAAAATAAAGGGGTTTTATGACGAGAACATCCATATTTCCATGGTCACAACAGACTTTTTTTCTACTAGGAGACTTTGATTTGCTTTCAAGTTAAATCTCTCACCCAGAGAAAATAAAAATGTAAAAGTTTGTAAGTGTATAATAAGATTTGTTATTAAATCAGGGATTCTGAGTGACACCCTTTTCTTTTTTTTTGCAACATCCATTAATTTGATTTTTAACTAATACTGGTACATCAGTCTGGGGGGAAAAAAGGCAGTACTGTGACATTTCAAAAACAGATTACCAAAATACAGTTTTTGACTTAATTACTGGGGCTTCTAGGTCTTAATGGATGAGATTTCTTTGAGAATGGAAAACAATAAACCGTTGTGTTGACATGCCTGTGAGCTTTTTAAATGCTTGGGGAAATAGTTTCAAATTCACTGAACATTGCTAAAAAATTTCACTTACAAAAGAAATCTCATTTCCTTAACGTTTCTTTTTAAAAGTCAATTTAAATAAGCAACTTAGTAGCCTTTGGAACTTGGGTCATCAGTCATCCAGTTTCTGTTCTCAGCTCCTGGAGAAAGAATTTTACAAAGGATGGGAAACTTCAAATAAGTGCAATTCATTTTGGGCTGACCCAGTGCCCTGGATAATGTGTTTTGTTCGGTTCGTGCTTCAGACATTTCTTGCAGGATATCGTAGTTTGGAGATTTCTTCCTCCCGTAACTGATTTTACATACCTAGGATCACCACTCTACGGCAGTTGTGAACATATTAAGAGGAAGAAAACAAGTGGCCTATTGAATTGCAGTTTCCTCATCTACATGTGCGTGACCTTTTTTCCTTGTAAGAAGGAAAAAAACAAAACGGTTCTTTTGGAGAGGGCCAGGGTTCTCTAAGTATGTCAGGGATCAAAAGTGGGAAACTGGGAAAATGCAACTTCAACGTGTTTTGTCTTTTAACGGAACTTATGCTTGTAAAACACATCAGAAGTACAGTGTTTGGTTCTGCAAGTCATTTCTGTTGTTGTTTTTTCCTTGTTACGTGGAGGCCGGGGGGACTGGGGGCTGGAGGAGGTGTTCCCTCCAACATGACTGGGCGTGTAACACGTTTGCATCAACTTTTCACAGTCAGACATGTGCTTTCGAACAAAGGAGCAGTGGAGACAGGCAGAGATGGGGGCTTGACACAGTTTACAGATTTTGTGCTTCAACAGTACTTTACAAATGACTTGCTCAATTTTAACGTCCATCACCACAAGAGACATTGGAGTAAAATGAGAAAATTGGAGCTACTTGAACCAATCTTTTTTGGGGAGTGGGGGGGAGGGGAACCATTAATTTGAATACCTGCATCATAAATCAAATCCAGTAAGCTTGTCTCCTACAAATGGACTTGAAGTATCCACTTTCTTCAAAGATGAAGGCTGGAGACAAAGCAATGGATTGAAATGGAAAGAAGGATGCCAAGGGTCTGAAAACATACGGGCCTTTTACATCGATTTTTGTCATGTTACAGTAACACACTTTTTTTTCTGAGAAAACTGTGTACGTCAAATTTTAAAAATTAAACATTGAAAGGATGTGCAAGTCTAAAAGGGCTCAACAGGGTTAGAATCCTGATTCGAACATATCAATTCACTCTCAAGCATCACTTTGGTCTAAAGGCGAGGAGGAAGGCAGGCAGTAAAGGGAGAAAAAGAGGGAGATCATTGAATTACTCAATAAAAGAGGCTACTTACCATCCCAACCCATTGTAAGACATACACTTCTGACATAAGAGAACTCCTTAGAGGTCGAATAAAGCGTGTAAGCACCTTTGAGTAATGCACCTGCCCCCGGAGAGGGGGCCCGGAAGCCCAACGAGGGCTTAGCGAACAGACCTTTGCTAATCTGTTTATTTCCTTGAACTGGAGTCGGGCTGCGATGGGCTGCGATTCCCAGGACGATACATTTAATTAGAACAAAACAGAAAAAAAAAATGTTGTAAAAGCTCACCAAACTGCTGCACTTGTGTCTCTGAATGTGGGTGGCATTTCTTTTAAAAGGCAAAGTATGGTCTGTGAAGGAGAAAGGGGAAAGGGGAGGTGGGAGTGGGGAGAAGGGGTCGTACGTACAGCCTGGCAAGGGAAGCCCTGGCTGAGACCCCCCGGCTAAGGAAGGGTCCTCAGCGGCTCCCCAGCCAGGGCTGCGACGGAGTAGCCATCTGTCCAGAGCGTTCTCTTCCCCTCTCCACCCCCATTCCCTCCAAGACTCGCTTTCCTGCCGGCTGAAACCCACCGTCCGTGTCCAAACCTACTCTCCAGCCGCCTCTTCTCTCGCCCCACCAGGAAACAGTGGGCGAACCCTGCACCCCAACTCCTTCTGCTCGAGCAGGGGAAGGAAACGGGGCCCCAACCTCGCCCTGAAACGCGCCGGGCTGACCCCATTATCACCCGCCAGCCAGAGAAGGGCGTGGGGGGCCCGCGTTTCGGACTTAATAAAGAGAAGGGGGCGCTTCCTTTAACGCCCTGCCAAAGCACAAGGAAATCTCCTTTTCTCTCCCGGAAGAGACGGTGCCCCATTTTACCCCGACAGAGGGGGGAACCCCAGGAGAAAGCGCGGGACCAACTTCCTCTCCCTACAAGGCAGGGAAACCAAACCTTACCCCCGCAAAACAAGGCTGAGAATCCTCCCTCACGTCACCTACCTACGAAAAGCGAGAGGACCCCTGCCCTTTAGCAAAAACACGGGGAAGAGTCTTCTCTAAAAAAATAGGCTGGGGTTTTCATCAAAAGGGCTGGAGATGCATCTCCCCCCTCCCCAATTCGGCCTTCTAGGGGATAGCTAAAAAACACCCCCCGCCAAAAAATACAAGTGCTATAGAGCACCCACCCAAATGACCCCCAATTACAAGGATGGAGAAGGGACCTGAATGAACCCCCACCTTCTGCCTCCTAAGCTAAAGTACCTATCATCCAAGTAGGACAGGGTGTGCCTCCCCCAGGAGAAAGGATACTGCCGGGGGCTGGGAGACCCCCAACCCCAAACCCCTAAGAGCGGGGCTGTTGTTCGAGATCCCCCCAAAAAGGGTCCGGAGCCCCTCCCCCATCCCCTTCCCCGAAGCCAGGCGACGGGCAAGCGGGCCCGTAGCTGCCAGCTCCGGGCGCAGGGGCAGCCAGGACCCCCGTGGGTCTCCGCAGCACCCCCCACGGCGCCCCCTCCCCAGGACAGGCGGACGGGCGCGGGGGGTCCGAGGGGCGCCTCCTCACCTTCCCCTCAGCATGGCGCCCAAAAAAGACAGAGCGAGAGCGAGGGAGAGCGGGCGAGCGCCGCGAGGGGGGGGAAACGCATGAGGCCGGGAGAGAAAGCAAGCGAGAAAGAGCGAGCGAGCAAGCGATCGAGAGACACCCACCGACCCCGCCCTTCCTCCTCCTCCTCCTCCTCCTCCTCCTCCGCGGCCCGGCCCAACATGGCGGCCGCCCCCCTTCCTCCTCCTCCTCTTCCTCCCCCCGGGGACGCAGCCCCGGCCCAACCGGGGGCCTGACCTGTCGTCAGGGAGCGGGAGGCGGTGGTGGAGGAGGTGCGGGGTGGCCGGGCGGGCGTCGGGGGAACACGGAGGAGGCGAAGGCGTTGATGGCGGCGGCGGCGATGGCGGCGGCGGCGACTCTGATGGCGGCGGCGGGGGGGTCCCGGGCGCGGCCTCCATAGTTCCTTTGGGGGGGAGGGGATGTTAATGCACGAAAAAGGACTGCTTGGGCGTGGCGGGAGGGGCACACTTAAGCTCGGAGGGCTCCTGATGGGAATGGGGTATATATTTTTTCGGTTTCGGAATCACCTCTGCGCTGACCTCCGCGTAGGCCGCACGGCCTAGGCCTCGGAGGGCCGCTCGCCGCCTGCTTTCTCCGCAGCCCACCCTTGCGGTCACTCGCTCACTGGCGCGGGGCCCTCATAGGGGCGAGAGCCCCCCCCCCACGCACCCCCGGGGGGCGGGACACCCGGGAGACACGGACACTGGTGGGTGGTTGGGTGTAATTAGCGCGGGCCGCGCGCGATGGAGCAAGCGAAGGGTAAGGGGAGAAGAGGAGAGCGAGCGAGGGGGGTGGGGGGTTAAAAAGAAAAAAAGGATTTGAGGGAGAGAGGGAACGGGCCGCGGAGACGGGCCGACTGTCTCCCTTCTCTGCCCGCCCTGGGTGCCCCGGCTGCCCGGCCCCCGCCGCAATCAGGAATTGACACAAAATGGCGGCTCGGCCCGAACCAGCCTAGAGGCTGAGGCGGGAGGAAGGGTGAGATGGGAGGGGGAACTGAGAGGCGGAGGCGGAGGCCGTGTCACGTGCAGGAGAGGGGTAGAGACCGCTTGCCCGAAGGCCGGCGGAAAGAGCCGAAGGCAAAGGGCGAGGCCGAGGGGAGGCGGAAATAGCCGAAAGGAGCTGAGCAGGAGCGAGGAGGCGACGGGGGAGAGCCAGAAAGAGCTGAAGGTGGTGATATGGGTGGGGCTAGAGAGAGCATGAGAAACCTAGGGGAGCCATAAATAGCCTAAGCCGATCGGGACCGGGGAAGGAGGAGAAACTGAGACGGTCCGGAAAGAGCCGAAAGCGGTGTCCGGGTGGGTGGCAGGAGGTGGAAACAGCCGAAAGAAAAGCAGCCAGGGTAATGCGATTAAGAGAATGAGCTGAACGGGCGGGGCTGAAGGGGAGAATAAACGACTTTCAGGAATTCGCCGGAGAGCAAGAGGGAAAAACCGAAAATTGCTAGTTTGAAGGAAGGCGGGAAGAGCCAATAGTTTTAGGTGGGAGAATGGGAGGGAAGGAATTCAGGCTACGGAGAGGGAAAAAAAAAATAACCGAAAGCTGGAGGCCAGGTGCCGAGAGTCGGAGGTTTCCGGAGAAGCGATGAAGCCCAGCCAGCCCGGAGGTGACGTCACTCGACAACCCAGTCGATGATGTCATCATTGGATGCGAGAGGGGCGGGGCTTGGTAGTCCCTCAGGGGAGTTTAAGGACCTGGGGTGTAGGACCCATGGAAGGCTCTCAAATAGCAGAGCTAGAAACACTGGCCGGTGTCGTAGACTGTACAAACAAAATCTTTTGACCCTCATAACCGTCCTAACATAAGCTGCTGCTATTCCCATTTGCAGACTGAAGTTCGGTGTTTTAAGTAATCGGTTCACGGTCATAGGATTAGTTCTAAAAAGCACAGCAAGATTTTTTTTTTAAGAGACAGAGTCTTGCTCTGTCGCCCAGACTGCAGTGCTGTGACACGATCATACCTCACTGTAACCTCGAATCCAGGGATCTTCCTTAAATACTTGTTAGCTCTTTCTACAGTGCCAGTCCCTGTGATGGAGCATGGGAACAGTTTCTGTCTTCATGGAACTTAACCGATAATGCCCCAAGGGAGAGAAACAGAGTTAAAGAATAAAGGGGGTGGGTGGAGTGTTAGAGGAGGGTCTTGTAATTGTTCTTTTAGGCTGGTACATGAAAAAGAAGAGATGGTTCCAGGCAGAAGAAATACCTTATTTCAGGCGGGGCGATGTTGCTCACGCCTGTAATCCTAGCACTTTGGGATGCCGGGGCGGGCGGATCGCTTGAGCTCGGGTTGGAGACCAGCCTGACGAACATGGTAAAACCCCTTCTCTACTAAAAATACAAAAATTAGCAGGACATGATGGCTCACACCTGTAGTCCCAGCTGCTCGGGATGTTGAAGAGGGAGAATCGCCCGATCCCGGGAGGTCGCGAGGCTGCAGTGAGCCGAGATTATGCCACTGCACTCCAGCCTGGGCAACAGAGTGAGACTCTTGTCTCAAAAAAAAAAGAAAAGAAATACCTTATTTCAGGCCCTGACAAAGCAAAGACCACTTAGATTCCAGGAAGAGAGAAAAACCGTGTCAACAGTGATAAATCTGGAGACAGAGGCACCATGTGACTTCCTGGTATATTGATCCTACTTTTTTTTTTTTTTTTTTGAGGCAGAGTCTCGCTCTGTCGCCCAGGCTGGAGTGCAGTGGCGCGGATCTCGGCTCACTGCAAGCTCCGCCTCCCGGGTTCACGCCATTCTCCTGCCTCAGCCTCCCAAGTAGCTGGGACTACAGGCGCCCGCCACCACGCCCAGCTGATTTTTTGTATTTTTAGTAGAGACGGCGTTTCACCGCGTTAGCCAGGATGGTCTTGATCTCCTGACCTCGTGATCCGCCCGCCTCGGCCTCTCAAAGTGCTGGGATTACGGGCGTCAGCCACCGCGCCCAGCGGATCCTACTGTTTTTTAAATGTTCCAGCTGGCAGCGGGGCGTGGTGGCACACACCCATAATCCCAACACTTTGGGAGGCCGAGGCTGGCGGATCACTTGAGGTCAGGAGTTTGAGATCAGCCTGGCCAACGTGACGAAACCCCGTCTCTACTAAAAAGACAAAAAATTAGCCAGGCATGGTGTGGCGCGCCTGTAATCCCAGCTACTTGGGAGACTGAGGCAGAAGAATCGCTTGAACCTAGGGGGTGGAGGTTGCAGTGAGCCAAGATGGCACCACTGCACTCCAGCCTGGATGACAGAGCAAGACTCCGTCTCAAAAAAAAAAAAAAAAAAAAAAAAAAATTAGCCAAGCGTGGTGGCCGGCACCTGTAATCACCAGTTACTCGGGAAGCTGAGGGGAGAATCGCTTGAATCCGGGAGGCAGAGGTTGCAGTGAGCTAAGATCATGCACTCCAGCCTGAGTGACAGAAAGACTTTAATTAAATTAAATGTTGCAGCCGGCACAGTGGCTCATGCCTATAATTCTAGCACAGGAGGATTGCTTGAGCCCAGAGGTTCAAGACCAGCCTGGGCAACATCGTGAGACCCCAGTTTCTTCAAAAAGTCAAAACATGGCCGGGCGCAGTGGCTCACGCCTGTAATCCCAGCACTTTGGGAGGCCGAGGCGGGCAGATCACGAGGACAGGAGATCGAGACCATCCTGGCTAACCCAGTGAAACCCCGTCTCTACTAAAAATACAAAAAATGAGCCGGGCATAGTGGCGGGCGCCTGTAGTCCCAGCTACTCGGGAGGCTGAGGCAGGAGAATGGTTTGAACCCGGGAGGTGGAGCTTGCAGATAGCCCCACTGCACTCCAGCCTGGGCAACAGAGCGAGACTCCGTCTCAAAAAAAAAAAAAAAGAAGTCATAACATTAGCCCGGCTTCATGCTATGCACCTGTGGCCCCAGCTACTTGGGAGGCTGAGGCAGGAGAATCACTGGAGCCCAGGAGGTTGAAGGAGGTTGAAGCTACAGTGAGCTATAATCATGCCACTGTACTCCAGTGGAGACTTTGTCTCAAAAAAAATAAATAAATAAAAATAAAAATAAGGCCAGGCACAGTGGCTCACGCCTGTGATCCCAGCACTTTGAGAACTCTAGGCAGGTGGATCACGAGGTCAGGAGCAGCCTGGCCAACGTGGTGAAACCCTGTCTCTACTAAAAATACAAAAAAAATTAGCCGGGTGTGGTGGCAGTTGCTTGTAGTCTCAGCTACTCAGGAGGCTGAGGCAGGAGAATCGCTTGAACCCAGGAGACAGAGGTTGCAGGGAGCCGAGCTCACACCACTACACTAGAGCCTGGGTGACACAGCGAGAAGAAAATTCCTGACAAAATGCTTAAAATAAATCATCAGTGGATGAAACTTGTTTTAAGAAGCTGGTGCTCCCCCCACCATCCCACCTGGTACCCCAGTTGCCAGCCAAGAATTGTGTTACCTTTACCCTGACTATCGTCTTTCTGGATCCAATCTCAGATCTAATGGTTAGATAATTATTCTCTTCTCCTATAAAATGTCCCTATTAGAGTGAATCTTAATTGGCCAACAAGAGACCTTTTTTCCTTGCATGTAAGATTGTAATAAAATGTTCACTCATGCTCATAGCTATGTTGTCCAAAAAGTTTTCTTTAACACACCAAGAACTAATACTTCAGGTTTGTAGGAATGGAAAGGAAGGACACCAAAGTAGCTCACTATGTTCGATTGTGGATGGTGCCATTCCTTCCTTTACACCTTGATTTTTGGACCTCATGTATTCTGGGTTATGGACAAAATCACTGATTGAGAACATAGACCACATCTAAGAGGACAGCCATTGTCTTTTCAAGGTATGGTCCTGAAGGGGCCCCATCTCTGTAGTTTCAATGGGGCCATTCTACAATTCTAGATGGCCATCTGCTTTTAAGTAATGGGGAAAACAAAAATCCCACCAAGCAGGAATTCCCTGTACTTCTTCAGTGTCATGATGGAACATTGTGGAACATTGTCTGCCAAGCCCTTCTGACACTTCATCTGACTTTTTTATTTTTATTTATTTATTTATTTATTTTTATTTTTTTGAGACAGAGCCTCGTACTGTCACACGGGCTGGAGAGCAGTGGCACAATCTCGGCTCACTGCAACCTCTGCCTCCAGGGTTCAAGTGATTCTCCTGCCTCAGCCTCCCAAGTAGCTGGGATTACAGGCGCCCACCACCATGCCCAACTAATTTTTTGTGTTTTTAGTAGAGACGGGGTTTCACCATGTTGGCCCTGCAGTCTCACACTCGTGACCTTGTGATTCGCTCGCCTCGGCCTCCCAAAGTGCTGGGATTACAGGTGTGAGCCACCGTGCCCTGCCTGTTTAGTTAGTTTTTGAGACAGAGTCTCGCTGTGTCTCCCAGGCTGGAGTGCAGTGTCGTAATCTTGGCTCACTGCAACCTCTGCCTCCCAGATTCAAGCAATTTTCCTGCCTCAGCCTTCCGAGTAGCTGGGACTACACGCGCACGCCACCACACCTGTCTAATTTTTTGTATTTTAGTAGAGATGGGGTTTCACCGTGTTGTCCAGGCTGGTCGAGAACTCCTGACCTCAGGTTATATCCACCTGCCTGGACCTCCCAAAGTGCTGGGATTACAGGTGTGACCCACCGTGCCCTGCCAAGTTTTTTAGTTTTTGAGACAGAGTCTCGCTCTGTCTCCCAGGCTGGAGTGCAGTGGTGCAATCTCGGCTCACTGCAACCTCCGCCTCCCAGGTTCAAGCGATTCTGCTGTCTCAGCCTCCGGAGTAGCTGGGATTACAGGCATGCACAATGCCTAGCTAATTTTTTTTTTTTTTTTTGAGACCGAGTTTCACTCTTGTTGCCCAGGCTGGACAATCTCGGCTCACCACAACCTCCGCCCCCCAGGTTCAAGCGATTTTCCTGCCTCAGCCTCCTGAGTAGCTGGGACTACAGGTACGTGCCACCACGCCCAGCTGATTTTTGTCTTTTTGGTAGAGACAGGGTTTCACCATGTTGGCCAGGATGGTCTTCATTTCTTGACCTTGTGATCCGCCAGCCTCGGCCTCCCAAAGTACTGGGATTACAGGCGTGAGTCACTGCGCCCCGCCAATCTCGGCTCACTGCAAGCTCCGCCTCCCGGGTTCACGCCGTTCTCCTGCTTCAGCCTCCCGAGTAGCTCGGACTACAGGTGCCCATCACCATGCCCGGCTAATTTTTTGTATTTTTAGTAGAGGCGGGGTTTCACTGTATTAGCCAGGACAGTCTCGATCTCCTGACCTCACGATCCGCCCGCCTCTGCCTCCCAAAGTGTTGGGATTACAGGCGTGAGCCACTGCGCCCGGCCAAATTTTTTGTATTTTTAGTAGAGATGGGGTTTCACCATGTTGGCCAGGCTGGTCTTGAATTCCCGACCTCAAGTGACCCGCCCCGCCTCGGCCTCCCAAAGTGCTGGAATTACAGGCGTGAGCCACCGCGCCCAGCCTATTTATTTTATTTATTTTATTACTTTTTTTGAGACAGAATCTCACTCTATCGCCCAGGGTCGAGTGCAATGGTGCAATATCGGCTCACTGCAACCTCTGCATCCTGGGTTCAAGCGATTCTCCTGCCTCAGCTTTCCCAGTAGCTAGAATTACAGGCGCCTGCCACCACTCCCAGCTCATTTTTTTTTTTAATTTTTTTTATTTTTAGTAGAGCTGAGGTTTCACCATGTTGGCCAGGCTAATTTCGAACTCCTGACCTCAGGTGATCCACCCGCCTCAGCCTCCCAAAGTGCTGGGATTACAGGTGTGAGCCACTGCGCCCAGCCGGCCTATTTATTTATTTATTTTGAGACGGAGTCTTGCTTTGTCGCCCAGGCTGGAGTGCAGTGGTGCAATCTTGGCCCACTGCCACCTCTACCTCCCTGGTTCCAGCGATTATCCTGCTTCAGCCTCCCATGACTTTTTTTTGTTTTTTTAATTTTATTTTTTTCTGAGACAGAGCCTCGCTCTGTCATCCAGGCTGGAGTGCAGTGGTACAATCATGGCTCACTTATAGCCTTGACCTCCCTGGCTCAAGTGATCTTCCTACCTCAGCCCCCTAAGTAGCTGAGAATGCATACGTGGGCAACCAGACCCAGCTAATTTGTGTGTGTATGTTGTCTGGTTTTTTTTTGAAACAGGGTCTCACCATGTTGCCCAGGCTAGTCTTGAACTACTCCTGAGCTCAAGTGATCCTCCCACTTGAGCCTCACAGAGTCTTAGGATTACAGGCGTGAGCCACTGTGCCCGGCCCATTGTTTTGACTTTAGCTACTTTCTTTTTTTTTTTTTTTCTTTTGACACAGAGTCTTGCTCTTGTCGCCCAGGCTAGAATGCAATGGCACAGTCTTGGCTCACTGCAACTTCTGCCTCCCAGGTTCAAGCGATTCTGCTGCCTCAGCCTTCTTGGTAGCTAGGATTACAGGCACCTGCCACCACGTCCAGCTAATTTTTGTACTTTTAGTAGAGACAGGGTTTCACCATGTTGGCCAGGCTGGTCTCGAACTCCTGACCTCAGGTGATCGGCCCGCCTCAGCCTCCCAAAGTGCTGGGATTATAGGCGTGAGCCACTGCACCTGGCAATTTTCGCTACTTTCTGTCAATTTCCTGTTCCTTTCCCACTCCCCTACTTTTTGGATGCTCTTGTAACTATTTATTTTCTTTTTTTTTTTTTCCCAAGACTGAGTCTTGCTCTGTCGCCCAAGCTGAAGCGCAGTGGCGAGATCTCGGCTCACTGCAAGCTCTGCCTCCTGGGTTCACACCATTCTCCTGCCTCAGCCTCCCGAGTAGCTGGGACTACAGGTGCCCGCCACCACACCTGGCTAATTTTTTGTATTTTTAGTAGAGACGGGGTTTCACCGTGTTAGCCAGGATGGTCTCGATCTCCTGACCTCGTGATCCGCCCGCCTCAGCCTCCCAAAGTGCTGGGATTACAGGCGTGAGCCACCGCACCCAGCCAACTATTTATTTTCAAGCAGAGCCTTGCTCTGTGCCCCAGGCTATCATGCAGTGGCACTATCATAGCTCACTGCAACCTTGACCTCCTGTGCTCAAACAGTCCTTCTGCCTCAGTCTCCTGAGTAGCTGGGACTACAGGTGTGCACCACCATGGTAATTTTTTTGTGTTGTCGTAGGGATGAGGTCTCCCTATATTGCCCAGGTTGGTCTCAAACACCTGACCTCAAGCAATCCTCCCACTTCAATCTCCCAAAGTGTTGGGATTACAGGTGTGAGCCACTGCACCCAGTTAACTTACTATTTAGCTGTTGATTAGTGTCTAGACTCAGTAAAGTTAGATAATAATTTGTGTAAGAATCTCCTTTGTAATAACTGGTCTGGCATCACAGACAAGCCTGAAAGAAATTTGCCAGTTTTGTATCCAATTTCCCAACATAATTGCAACATCCTTCCAGCCCCCCCACCCCCCAGAATATCCACTGCTCCTTCTTTCAGCCATCTCTATTTTTCTGCTGCTTTCATCATTAATGAGTTCAATAACACCTTTGACATCTGCTCACCCTGTTTTTGTATGAGTCATGTTTGTTTGTTCTTTGAGACAGGGTCTCATTCTGTCACCCAGGCTGGAGGACAGTGGCACAATCATGGCTCACTGCATCATGGACCTCCTAGGCTCAAGCAGTCCTCCTGCCTCAGCCTCATGAGTAGCTGAGACCACAGGTCGTGCCACCACACCCAGCTGTTTTTGAATTTTTGGTGGAGATGGAGTTTCACCATATTGCCCAGGCGGGTCTTGAACTCCTGAACTCAAGTGATCTGCCTTCCTCAGACTCGTAAAGTTCTGGGATTACTGGCATGAGCCACCACGCCCAGCCTGGGGACATTTTTTTTTTTTTTTGAGACAGCGTCTTGCTCTGTCGCCCAGGCTGGAGTGCAGTGGTGGGATCTCGGTTCACTGCAAGCTCCGCCTCCCGGGTTCATGCCGTTCTCCTGCCTCAGCCTCCCGAGTAGCTGGGAATACAGGCGCCCGCCACCACACCCGGCTAATTTTTTTTTTGTATTTTTAGTGGAGACGGGGTTTCACCGTGTTAGCCAGGATGGTCTCGATCTCCTCTCCTCGTGATCTGCCCGCCTCGGCCTCCCAAAGTGCTGGGATTACAGGCGTGAGACACTGCGCCTGGCCTTTTTTTTTTTTTTTTTTTTGAGACAGAGTCTCGCCCTGTTGCCCAGGCTGGAGTGCAGTGGTGGGATCTCGGCTCACTGCAACCTCCACCTCCCGGGTCCAAGCGATTCTCCTGCCTCAGCTTCCTGAGTAGCTGGGATTACAGGTGCCCACCGCCACGCCTGGCTAACTTTTGTAATTTAAGTAGAGACGGGGTTTCACCATCTTGGCCAGGATGGTCTCAATTTCCTGACCTCCTGATCTGCCTGCCTCGGCCTCCCAAAGTGTTGGGATTACAGGCATGAGCCACTGTGCCTGACCAGGGACACATTTTAAAAGTTAAAAACATGACTCTTAGCCAGGTGCGATGGCTCATGCCTGTAATCCCAGCTACTTGGGAGGCTGAGGCACCAGAATCACTTGAACCCAGGAAGTGGAGGTTGCAGTGAGCCGAAATAGTACCACTGCACTCCAGCCTGAGTGACAGAGCAAGACTCTGTCTCAAAAAAACAGAAAATGTATACGTGTGTGTGTGTGTGTATATATATACACACACACACACACACACACACACATATCCCTGTTTTATTTCATTTTTATTATGGGGTTTTTGTTGTTTTCTGTTTTTGTTTTTGTTTTTGTTTTTGTTTTGAGACAGTCTTGCTCTGTGGCCCAGGCTGGATCGGCTCACTGCAACCTCCACATCCCACTTCCAAGTGATTCTCCTACCTCAACCTCCTGAGTAACTGGGACTATAGGTGCCCACTGCCACACCTGGCTAATTTTTGTATTTCTAGTAGACAGGGTTTCAACATGTTGGCCAGGCTGGTCTGGAACTCCTGACCTCAGGTAATCCGCCCACCTCAGCCTCGGGCTATTTTTTATTGAAGAATAACATACGTACAGAAAAAGCATATAATCACAGGTACGCAGCTTGACACATTTACGCAAAGTGAATATTCTATGTAACCAGCAGCTAAATCAAGAAACAGAAAATTATAAGCAGAGCAGAGTCCCCGTCCTGTTCCCATGTAGTCACTGGTCCTTCTAAAGCAATCACCATTCTAACTTCTAGCTACATACATAAATATTCTCTTAATTTGTCTTAATTTTCTCATAAAAATGGAATCCATAATATGTACTCTTTTGTGTCTGGCTTCTTTCATTCCACATTATGTTTGTGGCATGTAGTTATATTTCATTCATTCTCATTTCTCTATAGTATTCCACAGTGTGACTAAACTAGGTATTACATGATTATGTGGAATGATTGGAATGCTCTGACACCGCTGCAACTTTAAATAACCACTTTGCGCTGTGTACAGTGGCTCATGCTTGTAACCCCAGCATTTTGGGAGGCCGAGGCAGAAAGATTGCTTGAGCCTAGAGGTTTGAGACCAGTAGGGCAACATAGTGAGTCCCTGTCTCTACAAAGAATAAAAAAATTAACAAACCATGGTGGCTCACGTCAGCAGTCCCAGCTACTTGGGAGGTTGAGGGAGGAGGATCACTTGAGTCCAGGAGGTGGAGGTTGCAGTGAGCTGGAAAACAAAACAAAACAAAACAAAACAAAAAACAGAAAAGAAAAGAAATAGCCCCTAAGTGGCCAGATGCGGAATCCCAGCGCTTTGGGAGGCCAAGGAGGGCGGATCATTTGAGGTCAGGAGTTCGAGACCAGCTTGACCTACATGTCAGACCCTGTCTCTACTAAAATACAAAAATTAGCTGGACGTGGTGGTGGGCACCTATAATCCCAGCTCCTCGGGAGGCTGAGGCAGGAGAATCGCTTGAATCCAGGAGGCGGAGGTTGCAGTCAGCCAAGATTGTGCCACTGCACTCTAGCCTGGGTGACACAGCCAGATTCCTTATCAAAAACAAACAAACAAACAAAAAATGCCCCTAACTGGGAACTGCTTAAATGTCCATAATAAAAGAAGACAGGGGCCAGGCACGGTGGCTGGTGGCTCATGCCTGTAATCCCAGTACTTTGGGATTCCTAGGTGGGCAGATCACTTGAGGTCAGGAGTTCGAGACCAGCCTGACCAACATGGTGAATATCCATTTCTACTAAAAATACAAAAAATTTAGCTGGGCGTCATGGGGCATGCCTGTAATCCCAGCTACTCGGGAGGCTGAGGCGTGAGAATCGCTTGAACCTGGGAGGTGGAGATTGCAGTGAGCTGAAATTGTGCCACTGCACTCCAGCCTGGGAGACAGAGTGAGACTCTGCCTTAAAAAAAAAAAAAAAAAAGAACAGTGTATTGTACTGCACGCACATATTTTGTGCATCTGCTGGGTTATAAGACCTAAATGGTAGAGTCATTTGCACCACATCCTGGACAGGCTAGAGAATCTCCTCTTGCTCTGGGCTCCACCGGCCTTACAGTTCACTTCGCTGATGAGTGAGAGCAGGTCTCCCGGCCATGATACAAGCTGCCCCCAAAATTCCAAAGGGCTTTTTCTTACCACCTTTTCCATCAAAGGATGGGGGTATAGGGGATGAAAGTTTCAGTAGCTTGCCCTGTGTTTAGGGAAAAAACAAAATTCTAACAAAACTCTTCTCCCGGACCTCCAAAATATCTCTGGGCTGGCAGGTCTCTGTATTTTTTTTTTTTTTATTGAACTTCCTTAAATGCACATAAGTCAGCTAATACTTCCATGGTACCTGTTTCTTTCTGCTCTTGGTACATCGATATTATTATTATTATAATTATTTAATTATTATGAAACAAGGTCTTGCTCTGTCGCCCAGGCTGGAGTACAGTGGCACAATCACAGATCACTGCAGCCTCCACCTCCTTGGCTCAAGTGATCCTCCAGCCTTAGCCTCCTAAGTAGCTGAGACCACAGGTGCACACCACCATGCCTGATAATTTTTTTTTTTTTTTTTTTTGGAGACGGAGTTGCCCTCTGTTGCCCAGGCTGGAGTGCAGTGGTGTGATCTCAGCTCACTGCAAGCTCCGCGTTCCGGGTTCACACCATTCTCCTGCCTCAGCCTCCTGAGTAGCTGGGATTACAGGCACCCGCCACCACTCCCGGCCAATTTTCTTTCTTTTTTTTTTTTTTTTGTATTTTAGTAGAGACGGGGTTTCACCATGTTAGCCAGGATGGTCTCGATCTCCTGACCTCATGATCCACCTGCCTCAGCCTCCCAAAGTGCTGGGATTACAGGTGTGAGCCACCGCGCCTGGCCCAATACCCGGCTAATTTTGTGTGTGTGTGTGACGCAGTCTCGCTCTGTCGCCCAGGCTGGAGTGCAGTGGCGCTATCTCTGCTTGCTGCAAGCTCTGCCTTCTGGCTTCATGCCATTCTCCTGCCTCAGCCTCCCGAGTAGCTGGGACTACAGGCACCCGCCACCACGCCCGGCTAATTTTTTTTTTTGTAATTTTAGTAGAGACGGGGTTTCACCGTGTTAGCCACGATGGTCTCAATCTCCTGACCTTGTGATCCGCCTGCCTCGGCTTCCCAAAGTGCTGGGATTACAGGCCTGAGCCACCGCGCCCGGCCAATTTTGTATTTTTAGTAGAGATGGGGTTTCACCATATTGTCCAGGCTGGTCTCAAACTCCTGACCTCGTGATCCGCCTGCCTCGGACTCCCAAAGTGCTGGGATTACAGGCATGAGCCACCACGCCCAGCCAGAATTTTTTCTTTTTTCTAGAGAAGGGGGTCTCCGTATGTTGCCCAGTCTGGTCTTGACCACCTGACCTTCATTGATTTTCCTACGTCGGCCTCCCAAAGTGGTGGGATTACAGGTGTGAGCCACTGCCACCGGCCAGTAATTATGCTGATGAAAGACCTGTTTTTTCTCCAGTTCCTGGGATGGCTCTAGGGAGGGTTATTTACACTGTGAGTGAGGAGGCATTCACAGAGAAGTTCCTCCAGAGTGTGGAAGAAGCACTACCATTTGGCACCAACGCCTGGAGAACAAAGGAGGAGACCATTGGCCAAAGAGAGGCATTTCCATTTTGTTGGAACCTGCTGACCACCAACCCATAGCATTTTTTCCCTTTCTTCCTTGCTAATCCAATCGCAGATTCATTGAGGAGGTGAGAGGTCCTGAGATCCAGGCTGGAAGAGGAGTGATTGGTCTACCTGGTTCTCAAGGGATAATGTTGCCCCCTAGAGGACATTTTGGAAATTATTAAGGAAAATTAACGACTGGTTTTTTGGTTGTCATCTGGTTCTCAAGGGAACAGTATTGCTTCCTTGGGAGAATTTGGAAACTTACCTTTTTTCATCGTCACAATGGTGAAGGGTTTGTTACTGGGATTAGAGGACAAGGACCAGACATGCCAAGATGTTCTACAATATAGCATTCCTAATTAATAATCACCTAATGAATAAAGCTCAGATAGCACTTAAAAAGTGGGGAAAGGACTGTTTATACTAAATTATGCTAAGCTGTAACACTGAACTATTCCAGTTCTTTTGAAATTGTTTACATAGCAAAATCATAGTTGACTCCTGGCCATTTAAGACTTATGCCACCACTCTTGGGATAGTGAAAATGTTTTGCAACTAGATTGAGGTGGTGATTGTATAATATGGTGAAAGTACTAAAAGCCACTAAATTGTGCACTTCAAAATGCTGCCTAATTTTATATTATGTGAATTTCACCTCAATAAAAATGTCTTTTTTTTTTTTTTTTTGAGAGGGAGTCTTGACCTGTTGCCAGGCTGGAGTGCAGTGGCGCAATCTCAGCTCACTGCAACCTCCACCTCTCAGGTTCAACCCATTCTCCTGCCTCAGCCTCGCAAGTAGCTGGGACTACAGGTATGCGCCACCACACCCAGCTAATTTTTTTGTATTTTTAGTAGAGACAGGGTTTCACCATGTTGACCAGCATGGTCTCAATCTCCTGACCTTGTGATCCACCTGCCTCGGCCTCCCAAAGTGCTGGGATTATAGGTGTGAGCCCCCGGGCCCAGCCAATAAAAATGTTTTTTTAAAAGGATGCATATTTCCAAACATGAGACTATACCATCACATTTAATTTTTCCCAGAAACTATAAAAAGTAGAAGTGAAGAGAGGAAAGGGAGACACTTTTAGACCTTCAATGAGTCTGCAAGTACAGGAGAAAATAATTTATGCAGCAATTAGCTTTATTTTCAGGGCTCTTTTTCTTTTCTTTTTTTTTTGTTGAGACGGAGTCTCGCTCTTTTGCCCAGGCCGGAGTGCAGTGGCGCTATCTTGGCTCAGTGCAAGCTCTGCCTCCTGGGTTCATACCATTTTCCTGCCTCAGCCTCCCGAGTAGCTGGGACTACAGGCACCCGCCACCATGCCCAGCTAATTTTTTGTATTTTTAGTAGACACGGGGTTTCACCGTGTTAGCCAGGATGGTCTCGATCTCCTGACCTCATGATCCGCCCGCCTCTGCCTCCCAAAGTGCTGGGATTACACGCGTGAGCCACCGCGCCTGGCCAACAAAGTGATCATTTTACAAGAGTTATGGCATAGTCACAGGTAAGAACCTGGGTCACTGGGTCACTCCCTAACCAATTACGAATTACTATATGCCATGGACCTTCAGGATTACTTTCTTTTTTGTTTTGTTTTTGTTTTTTTTTTTGAGACAGAGTCTCGCTCTGTCACCCAGACCGGGGTGCAGTGGCGCGATCTCAGCTCACTGCAACCTCTGCCTCCCGGATTCAAGCAATTCTCCTGCCTCAGCCTCCCGAGTAGCTGGGATTACAGGCATGTGCCACCACGCCTGGCTAATTTTTTTGTATTTTTAGTAGAGACCGGGTTTCACCATATTGGCCAGGCTGGTCTCGAACTCCTGACCTTGTGATCCACCCACCTTGACCTCCCAAAGTCCTGGGATTACAGGCGTGAGCCACCGCGCCCAGCCCAGGATTACTTTCTTTCTTTCTTTTGAGACAGAGTTTTGCTCTTGTTGCCCAGGCTGGAGTGCAATGGCACAATCTCGGATCACTGCAACCTCCACCTCTCAGGTTCAAGCGATTCTCCTGCCTCAGCCTCCCAAGTAGCTGGGATTACAGGCATGCGGCACCATGCCTAAAATTTTGTATTTTTAGTAGAGATGGGGTTTCTCCACTTTGGTCAGGATGGTCTCGAACTCCCGACCTCAGGTGATCCGCCCGCCTCGGCCTCCCAAAGTGCTGGTATTACAGGCATGAGCCACCGTGCCTGGCCTCTATTTTTCTTTCTATAATCCATGTACATTTTCCTTTAATAATATAAGGCAACTAAACAGCACTTTATTTTCAGAGGCTTATCTAAAAGATACTTGACACAGCCCTTTGCAGCTGGGTCATTCTCTGAATTCTAAATGTCGTTTCCTGCACAAAGTGGTTATTTGATCTTGTAACTGGCATTTTCCCCGGAGATTAGGAAGTGGCACACCAAAGTGCAAAAAACTTTGGAATCAGAACTTTAATTTTTAATCTTTATTTTATTTATTTATTTATTTTTGTGACAGAGTCTCGCTCTGTTGCCCAGGCTAGAGTGCAATGGCAAGATCTCCACTCACTACAAACTCCACCTCCCGGGTTCAAGTGATTCTCCGCCTTCAGCCTCCTGGGTAGCTGGGATCACAGGCGCACACCACCACACTCGGCTAATTTTTGTATTTTGAGTAGAGATGGGGTTTCACCATGTTGGCCAGGCTGGTCTCTAACTCCTGACCTCAGGTGATCCTCCCGTCCATGCCTCCCAAAGTGCTGGGATTACAGGTATGAGTCACTGTGCCCGGCCTAATTTTTATATTTTTTTGTAGAGACGGGGTCTGGCTGTGTTTGACAGCCTCAAACTCCTGGCCTCAAGTGATCCTCTCAAAGTGTTGGGATTACAGACATGAGCCACAGTGCCTGGCCTATTGAAAGCTTTTCCATCATAATAGGTCCTTCCCCCCAATGCTTGCAGCAAGTCAATAGTAGGAGACCCCAGGTTGCAGCAGAGAAAGAGGTTTAATCATAGGGGCCACTGAAAACCAAGAGAGGAGATGGAAGGAACCACGAATCCACTTCCCCAGGGAGTTCGGGGCTTTTTAAGGGTTTTGGAGTGGGTTGAAGTGTGGAGGTCATTGGTTGGTTGAAGTGTGCAGGGTGAAGTAATGAAACAGGGAGTTGAAGAAACTCTATTCTCCTGTCGATTTGGTTCCTCTGCGGGGTCTTCACACTGGTTGGTATCAGCTGTTTTGCTGGAATTCAGGATCTGAAAAATATCTTAAGCTTTTTTTTTTTTTTTTTTTTTTTTGAGACAAGGTCTGTTGTCCAGGCTGGAGTGCAGTGGTGCCATCATAGCTCATTGCAGCCTCTAACGCCTGGGCTCAAAGGATCCTTCCACCTTAGCCTCCCAAGTAGCTGGGATTACAGGCACGCACCACCACACCCAGCTAATTAAAAAATTTTTTTTTTTGTAGAGACAGGGGTCTTGTCATGTTGCCCAGGCTGGTCATGAACTCCTGACTTCAAGTGATTTTCCTATCTCAGTCTCCTAAAGCGCATGGATTACAGGCATGAGCCACCATGCCGGGCGCTAAGCAATTCTTATTATTTATTTATTTATTTATTTATTTATTTTTTTCTGAGACGGAGTCTTGCTCTGTTGCCCAGGCTGGAGTGCAGTGGCGCGAACTCGGCTCACTGCAAGCTCCATCTCCCAGGTTCATGCTATTCTCTTGCCTCAGCCTCCTCAGTAGCTGGGACTACATGCGCCTGCCACCACGCCCGGCTAATTTTTTGTAGTTTTAGTAGAGACAAGGTTTCACCATGTTAGCCAGGCTGATCTCGAACTCCTGACCTCGTGATCCGCCCACCTCTGCCTCCCAAAATGCTGGGATTACAGGCGTGAGCCACCACCTCCGGCCTAAGCAATTCTTAAATAAAAATCTATGATTCCGCCAGGCATGGTGGCTCACACCTGTAATCCGTGCACTTTGGGAGGCCGAGGCGGGTGGATCACAAGTTCAGGAGTTCGAGACCAGCCTGGCCAACATGGTGCAATCCCTGTCTCTACTAAAAATACAAAAGTTAGGTGGGCATGGTGGCTTTTTTTTTTTTTTTTTTAGACGGGAGTCTCTGTCATCCATGCTGGAGTGCAGTGGCAGGATCTTGGCTCACTGCAACCTCTGCCTCCCAGGTTCAAGCGATTCTCCGGCCTCAGCCTCCCAATTGGCTGAGACTACAGGCGTGTGCCACCACGCCCGGCTAATTTTTTAGTATTAGTAGAGATGGGGGTTTCACCATCTTGGCCGGGCTGGTCTCGAACTCCTGACTTCGTGATCTGCCCTCCCTGGCGTCCCAAAGTGCTGGGATTACAGGCATGAGCCACTGTGCCCTGCCAAAAAGCCTATGATTCTAACATCAGAAATCCTTCCACCTCAGCCTCCCACGTAGCTGGGACTATAGACTCAGTACCACCACACCAAGCTAATTTTTGTATTTTTAATAGAGATAGCGTTTCCCTATATTGACCACCTGGGGCCATCCCTGGTTTTTTTTTTTTTTCCCTTCCTTCCTTCCTTTCCCTCTCTCTTTCCCTCCCTCCTTCCTTCCTTTCTTTCTTTCTTTCTTTTTTTTTTTTTTTTACAGAGTCTTGCTCTGTTACCCAGGTTGGAGTGCAGAGGCATGATCTTGGCTTACTACAACCTCCGCCTCCCGGATTCAAGCAATTATCCTACCTCAGCCTTCCAAGTAGCTGGGACTACAAGTGTGAGCCACCATGCCCTGCTAATTTTTTTATTTTTACTAAAGACGGGATTTCACCACATTAGCCAGGCTGGTCTCCAACTCCTGATTTAAAGTAATCTGCCTGCCTTGGCCTTCCGAAGTGCTGAGATTACAGGTGCGAGTCACCGTGCCTGGCCTATTCCTGTTTTCTTAACGCTCCTCTCTCCCACTGGGCCGTGACTGCCTCTAAGGCAGAGATGTGTTCATTTTTATTATTATTGTATGTCCAGGGCTGGGCACAAAGTGCAACACATAGTAGGGACATGAAAGGCTGGGCACAGTGGCTCATGGTTGTAATCCCAGCACTTTGGGAGGCAGAGGCGGGAGGATGGCTTGAGGCCAGGAGTTGGAGACCAGCCTAGGCAACAGAGGGACCCCATCTCTATGAAAAAAAAAAAAAAAAATTGACAGTTCAATGTCACCTCTGATAAGCCTTCCCTGACCACCCCTGTTACTCTGTAGCCCCATGTCCTGCTTTATTTTTCTCCAAAGCATTTATCATCGCTGGGTTTATATTTATTTCTCTTCGGGCTTTTCTCACTGGATCGTAAACTCCATGAGGACAGGGCTTTGTCGATTTCACTCAATACCGTTATTTTACAACATCCCTATTGCTGGGATCTCAGTATGCACTCCTTAAATATTTGCAGAATTTAAGTGCCACATAAGTGACCACGTGGGCAACGCCCTCGGGGCCTTAAGCCGCGCCATTTTTGGGGCTAGGATTGGTTGGACCCTCCGTCACGTGACATGCAGTCGCCGGATCGCCTTTGAGTCTCGTGAGGTACTTTTGGTCCCAGGCTCCGCGGACGAGGTACTGCGCAGGCGTGGGAGGGTCTGCGCATGCGCAGAAGCACTCCGGGCGTGCTGCCGGCGGCGGTAGGTGGCGCGCGGGTCCGGCGGGCGGTTGGCTTGAGCGGGACCGGAGCTGAGGCAGGAAGAGCCGGCGCCATGGTGGAGAAGGAGGAGGCTGGCGGCGGCATTAGCGAGGAGGAGGCGGCACAGTATGACCGGCAGATCCGCCTGTGGGGACTGGAGGCCCAGAAACGGTCAGGGCCGGCGCGGCTTGAGGCCGCTAGGGTCTGGAGGGGGCGTCTATTCTGAGGCGTTTGCGGCCCGGAAGGAGCGGGAAGGTGTGATTTGAAGGGAGGAGGCGGGAATTCTGTGCTCTGGGATCGTCTCTCTCTTGGGGGGACTGGAGGAGTTGATTGGGGATGTTTCTGGAAGGTCTGGGAAGTGGTTGGGAGGGCCGTTCCGAAGGATGGGAGCTCTGAAGGGGGCGTTGGGGAGTCCTGAGAGAGCGGGAGAATTCAAACTCAGGAAATCCGAGGCCCGAAAGCGGTGATTGTGGGGTTTGATCGCGGTTAGGGGATAAGAGGGGCTGGGGATACGTGGAAAGGGTGAGGTGAGGGACGCAGTTCATTCATTCGAGGGTATGGGACCTGGTTCCGTGCTGCACACAGGGGAGACTGGACTGGCCAACCGGACAGACGGGAGCTTACACTCTTGTGGGAGCTCACGGGCGGGCCAGTCTGAGAGAATGCGGGTTTTGAGGAGTTTTGGAGCAAGTTATCTCAAATGGGAATCTTGAGAGGCTCGGAGAGGCTGGAGGGGGACGGCCGTAGGCTCCCGAAAAGGTTGCTTGTGTTTGGTATGGGGCTGTGTCTTGATAGGACAGGAGACGTAGTTTGGGCATTGTGGAGTAGCTTAGGGAATTCTTTTTTTTTTTTTTTTTTTTTTTGAGATAGTCTCTCTCTGTCGCCCAGGCTGGAGGGCAGTGGCGCGATCTCGGCTCACTGCAACCTCTGCCTCCCGGATTCAAGCGATTCTCCTAACTCAGCCTCCCGAGTAGCTGGGATTATAGGGGCCCGCCAGCACGCCCGGCTAATTTTTGTATTTTTAGTAGACACGGGGTTTCGCCATATTGACGAGACTGGTCTCGATCTCCTTACCTCAAGTGATCCACCCGCCTCGGCCTCCTGAAGTGCTGGGATTACAGGAGTGAGCCACCGCGCCAGGACGTCTTTTGTTTTGTGCAGTTGGGTGACCTCGGTTCACTGCAGCCTCTGGCCTCCCGGGTTCAAGACTTCCTCTCACCTCAGTCTTCTGAGTAGCTGGGATTACAGGCTCGCGCCACCATGCCTGGCTAATTTTTGTATTTTTAGTAGACATGGGTTTTCACCATGTTGGCCAGGCTGGTCTCAAACTCCGGACCTCAAGTGATCTGCCCGCCACAGCCTCCCAAAGTGGTTGGATTACAGACGTGAGCCACTGTGCCCAGCTTGTTTTTTTTTTTTTTCTTTCTCTGTGGCCCAGTGGAGTGCAGTGGTGGGATCACAGCTCACTGTAGCCTCAACCTCCAAGGCTCAAGGGATATTCCCTCTTCAGCCTCCCAAGTAGCTGGGACTACAGGCGTGCCCCACCACATCATCCGACTAATTTTTGTTTTTTTTTTTTTTTGTAGGATGGGGTTTTGCCATGTTGCCCAGACTGGTCTTGAACTCCCAAGCTCAAGCGATCCTCGGCCTCAAGAGATCTCCCCCCATCTCAGACTCCTAAAATGCTGGGATTACAGGCATGAGCTACCATGCCTGGCCTCATTGATCAATATTTTTACTTAGCCTGGACGCAGTGACTCACACCTGTAATCCCAGCACTTTGGGAAGCTGAGTTGGGGGGAGGGGACCTCTTGAGCCCAGGAGTTTGAGACTAGCCTGGGTAATGTTGCCAAACCCAGTCTCTACAAAAAAATACAAAAATTAGCCAGGCATGGTGACATAAGTTTATAGTCCCAGCTTGTCAGGAGACTGAGGTGGGAGCATCACCTGAGCCCCTGGGAGGTGGAGGTTGCAGTGAGCCATGATCACACCACTACACCCCAGCCTGGGTGACAGAGTGAGGCCCCGTCTCAAAAAAAAAAAAAAAATCCACAAGCGTGTGTATATGTGTCAGTTATTAAAGGATGGTGAAGTGAGAGGGTTGTTTTGATAGGTTGGCCAGGGAAGGGCTCTGAAGAGGTAACATTGAGCCTCAGACTTATATGGGAAAGAGCCCTGTGGTCATCTGGGAGAACTTTCCTAGCTAAGAGAACAGCAAGTGCAAATTCCCAGAGGCCCAGGCATGATTGTCAAATTAGAGAAATAAGGTGGCAGGAACCAAATGATTTGAGGAGTAGCTTTTATTCTAAGTGTGTGGGAAAACCTGTTGGAGTGTTTTGAGTGTGGGAGTAACATGATCTGTTTTTTGTTTGTTTTTTGAGACGGAGTCTTGCTCTGTGGCCCAGGCTGGAGTGCAATGGCACGATCTCGGCTCACTGCCATTGCAGTGAATCCGCCTCCCAGGTTCAAGCGATTCTCCTGCCTCACCTTCCTGAGTAGCTGGGACTATCGGCATGTGCCACAACACCCGGCTAATCTTGAGTATTTTTAGTAGAGACGGGGTTTCACCATGTTAGACAGGATAGTCTCGATCTCCTGACCTCGTGATCCGCCTGCCTTGGGCTCCCAAAGTGCTGTGATTACAGGCGTGAGCCACTGCGGCCTGGCCTGGTTTGTGTTTTAAAATGATCGCTCCAGAATAGGTTAAAGTGGTCAGAAATGGAAGTAAAGATTCTGGCTGGACTGTTGCAGTAATCCAGTTGAGATAAAAATATTGGTGGCTTGAAACTCAAGAGAAGGGGTCAAATAAATATATTCTGGATATATTTTGAAGGTAGAAGAGGGAACAGAATTTGGGGCAGAAGTCCAGGATGACACCACTGTTTTTGGCTTGAGCACCTACCTGGAACGATGGAATTGCCATTTTGAAAGATATGGAGAGCTGTAGGTTTGGTGGGGTCGGGGAAGAGTCAGTTCTCTTTTAGGTTTCAGATTTGTTTTTTTTGTTTGTTTTTTTTTTTTTTGAGACGGAGTCTCACTCTGTCGCCCAGGCTGGAGTGCAGTGGCATGGTCTCGGCTCACTGCAACCTCTGCCTCCCAGGTTCAAGCAATTCTCCTGCCTCAGCCTCCCGAGTAGCTGGGATTACAGGCGCCCGCCACCATGCCCAGCTAATTTTTGTATTTTTAGTAGAGACGGAGTTTCACCGTGTTGGTCAGGCTGGTGTTGAACCCCTGACCTCGTGATCCACCTGCCTCGGCCTCCCAAAGTGCTGGGATTACAGGTGTGAGCCACCATGCCCGGCCTCAGATTTGTTTTTTTATACAACTAAGTAGAAATATGTGAGGGGTTGAGTTCAGAGGTAAAATTTGGGTGATGGTGGGTATTGTGTGAGTACAGAGTATAGAATTAATGGAGGGGTTGGGGAGGCAGACACGTCAGGAGAATTTAGTTTGAGGGGGTGGGAGCTTTCAGAAGGTTTTAGAGGGTGCAGTGGTGGGATGGGAATTACCTCAGGCTCATTTCAGATCTGTGGGGTCTTCTTTGATGGGGTGGGGGGATGTCATCATGAGGCATTAACATTGGTGGGAGGGTTGAAGGCACCTGGAATAGATTGGGAATTAAGTGATGAGAATGTGCCTCTGGACATAGGTGGACTGCATTGATTTTAGGGACTGCTATTTTCTGGATGGAGTGGAAAGAGGATTTATGTGAGTTGGAGGAAACTTTGAGGAAGCTTGGTGTGTTCTGAGATCCTAAAGGGTTGGGGAGGGGATTCTAAGGTACTGGAAGGGTTAATCGAAGGGGTTTGCGGCAGCAGATAGCTTTGTTTGAAGTGGGGCAAAGTTGGTGAGGTTTAAACTGGAATGTAGTTAGGGAACTTTCAGAGGGATGGGGATGATTTTTCTGAGAAGCAGTGAAGAATGGATGGGGGCCTCTGAGTGGGAGATGACCTAAGGGACAAGTCAGGGTCAGGGCATGGAATTTGTGGGAGGTAGGAATTATTCTGAGGGAGTGGAGCTGTACCAAATTTGGTGGAGAACATGAAAAGGATTGGCTGGGGGTTGCAGGAGGGAGGGAAGAGGTTGTTTGTAATTTGTACTCTATTTTTAGACAGTCTTAGAGAGTTTATTAAAGTGTTTTTTGTCCATTTTCAGCCGAGGTTTTTAGAAATTAAAAATTTTTTTGTGTGAGTACATAGTAGGTGTATACATTTTGGGGGTATGTGAGATACTTTGATACAGGCATACAATGGGTAATAATCACATCAGGGTAAATGGGGTATCCACCACCTTAAGCACTTATCCTTTGTGTTACAAACAATCCAATTATATTCTTTTAGTTGCTTTGAAATGTACAACAAATTATTGTTGACTGTAGTCACCCTGTTATGCTATCAAATACTGTATCTTATTCATTGTATTTAATTATATTTTTGTATCCATTAGTCATCCCTCCTTCCCCTCCACCCCCCACTACCCTTCCTAGCCTCTGGTAACCCTCAGTCTACTATCTGCATGAGTTCAATTGTTTTAATTTTTTTAGTTCCCACAAATAAGTGACAGCGTGCAAAGTTTTCTTTCTGTGCCTGATTTATTTCACTTAACATAATAACATCCAGTGCCCTCCCTGTTGTTGTAAATGACAGGATCTCATTCCCTTTTTTTTGTAGACAGGGTCTCTCTGTCGCGCAGACTAGAGTGCAGTGGTGTGATCACAACTCACTTCAGCCTTGACTTCTTGGGCTCAGGTGATCCTCCCACCTCAGCCTCCCGGTAGTTGTGACTATAGCACGTGTCACAAGCCCAGCTAATATTTTAGTACAGGTGGGGTTTCACCAGGCTAGTCTCCAACTCCTGGGCTCAAATAATCCTCCTGCCTCCCTGCAAAGTGCTGGGATTAGAGGCGTGAACAGCAATGCCCAGCCTTTGTACCACAATTTCTATTTTTTTTTTTGAAACGGAGTCTCGCCGTGTCGCCTAGGCTGGAGTAGGCTGGAGTGCAGTGGCGCAGTCTTGGTTCACTGCAAGCTCCGCCTCCCAGGTTCACGCCATTCTCCTGCCTCAGCCTCCCTAGTAGCTGGGACTACAGGTGCCCGCCACCACGCCCGGCTAATTTCTGTATTTTTAGTAGAGACGGGGTTTCACCTTGTTGGCCAGGATGGTCTCAATCTCCTGACCTCGTGTACCACAATTTCTTTATCCATTTGTCTGTTGATAGACATATGGGTTGCTTTCAAATCTTGGCTATTGTGAAGAGTGCTGCAATAAACATGGGATTTATTGCAGTTTTTTTTCTTTTGAGACCGAGCCTCGCTCTGTTGCCCAGGCTAGAGGACAGTGGCACGATCTCAGCCCAGTACAATCTCCACCTCCCAGGTTCAAGCGATTCTCCTGCCTAAGCCTCCCAAGTAGCTGAGATTACAGGCACCTGCCACCACGCCCGGCTAATCTTTGTATTTTTTAGTAGAGATGGGGTTGCTGTGTTGGCCAGGCTGGTCTCAAACTCCTGGCTTCAGGTGATTGGCCCTCCTTGGCCCCCCAAAGTGTTGCAATTACAGGCGTGAGCCACCACACCCAGCCTGATTTATTTTCATTTGGGTATATACCTAGCAGTGGGATTGCATTTTTACCCGAGTCTTTTTTTTTTTTTTTTTTGAGACGGAGTTTCGCTCTTGTTACCCAGACTGGAGTATGGTGGCGTGATCTCAGCTCACCGCAACCCTTGCCTCCCAGGTTCAAGCAATTCTTCTGGTTCAGCCTCCCAAGTAGCTGGGATTACAGGCGTGTGCCACCATGCCCGGCTAATTTTGTATTTTAGTAGAGACGGGATTCCTCCATGTTGGTCAGGCTGTGAACTCCTGACCTCAGGTGATCCGCCCGCCTTGGCCTCCCAAAGTGCTGGGATTACAGGCATGAGCCACAGCCCCCGGCCTTCACCTGAGTCTTATAGCAGCTCTCTGGAGTCGGAAGGGCAGTGATTTCCTTCTCTGTTCAGATGAGGAAGGAGGCTCCACAGAGCAAATTGACTTGCCTCTAAGAGGGCTCTAGGTGGGATAGGAGGGTTCTAGGTGGGATAGGAGAACTCTGGAGACTGGAGTTCCTTTATGAAACAGAAGCCCTGGAAATGGGCAGGCTGATAAAATGTACAAATTGTGGGGCATTTTATAAGACAGTTATCCTACTTCTCTTCCAAAAGTCAGTTTCATGGGAAAAATAAGTGAAGGGACTGTTGTGGATTAAAAGAGAGTAAAGGCCGTCACAGTGACTCAGCCTGTAATCCCAGGACTTTGAGAGGCCGAGGTGGGTGGATCACCTGAGGTCAGGAGTTCGAGACTAGCCTGGCCAACATGGTGACCGTCTCTACTAAAAATACAAAAAAAATTAGCCAGGTGTGGTGGTGGGTGCTTGTAATCCCAACTACTTGGGAGGCTGAGGCAGGAGAATTGTTTGAATCCAGGAGGCAGAGGTTTTAGTGAGCCAAGGTCACACTATCGCACTCCAGCCTGGGTGACAAGAGCGAAACTCTGTCTCAAAAATAAATAAATAAAATAAAATAAAGTAAAGAAGCAGCTTCCTAGAGCAGATTTGGTTGCTTAAATTGAGGCCAAGTTTCTGGAGTTTTTATTGATAGTTGACAATTACAACTAAAATTTTTTTTTCTCGCTCTGTTACCCAGGCTGGAGTGCAGTGACGCAGTGACGTGATCTTCAGCTCACTGCAACCTCCACCTCCCGGGTTCAAGGGATTCTCCCGCCTCAGCCCCCAAGTAGCTGGGACCACAGGCGTATGCCATATCACTCAGCTAATTTTGTGTGTGCATGGCGTATGCCGTAACACTCAGCTGATTGTGTGTGTGTGTGTGTGTGTGTGTTGTTTTTTTTTTTTTTTTGTGATGGACTCTCACTCTGTCGCCCAGGCTGGAGTGCAGTGGCACAATCTTGGCTCACTGCAACCTCCGCCTCCTGAGTTCAAGCGATTCTCCTGCCTTAGCCTCTGGAGTAGCTCGGATTACAGGCGCGTGCCACCACACCTGGCTGATTTTTATATTTTTAGTAGAGACGGGGTTTTACCATGTTGGCCAGGCTGGTCTCAAACTCCTCACTTCAAGTGATCTGCCCACCTCGGCCTCCCAAAGTGCTGGGATTACAGGCGTGAGCCACTACACCCGGCCTATGTGTGTGTATTTTATTTTTTTATTTTTTTGAGACGGAATTTCTCTCTTGTTGCCCAGGCTGGAGTGCAATGGCGTGATCTAGACTCACTGCAACCTCTGCCTCCCGGGTTCAGGCAATTCTCCTGCCTCAGCCTCCTAAGTAGCTGGGATTACAGGCGCCTGCTACCGCGCCCAGCTAATGTTTGTATTTTTAGTAGAGACCAGGTTTCGCCATGTTGGCCAGGGTGGTCTTGAACTCCTGACCTCAGGTGATCTACCCGCCTCAGCCTCCTTAAGTGCTGGGATTACAGGCATGAGCCACTGCGCCTGGCCAGAAGTTACCTTCTTTGTGCCTGTTTTCTCAGCTGCAAAAGAGGGGTAACAAAGTGCCAGCCCATTAGATTGTCATGGGAATTAAATGACATAATACATACAAAGAGCTTAGTAGAACAGTGCTTGGCACATAGTAAGTGTTAGATAAATGTTGGCCATTATTATTTTATTATGTACCAGATTTCTATAATTCTGCTGATGGACACAGGTTTGTTTTGGTGTGTCTATTAATTCACAGCCATTTGAGTAACAGTATGTCCTAAATGCCAAGGAAGTTACTGGTTCTAGTGATACAGTGGTTTCTGGAGTTTACATTCTAATGGAGGAGGGGGCAGTAAACATATAAACAAGTAGTGTAGCTTAGCACAGTGGTGTGTGGCTGTGATCCCAGCTACTGGGGAGGCTGAGGTTGGAGGATCACTTGAGCCAGGCAATTGAGACTAGCTTGGGCAACTTAGTGAGGCCCCATTTCAATCAAAACAGTGGGCAACACAGACCCCATCTTAATCAAAACAAAAACAAGTAGCATAATTCGAGATAGAAGAGGATGTGGACCTATTTTAAATTAGGTGGCCAGTATGGACTTCTCTAAGGAGGTGACAATTGAGCTGAGACCTAAAGAATGTGTCCCTTAAGAAGTTGAGGGAAGAAGCAATGGGAAGCACTAATGCCAAGGTCCTAAGGTGGGAGCAAGGATGGGAGCAAGGATGATGTTCTCTAGGATCAGCCTCCCGAGTAGCTGGGACTACAGGCACGTGCCACCACGCCTGGCTAATTTTTGTATTTTGAGTAGAGATGGAGTTTCACCATATTGGCCAGGCTGGTCTCGAACTCCTGACCTCAAGTGATCCGACCGCCTCGGCTAATTTTGTGTATTTTTAGTAGAGACGGGGTTTCACCGTGTTAGCCACGATGGTCTCCATCTCCTGAACTCATGGTCCTCCCACCTTGGCCTCCCAAAGTGCTGGGATTACAGGCGTGAGTCGCCGCGCCTGGCACACCCAGCTAATTTTTTTTTGTTTTGTACAGATGGAGTCTTACTTTGTTGCCCAGGCTGGTTTCGAACTCATGGGCTCAAGTGATCCTCATGCCTTGCCCTCCTAAAGTGCTGGGATTACAGGTGTGACCCACTGCGTCCAGCCTGCTGTAGTTTTGTCGGAGAGAAACGATGGTGGCTCAGACTAGAGTGGTGTTTGTGGAACTTGAGGGAAGTAGATGGACAATGCTGCTGTGAATGTGTATCTTTTTTTTTTTTTTTTTTTGAGACAGAGTCTCACTCTTGTCACCCAGGCTGGAGTGCAGTGGCGCGATCTCGGCTCACTGCAAGCTACACCTTCCGGGTTCACACCATTCTCCTGTCTCAGCCTCCCGAGTAGCTGGGACTACAGGCACCCGCCACCACTCCCGGCCAATTTTTTTTTTTTTTTTTTTGTATTTTTAGTAGAAACGGGGTTTTACCATGTTAGCCAGGATGATCTCAATCTCCTGACCTCGTGATCTGCCCGCCTTGGCCTCCCAAAGTGTTGGGATTATAGGCGTGAGGCACCGTGCCCTGCTGAATGTGTATCATTTTTGTGCCCACTTGGGTATTTCTTTTTTTTTTTTTTTTTTTGAGACGGAGTCTCGCTCTTTCGTCCAGGCTGAAGTGCAATGGTGCGGTCTCGGCTCACTGCAACCTCCGCCTCCCGGGTTCAAGCGATTCTCCTGCCTCAGCTTCCCGAGTAGCTGAGATTACAGGCGCCTGCCACCACTCCCGGCTAATTTTTTTTTTTTTTCTTTTTGAAACAGACCCTTGTTCTGTTGCCCAGGATGGAATGCAGTGGCGCCATCTCGGCTCACTGCAAACTCCACCTCCCGGGTTCACGCCATTCTCTTGCCTTAGCCTCCCGAGTAGCTGGGACTACAGGCGCCCGCCACCATGCCCAGCTAATTTTTTATATTTTTAGTAGAGATAGGGTTTCACCTTGTTAGCCAGGATGGTCTCGGTCTTCTGACCTCGTGATCTGCCTGTCTCGGCCTCCCAAAGTGCTGGGATTACAGGTGTGAGCCACCGTGCCCAGCCCACGCCCGGCTAATTTTTGTAATTTTAGTAGAGATGGGGTTTCACCATGTTGGCCAGGCTGGTCTCGAACTCCTGACTTCAGGTGATCTACCCACCTTGGCCTCCCAAAGTGATGGGATTTGTAAACCCAGCACTTTGAGGGAGGCAGAGGCAGGAAGATTGCTTGAGCCCAGGAGCTGGAGATGAGCCTGGGCAACATAGTGAGACCCTGTGTCTACAAAAAAAAAAAAAAACCCATAAATCAGCCAGGTGCAGTGGTGTGCACCTATAGTCCCAGGACTCAATAGGCCGAGGTGGCGGGATCACTTGAACCTGGGAGGTTGAGGCTGCAGCGAGCCCTGATCTTGCCACTGCCCTTCAATCTGGGTTCACAGAATGAGACCCTGTTTCAATAAAACAAAACGTAAACATGGTATTTGGTGTTGATGGCAGTTGAGTATTTAATTTAATTTAATTTAATTTTTTTTGAGACGGAGTCTGTCACCTGGGATGGAGTGCAGCGGCACAGTCTTGGCTCATTGAAACCTCTGCCTCTCAGGTTCAAGCGATTCTCCTGCCTCAGCCTCCCAAATAGCTAGGATTACAGGTGCCCGCCACCAACATGCCCAGCTAATTTTTTTTTTTTAAACAGAGTCTCGCTGTGTCACCCAGACTGGCATGATCTCCGCTTACTGCAACCTCCGCCTCCCAGGTTTGAGTGATTCTCCTGCCTCACTGTCCCGAGTAACTGGGACTACAGGCGCCTGCCACCACGCCTGGCTAATTTTTGTATTTTCTGTAGAGACACGGTTTTGCCATGTTAGCCAGGCTGGTCTCGAACCCCTGGACTCAAGTGATCTGCCCGCCTTGGCCTCCCAAAGTGCTGGGATTACAGGCGTGAGCCCCCACGCCTGGCCATAATTTTTTTTGTATTTTTAGTAGAGAGGGTGTTTCACCATGTTGGACAGGCTGGTCTCGAACTCCTGACCTCAGGTGATCCACCCATCTCAGCCTCCCAAAGTGCTGGGATTACAGGCATGAGTCACCGGGCCCGGCTGAATAATGAATTTTAAACAACTGCAGAGCAGTCTGTAGAGCTATGTAGGAATGTAGGTCGTGGAGAGCAGATTTATTGTCAGGGACTTTTTATATGTAGCTGTTGCTGGAAGAGTTCGGGGAGGGGGAGTGCTTGCTGGTATTGACTCAGCCATGATAAAAAAGCCTTTTTTTGAGGAAATGGCATTGGAGTTGGGTTTTGAAGGGGAAAGGCGTAGGTAGGCATTGAGAGGAAGAAATGGTGCATTTTGCGAGGGTGGAATGTTGTGATTAAATTTTATTTAATTTTTAATTAAATTAATAGCAAACTCTTACCAGCAGAACTTAAATTGTGTGAAAATTATTCTTAGTTATTACTAAATCCTTTTCAGTATGAATAATACATTTGCTGCAGAATTATTAATGAGTTTGGTTACATGATGCAGCCCAAGATCTTGATGAGTTGTTTCATAATACATGATGTAAAGTCTGTATTTCCTTTTTGAAATCTGAAAAAATTGTGACTCTGAAATACTTCTGGTTCAAGAGATTTCAGATAAGATATAGTTGACCTATTCTGCTTCCTACTGACCTCAGAGAAGTCTTGGGATGGCCTGACCTCTGATTGCCTTTTTTCAGCCTCATCTTCTGTCACTTTACAGATTTAAAAAGCTAAAAACAAGGCTGGGCACGGTGGCTCATGCCTGTAATCCCAGCACTTTGGGAGGCTGAGGCAGGTGGATCACTTGAGGTCAGGGGTTCGAGACCAGCCTGAACAACATGGTGAAACTCCGTCTGTACCAAAAATACAAAAACTAGCCAGGCGTGACAGTAGGCGCCTGTAATCCCAGCTACTCGGGAGGCTGAGGCAGGAGAATTGCTTGGACCTGGGAGGCGGAGGTTGTAGTGAGCTGAGATCACGCCACTGCACTCCAGCCTGGGCAACAGAGCGAGACTCTGTCTTTAAAAAAAAAAAAAAAAAGGTAAAAGCAATTCCTGTGTACATGCTCTTTTCATGCCACCATGTGTTTTGCTTGTGTGTTATACTTAACTAGTGCCTCTTCTCAGCACCTCTTCTGCTGTCATGCTAGTTTGAGCCACCATCATCCTCCCTCACCTTAACTGTGACATCTTCCTACCCCCATGGCTTTCCATCATGCCTCGAAGAAAATCCAGAATCCTTCCATTGCATGTAAGAGCCTTCATGATGTGGCCCCTTGTTCCAACTTTTCAGCCTCTCTGTCATTCCTGTCCCTAGAACATGCCAAGCACTCCTGCTTCAGGGCTTTTGCATTTGCTGTTTTCTCTATCTGGAATGTTCTGCTGCCAAATATCTGTGTGTTTGTCCTTTATTTCATTTTGATTTTTGCTCATATGGCATCTCCTCAGAAAGGCTTGTATGATTTCTGTCTCAAATAGCGTTCTCCATCATTCTTGATTCTTGTCACACTTGATTTTCATCACTTTTTCACATATTATGTATCTATTTGTTTATCTGTCTCCTACTTTTTCATGAGGGCAGGGACTATGTCTGATTCACCGCCTTATTTCCACACCATAGAAGGATGCCTGGCATAGTTGGTACTCAATAAATATTTGTTGAATGAATTGTTTTGTGCAGTATGGATTAGAGCCTGTCTCTTTCCTAGATTCGAGGTGTGATGCCTCAATGCAGTTAGAACCAAAATGATTTTTTTTTTTTTGAGACGGAGTCTCACTCTTGTTGCCCAAGTTGAAGTGCAGTGGCATGATCTCGGCTCACTGCAACCTCCGCCTCATGGTTTCAAGTGATTCTCCTGCCTCAGCCTCCCAAGTAGCTGAGATTACAGGCGCCTGCCACTACGCCCAGCTAGTTTTTGTATTTTAGTAGAGACGGGGTTTCACCGTGTTGGTCAGGCTGGTCTCGAACTCCTGACCTCAAGTGATCCGCCTATCTCAGCCTCCTAAAGTGCTGGGATTACAGGCATGAGCCACCGTGCCTGGCAAACCAAAATGATTTGTGTATTTTTTGTTCTTCTGTGATTCTGCAAGCTCACTGTTCTGTATCATCAGGTTAACAATGTTTGTCTTACAGGCTGCGGGCCTCTCGGGTGCTTCTTGTCGGCTTGAAAGGACTTGGGGCTGAAATTGCCAAGAATCTCATCTTGGCAGGAGTGAAAGGACTGACCATGCTGGATCACGAACAGGTGCGCTGTTGTGAGCTCATTCCTCCCCTGCTCTGGCTCCCCTTTCCAGCATGAAGATCTGCAGATTTTGTGAGTTCCTCCTTGTGCCTTAAGGGCTGTGAAAGGAGGGCTAACATTAATAAACCATTGCCTCTGGAGACTGAAGGTGCTATTGTTGGGTTTGAATTCTAGCTCCACCACATCTAGCTGGATGAGCAGTAGAGACTCACACCCCCTCATTGAGCTTGCCTGCCTGTAAAATGGGGTTAGTAATATCTCCCTTGGTGGTTGCTTGTGAGGAGGTGTAGAGAAGTGTTTTTCCAATTTGTGCCTAAAAATGACCTGAGTGACTAACTGAAAATGCAGAGTGGCCTGGAGGCTTCGTGGTGCCCTAGCTTTCACCCCTAGTGATTCTCATTTAGGTCTGAGGCGAGCTCAGGAGTATGTGCATTTAAAAGGTGTTTTAGGGCTGGACGCAGTGGCTCATGCCTGTAATCCCAACACTTTGGAAGGCTGAGGCAGGCGGATCATCTGAGGTCAGGAGTTTGAGACTAGCCTGGCCAACATGGCAAAACTCTGTCTGTACTCAGTATACAAAAATTAGCCAGGCATGTTGGTGTGCACCTGTAATCCCAGCTACTCGGGAGGCTGAGGCACAAGAATCGCTTGAATCTGGGAGGTGGAGTTTGCAGTGAGCTGAGATGGCACCACTGCACTCCAGCCTGGGCAACAGAGTGAGACTTTGCCTTAAAAAGAAATAAATTAATGAAAGGTGTTTCAGGAGATTATGATTTAGATGGTCCACAGACATCACTTTAAAAAACACTGGATCAGGCCAGGCACAGTGGCTCATGCCTGTAATCCCAGCACTTTGGGAGGCTGAGGCGGGCAGATCATGAGGTCAGGAGATCGAGACCATCCTGGCTAGCACGGTGAAACCCCATCACTACTAAAGACACAAAAAATTAGCAGGGCTTGGTGGCGGGCGCCTGTGGTCCCAGCTACTCGGGAGGCTGAGGCAAGAGAATGGCGTGAACCTGGGAGGCGGAGCTTGCAACGAGCCGAGATCATGCCACTGCACTCCAGCCTTGGCAACAGAGTGAGACTCCGTTTCAACAACAACAACAACAAAAACAAACAAAAACAAACAACACTGGATCAGAGAGAATGTGGGCAGACTGCTTTGTATAGTGCTTGAACCTAACAAGTATCCAGTAATTAGGAATAATGATCTGACATGCTGTTTGTTTGTTTGTGTGTTTTTGCGAGACGAGTCTTGCTGTGATGCCCAGACTGGAGTGCAATGGCGCAATCTCCGCACACTGCAACCTCCGCTTCCCGGGCTCAAGTGATTCTCCTGCCTCAGCCTCTGAAGTAGCTGGGATTACAGGCACGCACCACCACGCCTGGCTAAGTTTTGTTTTGTTTTTTTTTTGAGACGGAGTTTAGCTCTTGTTGCCCAGGCTGGAGTGCAATGGCGTGATCTTGGCTCACTGCAACCTCTGCCTCCCAGGTTCAAGCAATTCTCCTGCCTCAATCTCCCGAGTAGCTGGGATTACAGGCATGCAACACCATGCCTGGCTAATTTAACGTTTTTAGTAGAGACCGGGTTTCTCCATGTTGGTCAAGCTGGTCTTGAACTCCGACCTCAGGTGATCCTCCCACCTCGGCCTCCCAAAGTGCTGGGATTGCAGGCGTGAGCCACCGCACCCGGCCATGCCTGGCTAAGTTTTGTTATTTTTAGTAGAGATGGGGTTTCACCATATTGGCCAGGTTGGTCTCGAACTCCTGACCTCAGGTGATCCGCTGGCCTCGGCCTCCCAAAGTGCGGTGATTACAGGTGTGAGCTACCATCCCCTGCTGACATAATGCTGTTTGATTAATATTATAATGGTAGAGCCCAACTCCAATGTAGCTTTCTCTGACCAGGCTCATCTTCAAGGTGAAAATAAGTGCTGCTCTCTCTACATTCCCATGCCTCAGTGACATTTTATTTATTTTATTTATTTATTTTGAGACAAAGACTTACTCTGTCGCCCAGGCTGGAGTACAGTGACACAACCTCAGCTCACTGCAACCTCTGCCTCCCGGGTTCAAGCACTTCTCCTGCCTCAGCTTCCCTAGTAGCTGGGATTACATAATTACTTCATCTGGTTGTAAGAATCCAACATTGGAGGCCAATCACAGAACAGTGCGATTCTGACACCACAGGTGTGAGGCCACTGCACCCATCTTAGAGCGTATTATGTAGTTTACATTCAACAAGCATCTGAGAGCACCTACTGGGTGCCCTGAAGTCTGCTAGGTGCTGGTGATAGAAAGATGCTCACGGTTTGGTTCCCATTCTCAAGGTTTTTTTTTTTTTTTTTTTCCGGAAACCATAGCAGGCTCCCTGACTGAGGTTGTGGTACATGAAAGATTTCCTGGAGTCCTGATCTGAGCTAAGTCTTAAAGAACAAGGAGGGTTGTCAAGATAAGAGCCTGTGTTTTAGGCAGGGGACATAGCAGTGTCACAAAGGCACCCTACAGTGTGGTAGAAATGGAAGCTAAAAGTAGTTTGGTGTTTTTAGAGTGTGAGACCCAAAGTGGTGGGTAGGGACAGGTTGCTGGTGAAGTCCAAGTCAGGAGGGGCTCCTAGGAAGCCCCACTGTAAGCTTTTACTTAATCCTCTGGGTGGTGCAGACTCACTGAAGAGTTTCAAATGACAGGAAGGGTGACATGGTTAGCTTTGGGCTTTATGTGTAGATCAGTAATTACTGTATAAACTATGGTTGGCACAAAATACAGGGCAGAAGACCACTTAGAAGGCAGTTTTTAGTAGTTTAGGTGAGAGGTGAAAGTGGCCTTGCTGATAGGGATGGCAGGAAGCACACAGATGTGAGAAATAGATTTAGGTGGTAGAATTGGGAGGTCTGTGTATGGGAGCTTAAGGAAAGCCAGGAATAACCAGAGCAGCTGACACTGAAGGGGCTAGGCACTGTTCTCAGAGCTGCAGTTGTATTATCTCATTGAGTCCTCACAACACATCTGAGATCAAGGACCCATTACCATCCCTGTTTTACAGATGGGAAAACTGAGTAAAAGGAAGAAAAGTACTGGCCCATCCAAGGCCCCAGTAGTTAGTGGTACGGCCGGGACCCAGGCATCTGACTCCAGAGCCCATGTTCTCAGCCACCTCACTATGGACCACTCTCATGGAAATAGCAAGGATATGAAGATGAGGCTTCTGGCTTGAGTGACTGGGTGGGTGGCTGGTGGACTCCGGAGACAGCACACAGAAGCAGGCAGACATGTAGGGTTTATGGATATCTGAGAGAAAACGGCTGGTGGGCAGTACAGTAGAGAAGACTCAGGTGGATCAGGAAGAAATCTGCACCAGAAAGAGTGATTTGAAAAATAACAGCAGATTTTGGTAGAAACTGAAAGAGGCATTGAGTTGGTTTATGGAGCTATACAGAGTGGAAAGATAAGTAATTCTGAGATGGAAGCTTGGGGACAGCCACACCTAAGAGGGCCCAAATTGAGACTAGAATGTGTAGCACGAGAGGAGAGCAAAGCAAGGAAGGTGTGATCTGTGGACTGATAGTGATGAAATGATAATTGTATGTGTATGGGTTTTTTTTTTTTTTTTTTTTTTTTTTTTGAGGCAGTCTCACTGTTACCCTTGCCGGAATGCAGTGGGCATGATCATGGCTCACTGTAGCCTTAACTTCCTGGGCTCAGGGTATTCTCCCACTTAAGCCTCCCAGTAGTTGGGACTACAGGTGCACGCCACCACACCTGGCTAATTTTTTGTATTTTTTGTAGAGACTGGGTTTCATGATTGTTGCTCAGGCTGGTCTTGAACTTTCTGGGCTCAATTATATGTTTTTTTTGTTTGTTTTTTTGAGATGGAGTCTCACTTGTCGCCCAGGCCGGAGTGCAGTGGTGAGATCTTGGCTCACTGCAACCTCCGCCTCCTGGGTTCAAGTGATTCTCCTGTCTCAGCCTCCCAAGTAGCTAGGATTACAGGCGTGTGCCACCACACCCGGCTAATTTTTGTATTTTTAGTAGAGATGGGGTTTCACCATGTTGGCTAGGCTGGTCTCGAACTTCTGACCTCAAGTGATCCACCCACCTCAGCCTCCCAAGCTGCTGGGTTTACAGGTGTGAGCCACCGTGCCCAGCCTCAACTGTATTTTTTTTTTTTTTTGAGACAGAGTCTCGCTCTGTTGCCCAGGCTGGAGTGCAGTGGCGCGATCTTGGCTCACTGCAAGCTCTGCCTCCCGGGTTCACACCATTCTCCTGCCTCAGCCTCCCTAGTAGCTGGGACTACAGGCGCCCACCACCACGCCTGGCTAATTTTTTTGTATTTTTTAGTAGAGATGGGGTTTCACCGTATTAGCCAGGATGGTCTCGATCTCCTGACCTCGTGATCTGCCTGCCTTGGCCTCCCAAAGTGCTGGGATTACAGGCGTGAGCCACCACGCGTGGCCCTCAACTGTACGTTTTTATCCATGTCCTCGTTTTATATGGGATTCCCACATTCTTGCTGAGGTTCACACAGTTGTTGAGCCAGGATTTGAATCAAAGATTGAATCCAGCCTGAATTATTTCAGAGCCTTACTGTTAACCATTGTGTGGTACAGCTTCTCAGCACATAATGAGATCCCTGAAGAAGCAGGATGGAATGGGTCAAGGATACAGGGTTAGCCTAGAATGGGAAGTGGGCCAGCTCATTTTCTTGGAGGAGAAGGTAGTAAGATAGAGAGTGTGCTGTGGATGGTTGGTAGGAGGTGTTGAGGGGAGATTACTTCTGTTGTACCTAGTCTTGGTGAAGGTGGCAAGGTTATTTGCAGAGATTAATGGTTAAATTAGATGTTTGATGTGTGAAGAAATACTTTGAGAGCAGTATGGAATCTGTAATCTTACTGGTGGCTATTAGGGGATTATATTATCCTGTCTTTGAGGCTCTGCTCTGCTGATGTTCAGCCTTAGGGGTGAAATAATTCCTCTGTTCCAGTCCCCACTCATCTCTCCACCTCTCTGAGTTCTTTTTTTTTTTTTTTGAGACAGAGTCTCACTCTGTTGCCCAGGCTGGAGTGCAGTGGCACGACCTGGGCTCAATGCAGCGTCTGCCTCCCAGGTTCAAGCGATTCTCCTGCCTCAGCCTCCCGAGTAGCTGGAATTACAGGCGTGTGCCACCACGTCCGGCTAATTTTGTATTTTTAGTAGAGATGGGGTTTCACCATGTTGGTCAGGCTGGTTTTGAACTCTGGACCTCAGGTGATCTGCCTGCCTCGGCCTCCCAAAGTGCTGGGATTACAAGCGTGAGCCACCGCACCTGGCCATAGTCTATCTATGTTTTTTAAAAGTTCATTTCAAGCATTCTTAATTGTGTCTGATTTTTGCACAAGTTTGATTTTTTTTTTAAGTTTTCTCATGAGGTTGCAATTTTTGTTGTTTTTTGAGAGAGGGCCTCTCTGTGTTGTCCAGGCTAGTCTTGAGCTCCTGGCCTCAAGCAGTGATCCTCCTGCTTTGGCGTCCCAAATTGCTGGGATTACAGATGTGAGCTACTGTGCCAGGCTGCACTGGTCTACTTTTTTTTTTTTTTTTTTTTTTTTTGAGACGGAGTCTTGCTCTGTTGCCCAGGCTGGAGTACAGTGGTGCAATCGCAGCTCACTGCAACCTCCGCCTCCCCTGTTGAAGTGATTCTCCTGCCTCAGCCTCCTGGGTAGCTGGGATTACAGGCACACACCACCACACCTGGCTTATTTTTGTATTTTTAGTAGAGATGGCATTTCACCATGTTGGCCAGGTTGGTCTCAAACTCCTGACCTCAGGTGATCCTCCTGCCTCGGCCTCCCAAAGTGCTGGGATTACAGGTGTGAGCCACCGTGCCCTGCCCACACTGGTCTAGTTTTAAACCACTGGAAGACAGAGATTTAATCCTTTAAACTACTTGTGTATTTCCCCAAATGCTTATAGTTGGGCACATGCTAAGTATTTAGTCAATTCTTGCCACTGTTAATCAGTCATTTGTTAGCAGTTACAAATTTGCATAGAAGAAGAAAGCATGGATTTTTTTGTTGACAGTGAATTTTCTTTATAAACACAAGGGGGTGCTCTTTAACCATCAATGACCAGTTTAAAAAAAGTTTAAAGTCATTTTAAAGCCTTAGAAGGAAGCCTGCATAAGGCAAATTGCTACAGGAACAGTAATACATTTTAGGGCTGTGCACAGTGTTTCATGCCTGTAATCTCAGCACTTTGGGAGGCTGAGGCAGGCGGATCACGAGGTCAAGAGATTGAGACCATCCTGGCAAACGTGGTGAAACCCTGTCTCTACTAAAAATACAAAAATTAGCTGTTGTGGTGGTGCGTGCTTGTAGTCCCAGCTACTTGGGAGGCTGAGGCAGGAGGAGAATCATTTGAACCCAGGAGGCGGAGGTTGCAATGAGCCGAGATCATGCCACTGCACTCCAGCCTGGTGACAGAGCAAGACTGTCTCAAAAAAAAAAAAAAAAAAAAATTTAGGTGGTAGGTATTTTAGCTATCCTTTAAAATTTAAAGATTCTTTTTAAGATTTATTTTCCCTAAAAATACAAGACTTAAAAAAATATGTGTATTATTCCTAGGTAACTCCAGAAGATCCCGGAGCTCAGTTCTTGATTCGTACTGGGTCTGTTGGCCGAAATAGGGCTGAAGCCTCTTTGGAGCGAGCTCAGAATCTCAACCCCATGGTGGATGTGAAGGTGGACACTGAGGATATAGAGAAGAAACCAGAGTCATTTTTCACTCAATTCGATGCTGTAAGTTTCTTATTATAAAATCTGCTGTGGGAATTAAACAAATTAAGGTGCTAGTTGTATATACTTTCAAATCCCAAAGCAATCTGAGAGCATTCAAATATCAAATTCTGAGCTTTTTCCCAAGAAAATGTATAAGCTGTTCTATTGTTTAGGCTTAGTATATTGTGTGAATGTGTTGCTAGAGAGGTCCAGTCTGTTGCATCTGCTGTAGTTGTTGGTGACTTGCTGTCTGCTGGCTTCTTCTCTGGGCATATGTTCCCTCAGCCAGGTTTCGTCTTTGGTGTTTTGTCTTCCTTCCAGAATCTTTGCACATAACTTTAATCCATGTTATTGCAAATGTTTTCTTCCGAAAACTTAACAAGTTGGTGATTAATTTCTGTGGCAGCGGCATTTTTTTGTTAGAAATATCAAACTACAGCTTGTGTTTTGTCTTAAGAAAAGCACACCTGATCTTGATCTATGTCTGTCTGTCTGTTTCTCACAGTCACATTGACCATGTTGCCATGGATAACTAGAGAAAAATCACTGTAGTCGTAAGTCAAATGAGGCATATCCAGCCTCATTTAGTTTCACTGCCAAATCTATGCGGAGGTGAAAGGATAAATTCTTTGTCAATATCTGCAACCTTTCAGACATAGTTCCCTGCATTCTGGAAAAGCTTAACAAATCTTGATAAATGTGAAATAGTCATAGATGAGCTACTAGTTTTTTAAATGAAAGGCCCCAGTATGTTACATGAGAGGTTAGAATTTGGGTTGGGTAGTTTTTTTTTTTTGCACCTTTTTTTATTTGAGATGGAGTTTTGCTCTTGTCGCCCAGGCTGGAGTGCAATTGTGCGATCTTGGCTCATGGCAACCTCTGCCTCCTGGGTTCAAGTGATTCTCCTGCCTCAGCCTCCCAAGTAGCTAGGATTACAGGCACTCACCACCATGCTGGGCTAATTTTTTGTATTTTTAGTAGAGATGGGGTTTCACCATGTTGGTCAGGCTGGTCTTGAACCCCTGACCTCAGGTAATCCACCTGCCTCGGCCTCCCAAAGTGGTGGGATTACAGGTGTGAGCCACTGCACCTGGCCTGTTTTTTACACTTTTCTTTCTTTCTTTCTTTCTTTTTTGAGATGGAGTCTCACTCTGTCGCCCAGGCTGGAGTGCAGTGGCATGATCTTGGCTCACTGCAACCTCCGCCTCCCTGGTTTAAGCAGTTTTCTGCCTCAGCCTCCCGTTTTTACACTTTTCTATTTCATATGTGCATCTGTTCAAATATGGGCTTGGAAGGATGGATCATCTGTGCATTTGTCCTGTTTTCTTTTTCCTAGTCCCTTCTATTTTTTAACTTGAGGTATTGGGACACTTTCCATTTGGACATAAGTCTTCATTTTCTTATCTGTAGTAACCACATTTATTTTATGCCAGGTGTCCCTTGAACTTGTAGAGTTAGAGGGTTTGTTAAAACTGAAGTGTGAGGCCAGTTGATTGTGTAATGCGTGTGCATGGGGCCATGTTGACCGCCTTGCAGGCCGTGTTTGGCTGGTCCTTGCAGGTTTTATAGTTACTTTAGACTCTGCAGGGTTCCATTTGATCAATTGGTTGCATGTTCACCTGTGGATTTCTTACTTTTTAGATGGGATTTTTCCTTGGGTGGCTGCATTCTTTGAAACACCAAAGGAACACATTTCTCTGTGAGTGTTATTTCGGTATTCAGGCTGCTAGACAACAGCAAAGAGGGTCTATCAAGTGAAAATGTCCTTTTGTTCAGGAGAAAGCATGTGCAATTTGGAAGTTGTCTTTTGACCATGATCACAAAGCTTCTCCCGAAAAGATGGTATTTTGTGCAGTAGAACTTAGCCATTTCCAATACCTCAACTTACTGGAATACAACCTGGAGGCCCCAGAGCAACACTGATAATTCCACTGAGTGGATCACCAGTTCATTGTCTAAGCCTGAATGGAAGGTCACTTGGTCTGTAACCTTTTCTTTTGTCCTTAAATTCAGATAAAGTTTCACACCGCAATCTGTGGAAAAATGATCTCAACAGGACTTGTTTATCTTCTTTATCTTAACATATCAATCAAAAGGAGGGGGGTAAAAAGCCCTTGTATTTAAACATGACCTTTGGGTCAATTTAAAAAACTGGTTTTGCTTGTCCCTGTAGCTTATTTGGATTTTAATAGATTTAGCAGTATAGAAACAACTTGCTAAGTTATTTTTTTTATGAGAACTATGAAATGTGTATATGTTCGTGGATTACAGAAAACATTTGTTGAATGGCTTTTACTTTTTAGCTAAACACATTTTATTTTGGCTGCAGAACGTGACGGTCTCATAACTTATATTTTCTACACATTGAAACCTGCAACTTTTCTTTTGTCTTCTAGCCATAGGGCCCAAAGAACCTGTTGTACCAGTTTGAAACATGCTTTGAGCATGCCCAGAGAGACTGTTCATTAAGATTTATTTAGACATCAGGGCAGTGATTCACAGTTTGCAAAACTCAAACCCAGCCAATTTCTTTCTTTCTGCAGGTGTGTCTGACTTGCTGCTCCAGGGATGTCATAGTTAAAGTTGACCAGATCTGTCACAAAAATAGCATCAAGTTCTTTACAGGAGATGTTTTTGGCTACCATGGATACACATTTGCCAATCTAGGAGAGCATGAGTTTGTAGAGTAAGTGTTGGGAGAGGAGGGGAGAACATAACATTTTCTCCTTTTTATACTTTTTTTTTTTAAATTATGTATTTATTTATGTGTAGAGACAGGATCTATGCTATGTTGTTCAAGCTGGTCTTGAACTCCTGGGCTCAAGTGATCCTCCCACCTTGGCCTCCCAAAGTGCTGGGATTATAGGCATGATCCACTGCGCCTGGTCTGCTGACATGTTTTCAAGTTGAGAGATAGTAAAATGATTACAAAATAGTTGGGCGATTCTGGAGGCATATTCAACCAAAGTCTACCTTGGAAAAGGTGTCCAATATCCAGAGAGACTCCTCTGGTAGAACAAACAGACCTCATCCTCTCATTTTGAACACTGAGGCTGCAGAACTTGGTAATTCTTACATGACAGGACTTGCCGTGTTTTGACTTTGTAGTCTCTAGGTGAAAGATGGCAGATGATACATTATTGTAAAACTATATGAGTTAGGTATTTTGGCTGCAGTTTCTGACCACCCCCTCCAAAACCCTCCAACTTGCTAATTGAGAGGGAAAGACAGGCTCTGTGAGATAGGAGCTTCCTACCAAGAGACTGAGAACTCTTCTCTTGTTCAGCCTCTCAGGCAAGTCACTGAAATTTCTCTGGTCTCCAAGTTTCTTGCCTGTAAAATCAAGATGGGGGAAGGACAGTCATGTTCCAGACATCTCCTAACTCTAGTGTTTTATGGCTTTAGGATAATCTAGTTCTTTGGGCATATTATTATTATTATTATTTTATTTTTTGAGACGGAGTTTTGCTGTTGTTGCCCAGGCTGGAGTGCAATGGCACCATCTCAGTTCAGAACAATCTCTGCCTCCTGGGTTCAAGCCATTCTCCTGCCTCAGCCTCCGGAGTAGCTGAGATTACAGGCATGCGTCACCATGCCTGGCTAATTTTGTATTTTTAGTAGAGACAGGGTTTTTCCATGTTGGTCAGGCTGGTCTTGAACTCCGGACCTCAGGTGATCCACCCACCTCGGCCTCCCAAAGTGCTGGGATTACACAGGCGTGAGCCACCGCACCCGGCTATTATTATTATTTTTGAGACGGAGTTTTGCTTTTGTCACCCAGGCTGGAGTGCCATGGCACGATCTTGGCTCACTGCAACCTCCACCTCCTGGATTCAAGTGGTTCTCCTGCTTCAGCTTCCTGAGTAGCTGGGACTGCAGGCACCCGCCACCATGCCCGGCAAATTTTTGTATTTTTAGCAGAGACGGGGTTTCACTATGTTGGCTATGCTGGTCTTGAACTCCTGACCTCAGGTGGTCCACCCACCTCAGCTTCACAAAGTACTAGGATTACAGCCACCATGCCTGGCTTCTTTGGGTATATTATAAAGAAGTTATAGTAGTGGGAAGCAATCCAGATTATTTTAACATAAGCTGCCCACAGCAGAGGGGCAGAATTAAGTTTGGCTTTTTTTTTTTTTTTTTTTTTTTTTTTTTTCTGAGACAGACTTTCACTCAGTTGCCCAGGCTGGAGTACAGTGGCGTGATCTCAGCTCATTGCAACCTCCTCCTCCTGGGGTCAACCAATTCTCCTGCCTCAGCCTCCCAAGTAGCTGGGATTACAGGCGCCCACCACCACGCCCGGCTAGTTTTTTGTATTTTTAGTAGAGACGGGGTTTTGCTATGTTGGCCAGGATGGTCTCAAACCCTTGACCTCAGGTGACACGCCCGCCTTGGCCTCCCACAGTGCTGGGATTACAGGCGTGAGCCACTGCACCCAGCCAAGTTTGGCTATTTATTTCATGATTCAAGTAGAGTGTTTACAAAGTAATCACTTTGATTTATTGAGAGCAGCTGTGTGCCCAGCAGTGTGCTGAGCAACTTACGCTGCTCTGTTTTTCCCACAATAATTTCCTGAGTGCCCAACAGTGTACCAGACTCATCATGTTATCAATGGCAGAGCTCGATTTGAACCGAGATCTGACTCCAAAGCTTTTGCCCTTAACCACCATCCCGATCTGTGACCTGGAGAGGCTTTTTTTGATTCCAATAACATGATTCCTAGGGTAAAATTACATTCTCTCCCCTTGTCACCCTCTAGGGAGAAAACTAAAGTTGCCAAAGTTAGCCAAGGAGTAGAAGATGGGCCCGACACCAAGAGAGCAAAACTTGATTCTTCTGAGACAACGATGGTCAAAAAGGTATGTGTAACGTGGGGGCAGAGGTCAGAAACCCTGGGGCCTTGGAGGGGTCAGGCAATGACGATTGAAAAGGATAAGAGCAAGCACTTCTTGAAGGGGTGGGGCGGGTGCTTGTCCCATCTAAAGGGAGGCTGCCACAGCTTAGTGTCAGCCAGCTGTTGCTGTGAGGGAATGTGGGCCCAGTGATTCCAGATGGGATTTTTCAAGACAATGAGAAATGCAAACTTTTGTAGGCTCTGTCCCAAACTTTTTTTTTTGTGTGTGTGAGATGGAATTTTTTCTTGTCGCTCAGGCTGGAGTGCAATGGCATGATCTCGGCTCACTACAGCCTCCACCTCCTGGGTTCAAGCAATTCTCCTGCCTCATCCTCCCAAGTAGCACCCCTGGCTAATTTTTTTTTGTATTTTTAGTAGAGACGGGGTTTCACCATGTTGGCCAGGCTGGTCTCGAACTCCTGACCTCAGGTGATCCACCCGCCTCAGCCTCCCAAAGTGCTGGGATTACAGGCGTGAGCCACCATGCCCGGCCCCATACCCTTTTTTTTTTTTTTTTTGAGATGGAGTCTTGCTGTGTCCAGGCTGGAGTGGCACAATCTCAGCTCACTGCAACCTCCACGTCCCAGGTTCAAGAGATTTTCCTGCCTCAGCCTCCCAAGTAGCTGGGACTACAGGTGTGTGCCACCACACCCAGCTAATTTTTGTATTTTTAGTAGAGACGGGGTTCCACCATGTTGGCCAGGATGGTATTTATCTCTTGACCTCGTGGTCCACCTGCCTCAGCCCCACAAAGTGCTGGGATTACAGGCATGAGCCACCATGCCCGACCAGAAAACTTTTTTTTTTAAAGCAGCAAAACACCAGCCCTGGGTTACAGTAGCAAGACCCCGTGTCTACAAAAAAAATGTAAAAATTTGTCTGGCGTGATGGTGAGCACCTGTAGGCCCAGCTACTCATAGGCTGAGCTGGGAGGATTGTTTGAGCCTGGGAGGTGGAGGCTGCAGTGAGCCATGGTCACACCACTGCACCCCAACCTGGGCCACCTAGCAAGATCCTGTCTAAAAAAAAAAAAAGCAAAACAAAAAATTTTTTGTATTTTCTCTACTAACAATACAAAAATTAGCTGGGCAAGGTGGTGCGTTGCTTGTAGTCCCAGCTACTTGGGAGGCTGAGGCAGGAGAATAGCTTGAACTGGGGAGGCGGATGTTGCAGTGAGCCGAGACGGCAACACTGCACTCCAGCCTGGCGACAGAACGAGACTCTGTCTCCAAAAAAAAAAGTTTTCTTTGCCTGTTTTTTTCCTTTTGCCAAATAACCTTTAATAAGAAAAATCCTTCAATGTTGTCTTGCTGTGTCCAGGCTGGAGTGGCACAATCTCAGCTCACTGCAACCTCCACGTCCCAGGTTCAAGAGATTTTCCTGCCTCAGCCTCCCAAGTAGCTGGGACTACAGGTGTGTGCCACCACACCCAGCTAATTTTTGTATTTTTAGTAGAGATGGGGTTCCACCATGTTGGCCAGGATGGTATGAATCCTCAGATTCATATTTGTTAATGTAGTTTATATTAGGGGCTCAGCCTCTATTTGGATTAGGTGCAATAATTACATTTATAGAAAGGAGTGGAGAAGGGATCAGAAGACGATGGTTTCTGTAGCTAGTGCTGGAATCTGAGATGGGAACCATGCGATGGGGAAAGCAAGATGAAGGGGCCAGAATTGGTTTCATTGAACTGAGAGGAAAGACATGACCAAGCCCATATTTACTCTTTGCTTTGTAGATTTAAATGTTGAGAAAGAAAAACAGCTGGTCAGAATGTTGAGTTAAATTACGCTAACGAGGGGATTCTAAAGAGTGCAGAAACCACAAAAGAGACTGCAGAAAACCACAAAAGTGGAACTCTCAGACTCTCCAGCAAGGCGGCGTTGGAGATTTTCTTTCTCATTTTGTGTTTGTGTTGGAGTAGTTTGGTGCTGTAAGTGTGATACAGAGGAATTAAGCCCTAATTTTAGTGTCTATTCACAGAACCATAATTATCCAGAGTGAACCTTGGTGTTTTGGCCAAAACTTGGGTGCCTTTCTTTCTTTTTGAGGCCCAGTCAAGATTTATCTGAATAGCTCCGTGAATTTGGTGGGGGGAGATAAATTGTTAACAAACGGAGGAGTACAAAAGCTGCTTTGTGGGTGCTGTCAGTTTATAAATCACACCCTCTTACAAGTGTGACACTTGGCCTTGGTGTGAAGGGTTTTATGGCTTAAGGGCCTTCTCTGATTGAGGCAGGTCTTTCACATTCAAATGGAGAGAGTGCCTAGCTTTGTTAGCCATTCACAGCTGGAAGTTTCCCTGGAGTCAGTTCTGATGGTGCCCACTGGGGTGGATCTGGAAACCTCTTTTGGGAACCACTTTATCTCGCTATGAGGAGAATGTGGGCAGCCCAGGCCTTTGCCCACCATTCCGGAGGGCCCTACAGGCACAGAGGTTTTTGTGCAGCCTCTTCCTACGTGGAGCTGAGCTGGAAGGTATCAAAATATTCCCCAGCTGACATTGTTAGTCAGCTGTTACACTTGAACAATGCAGGCTCGGATTCCAACCCCAAGCCCTTAAGGTTACGAGGCATTCAGTGCATTCCTGCTGACAATCCCTGGGATTCCAAACCTTGCCTTTGTGCAGCCTCACCAAGGGCCCTGCGGACCGACTGGGCTGGACTGGGTTTTGGCCATGGCTTTGTCACCTTGCAATAACATGCCTCCTTCCGTTTTGGCACAGATGGCCCTGTGATTTCAAGGTTCTCTTCCAACACCAAAGATTCCTTGATTCAGATGCTGCCCTTTTGCCTAATTGTACAGAATAACTAGTTGGGTTGTGCTCAGAGAGTGCAGGGTGGGGGTGGGGAAGCAGCTACTTCCTGTTTCCTGTGAAAGGTTTTCTGGTTAGGGTTCCCTTCCCCTCCCCGCTTTCCCTAGGTTTAACCAAAGGTTGTAAAGCCACTTTTGCTTCAAGGTACACTTTGTGCTCCTAAATTAGTAACGTTGAAAAACAAAAAGGAAAAACAGCCTGTGGTTTTCACACCCTCTAGGAAGCTGGTGGGCCTTTCTAGCACCTGTGCCATTCTGATAAATAAGGGCTTAGGAAAATGCCTAGCCCAGAAATAGGTGCTCAGTAGTTTGTTTGCTTCCTTTGGTGCTCAGGAGAAGATTTGAGACGGATTTCGTCACAATCAGGTCTCGGGCACAAGCCTCACATGGACACTGACATGCAGGAGCCAGAGGAGACAGCAATGAGGTGGTGGTAAGGAAGTGCCCAAAAAGGTTTCCCAGAGGAAGAGTTGTTTGTGTTGGCATGTGAGGGACAAGCTTTCCAGGCACCAGAGCCAAGAGCAGTGCTCTGTCCGAGGAAGTAGGATAAACCGAAAGACGGACGTAGGGGCAGAGTTGCTGTGGCTGCCCTCACTGCCGCAGCCAGCTCCTTCCATGAGTTGCAGAATGCCTACTGTGTGCAAGGCACTGTGTTGAGTGCAGGGAATCACATCCAGTCTTGTTGTCCCCATCTATAGCTGATAAAGAAGCTATGAGAAATTAAGTGACCTGACCAAGGCCACACAGCTGTGGAAGAAGGGGCGAGAGCATAGACAGTGGGTAAGGGCATAGGCTCACCCTATGATTTACAAAGAGGGATACCCCTGAAGTTGCTAGGGTAACGTGACATATTAGGAGGATGGTGGGATAAAATATGTGAACATCGGGATCATTCTGGAAAACCTTTAGGATAAAAGGCCACTGTCATGCTCCCATGTTCACGTTTCTTTATTGTGAGTTATCTGTGTTAGGTGCTGCCAGAGATGATGAGATGCCTGACAGTGGTTACTCTGTAATAGCTCTTTAAAAATTAAAGACAAAGTAGGGTTTGTTCCTGACTGTACTAGAAATACAGATTTAATTTTACCTCTGCTCCTGAAATAGGTGACTAATTTGGAGTACTATTAATACTCTTTTCATGAATTAGTTGAGAAATTCCACAGTTGAGGAGTGATTCATTCTTTTGACTCCCTCTTTCTGAGCAATTTGTTGACAGCCTTCTCATCCTCTCTTACACCCGTCATTAAAGAAACAGTCGAGTTCTTTTTCTTTCATGTGGTACCTTGGTTTCCACTGCTGGTGGCCCTTAGGTTGCTTGTCTCTGTCTCCCCGCTTCCATTTTAAGCTCCATAGGGGGAAGGTAGTCTTGTTCACTGCTAGACTCCTAGTCCAGTGTGTAGCACAGTCATATCCACGGAATATTTGTTCAGTGTACTGGTGGCTGTTAACTGCAGCATAATCCAGCAACCCTGGAGATTATTTTCTTCCTTTTTTTTTTTTTTTCTTTGAAGCAGGGTCTGACTACTCTGTCACCTAGGCTGAAGTGCAGTGGTTCAAACACTGCTCACTGCAGCCTCCCAAGTAGCTGGAATTACAGACATCCACTACACCTGGCTAATTTTTAATTTTTAAAAATTATTATTATTTCTGAGATGGAGTCTTGCTGTGTCACCCAGGCTGGAGTGCAGTGGCACAATCTCAGCTCACTGCAGCCTCTGCCTCCTGGGTTCAAGCAATTCTCCTGCCTCAGCTTCCGGAGTAGCTGGAACTGCCAGTGTGTGCCACCACACTCGACTGGTTTTTGTATTTTTAGTAGAGACGGTATTTCTCCATATTGGCCAGGCTGGTCTCGAACTCCTGGCCTCAAGTGATCCGCCCACTTTGGCCTCCCAAAGTACTGGGATTATAGGCGTGAGCCACAGCTTCCAGCCTGATTGTTTCCATTTTAAAAAAGAGTAATTGAAGTAACCTTTGTTACCAATGAAATGAATTAACCTTCTAGTATATTAATTCTCACGGTTTAGGTTATTTGAACTAAGCTGAGAGAACAGAATACCAAAGAAGACAATAGACTTGCCCAGAAATATTTAGAAGTAAGTCACTCAGTTGCCTGGATTGGAACCCTCAGGCCAGAGAGGTTCAAAATCCTGCATTTTTTTTTTTTTTTTTTTTTTTTTGAGACAGAGTCTCACTCTATCACCCAAGCTGGAGTGCAATGGTGCGATCTCGGCTCACTGCAACCTCCGCCTCCCGGGTTTAAGCGATTCTCCTGCGTTAGCCTTCCGAGTAGCTGGAACTACAGGTGCGCGCCACCACGCCCAGCTAATTTTTTTTTTTTTTTTTTTTTTTTGAGATGGACTCTCGCTCTGTCGCCCAGGCTGGAGTGCAGTGGTGCGATCTCAGCTCACTGCAAGCTCCACCTCCTGGGTTCATGCCGTTCTCCTGCCTCAGCCTCCCGAGTAGCTGGGACTACAGATGCCCGCCGCCATGCCCGACTAATTTTTTTGTATTTCTAGTAGAGATGGGGTTTCACCGTGTTAGCCAGGATGGTCTCGATCTCCTGACCTCGTGATCCGCCCACCTCGGCCTCCCAAAGTGCTGGGATTACAGGCGTGAGCCACCGTGCCCAGCCTAATTTTTGTATTTTTAGTAGAAACGGGGTTTCACCATGTTGACCAGGATGGTCTCAATCTCCTGACCTTGTGATCCACCCGCCTCAGCCTCCCAAAGTGCTGGGATTACAGGCGTGAGCCACCACTCCTGGCCAATCCTGCTAATTATTAATATCAGAACTACTTGGTTCAAAGGAGTGGAAATAGGGCAACGAGGGGTGTAAATTTGCAGTTAGGTGGAATGCTGATAGCAAGTTTTCCAGGTAGGAGAGTTAGTTGGGGTGGGGGATGCTAATGTTAGCTTATCTCTGTATATATATTTAATTTTATATGTTATTTATTTTTGAGATGGGATGTAACTCTGTAGCCCAGGCTGGAGTGCAGTGGCACAAACACAGCTCACTGCAGCCTTGAACTCCTGGGCTAAAGGGATCCTCCCACCCACCTCAGTCTCCAAGGTAGCTGGGACCACAGGCATGTGCCACCATGCTCTGCTAATTTTTTCGGGTTTTTTTTTTTTTTTGAGATCTCTTGCTGTGTTGCCCAGGCTGATCTCAAACTCCTGGCCTCAAGTGATCCTCTTGCCTTGGCCTCTCAAAGTGCTGAGATTATAGGCATGAGCCACCGTACCCAGCCTATATTTTTTTTATTGTGACATTTAATGCACAAAAGAAGATATGCAGCATCAATGCAGATAATGGAACAAAACAAACACTATCCGCCTTAAAAACACAAATATTTTTGGTACTTTTGTACCAATCTGTATGCTGTTTCTCTATCTTCTACTTCTTCTCCCTGTACCCTCACCAGGTAAGTAACCCCAGAGCTGCTGGTACATTTGTGTGGATTAAAAAAGACACCTGGAAGGGGCAGATACAGCCCTGCTTGACTTCCTGTTTTATCACGTGTTTATAAATCTAAACAATGACATGGAACTTATTATACAATATTTTAGGCATAAATTAAGAATGATTTCGCTCACCATCATAGACCTACCACTCAATTTGAAGCATCAAACATTACTGGTATGGTGAGGCCCTCTGGCTGTCCCTCCAACAGAAGTTACCACCCTCCTCAGTTGGGTTTCTCATTCCTATGCATTTCTTCTTACTACTTATGTATGTATTTCCAAGCAACACATAGAATTGCTTTGCATGCTTTTTATCTTCTTAAAAATTGGTTTTATATTGTATGCATGGTGCCACCTGCTTTTAAGGAGAAGCAACACGTTTGTGAGGCCATCTGTTTATATGTTGTTCTAGGGCTTTGCTGTCCATTTTGGTAGCCACTAGCCACAGCTGGCTGTTTAAATTAATTAAAATCAAATCAAATCAAATATTTAGTTCCTCAGTCTCACTGGTCACATTTCAAGTGGCCAGTAAGCACATGTGGCCATTGGCATCTGTATTGCATAGCACAGATTACATTCTGTTCCATCATCACAGCTAGTTCTCTTGGACAGCCCTGCAGGGCATTTCTTTTTGGTTTTTGTTTTGTTTTTATTTTTGTTTTTTGCTAGAGTCTTTGTTGTGTAAATACATTACTATTTTATATCCATTTTTCTATTTATAAGCATTTGGGTATGCTCATAATTTGCTGTTACAAATTGTGCTGCATAAGCATTTTGTTTGTGTGTGTATAGATGATCTCCTTGGGCAATTGTGTTAATTTCTCTTGGGTATATACCTGGGAGTAAAATTAAGATAAGGGCATTTTCAGCTTTACCAGACCCCGTTAAGTTACTCTCAAGTGGTTTTATCAATTTATATTCTAGAACCAACATTATGTATCAGTAACATTTGGTAACTTCAGGCGTTTTTTTTCCATTCTGCTGAGTGTGAAAAATGTGTTTTGATTATGGTTGTCATTTGTTAGAATACTTTGTTAAAGCTTTTTAAAGATTCTTGGTCCCTCTACCCTCCCCACCCCCTACCCCAGGAATTTTGATTGGGTAGGACCTGGGGATTATATTCATCTTTATATGCAGAATTATATTACTTGTTACTGTTAGGCCTGATTTAAGAAGTAAAATAAGGCTGGGTGCAGTGGCTCATGCCTGTAATCCCAGCACTTTGGGAAGCCAAAGTGGGCACATCACTTGAGCCCAGGAGTTTGAGACCAGCCTGGGCAATGTGGCTAAAACCCCTTCTCTACCAAAAATACAAAAATTAGCTGGGCGTGGTAGCACGTGCCAGTGGTCTCAGCTACTGGGGAAGCTGAGGCGGGAGGATTGCCTGAGCCTGGCAAGTGTAGGCAGCAGTGAGCTGAGATTGTGCCACTGTAGTACATCCTGGGTGACAGAGCAACACACTGTCTCAAAAAAAAATTTTTTTTTAAGTAAAATAAGTTCATAATTCCAAATGTGGAAAATGCAGAACAAGTTAATGAAATGTTAATCCTACTACCAAATGATAACTATAACCTTCCTTTCAGTATTTTTCTATGTATATACAACAAAATTGGGGCACTGTTTAATACAGATAATATATATAGTTAGCTCTCCTTATTAATGGGCTTCACATTCATGGATTCAACCAACTGTGGATCAAAAATCTTTAGTGTGCTTGGAGTACATCCAAAAAAAAAAAAAGAAAATTGAAATTATGTTAATAATAAAATATTTGGGAAAAAACATTGCGTCTATCTGTACCAAACATGTACAGACTTTTTTTCTTGTCATTATTCCCTAAGCAATACAATATAACAACTGTTTACATAGCAATTCCATTAGGTATTATAAGTAATCTAGAGATGATTTAAAGTATATGGGAGGCCAGGCGCAGTGCCTCACGCCTGAAATCCCAGCACTTTGGGAGGCCAAGGCGGGTGGATCACTTGAGGTCAGGAGTTGGAGACCAGCCTGGCCAACATGGTGAAACCCCATCTCTAACAGAAATACAAAATTAGCTGGGCATGGTGGCTCACACCTGTAATCCCAGCTACTCAGGAGGCTGAGGCAGGAGAATCACTTGAACTTGGGAGGCAGAGGTTGCAGTGAGCCAAGATCGCACCGTTGCACTCCAGCCTGGGCGACAGAGCAAGACTCTATCTCAAAAATAAATAAATAAATAAAGTATATGGGAGGATGCACGTAGAGTATATGCAAGTACTGTGCCATTTATTTATTTAGAGACAGAGTCTTGCTTTATTGCCCAGGCTGGAGCGCAGTGGCGTGATCTCCGTCTCCCAGGTTCAAGTGATCCTCTGGCCTCAGCCTCCCGAGTAGCTGGGATTACAGGCTTGTGCTACCACACCCGGCTAAGTTTTGTATTTTAAGTAGAGGGCGTTTTCACCTTGTTCGCCAGGCTGGTCTCGAACTCCTGACCTCAGGTGATCCGCCCACATCGGCCTCCCAAAGTTTTGGGATTACAGGCGTGAGCCATTGCACCTGGCTTGTATATGTGTATATATATGTACATGGTTTTGTCTTTTGCTTTTTTCACTCAATAAGCATTCCCCAAATCTGCTTTGGAGCACATGATTTTATTTTATTTTTATTTTTTTATTTTTTTGAGACGAAGTCTCGATCTGTCGCCCAGGCTGGAGTGCAGTGGCGCAATCTCGGCTCACTGCAAGCTCTGCCTCCTGGGTTCACGCCATTCTCCTGCCTCAGCCTCCCGAGTAGCTGGGACTACAGACACCCGCCACCACACCCGGCTAATTTTTTGTATTTTTAGTAGAGACGGGTTTCACCGTGTTAGCTAGGATGGTCTCCATCTGCTGACCTCGTGATCCGCCCGCCTTGGCCTCCCAAAGTGCTGGGATTACAGGCATGAGCCACCACGTCTGGCCTGGAGCGCGTGATTTTAAATGTCTGTGTCATTTTTCCTCTTCTTGCCTAGCCATAATCTATTTTACCAGTCACCTATTGTATTGAGGTTATTGAGGTTATTGCAGTTTCCTACTATGCTAAATGGCTCCTGACAACAAATTTGATGGTTGATGGGCTATGTGGAGAATTCACCTTTTTTTTTTTTTTTTTTTTTTTTTTTGAGACAGAGTCTTTCTCTGTCACCCAGGCGGGAGTGCAGTGGCATGATCTCAGCTCACTGCAACCTCTGCCTCCCAGGTTCAAGCGATTCTCCTGCCTCAGCCTCCTGAGTAGATGGAACTACAGGCACCTGCCACCACGCCCAGCTAATTTTATTTTTGTATTTTTAGTAGAGAGGGGGTTTCACCGTGTTAGCCAGGATGGTCTCGATCTCCTGACCTCGTGATCCGCCTGCCTCAGCCTCCCAAAGTGCTGGGATTACAGGCGTGAGCCACAGTGCCCGGCTAATTTTTGTATTTTTAGTAGAGACGGAGTTTCACCATATTGGCCAGGCTGGTCTCGAACTCCAGACCTTGTGATCCACTCACCTTGGCCTCCCAAAGTGCTGGGATTACAGGCATGAGCCAAGTCTTTTTTTTTTTTTTTTTTTTTTTTTGAGACGGAGTCTTGCTCTCTTGCCCAGGCTGGAGTACAGTGGTTTGATTGTGATCTCGGCTCACTGCAACCTCAGCCTCCTGGGTTCAAGCGATTCTCCTGTCTCAGCCTCCCAAGTAGCTGGGATTACAGGCACATGCCACCATGTCCGGCTAATTTTTATATTTTTAGTGGAGACGGGGTTTCACCATGTTGGCCAGGCTGGTCTCGAACTCCTGACCTCAGGTGGTCTACCCACCTTGGCCTCCCAAAGTGCTGGGATTATAGGTGTGAGCCACCGCACCCGGCCTTGTTATTAGTCTTAACTAGATTGTTGATTGAAGTCCTTAAGCCCAGAAATGTATGTGAAGGATGGTGGAGAAGAGTGGCTCAGGCATTCTAGGCAGAGGTATTCTTGAGCTGAGGAAGTGGAGGAGAGGAGGTATGTAAGTTACCTGTTTTCAGGGGTTCATTCCAGTGGATAGTGGATGCCACTCCCTGGCAGACACTGTGGGTGCCTCACCTGAAAGACTCCTGATTCCCTGAAGGCATTGTCGGGTGTATTTTTTCTTTATAAGCGTAATGCCAGTGGAGTGGGTAAGACAGGTACCACCTTTTGCATCTGCTGCTACAGATTAGGCAGCTTGGTTAAGTTTTGTTTTGTTTTTAATTGTTATGAGTTAGTTTGAACCAAAAGGATTGTTAAGTGGAGTGTAAGAAGCACTGAATAACTACTGTTATCTGAGAGGAGTAGTAAAGACCAGGGCCACTGGGCAATCCCAGAGGCATTAGGAATTTGTGGCCTTTCCCTTTAGAGCATTGTCATTATGTGTATCTGCATCTCTGCATTCCAACTTTCACATTTTCAGTTCCCAGGAGAGAGAATCTGATTGGCCTGGTTGGGGTCCTGTGCCCACTTCTGGCTGTCACCTGTGGCTTTCTTCCCTCAGTTGTAGACCACACTCTGGATACCTGGGACCCCTGAAATCTCCTGCCCAGACAACCCCAAGCTTCTCAGGACTTTTTGTGGGCTGCTTCCCTGTTCTGCCTGTGCAGTGCAGGCCTTGTCACAATGTCTGAATGCTTAGGCCAGAGACGTGGGGGTTTGGTGAGAAAGGATGAGCTGGGTAGCTACACTCAAGTGCAGAGCCACCAGTATTGTGGGACAGAGCCAGGCATGGGAAGAGAAGTGGGCACGGATGGGGGCCAGCTTTCCCGATGTGCCTTAATCTGGCACAGAACTCCTAAGGAGTGTGAAAATTTCAAATTTGATCCAGGCCTTCCAGGTGGTTATGAAGAAGGCGAGTTTGTCAAGACAGGATAATACAATATACTTCATTTAATAGCTTGTTAGTGTGATTTATAACTAAATATGTAGACATCATATATGGGTCTTCATTCATACTCTTGCCCCAGGCCCTGAAAGTGTTAGCTAACAGGCAAGACCTGCCTGGGACTGAGATTCTAAAACACAACCTCCACCCCCAACTCCGTTTCATCATATAGTAGCCTAACATATTAGTTGGTTCGTTGCTTATAGTCAGGCAAACAACAAAGACTCCGAATTGAGCTCTTGGTAATTTTTGAAACCTGCCTGGTAATACTGTGTTTCCTCATTCTGATGGCATTCCCAGACCATATTGCAAATGACTTGATGTGTATTTTCAGACTTGTTGAGAAGGGCCTGGTGGTCTATATAGCAGGCATAAAATGTCACCAGGCCGACTTCATGACTTATCTTTTGAGGTCAAACAGACCCATTGACCAAAAGATTTGAGGGCAGTGAAAACATCTTGTATACTATCTTTAACAATGGATTTAACTCCTAAAGGAAAGCCACCTAAACATGACTGTTTAATCTTCACTAGCAATTTGAACTTTTTTTTTTTTGAGACGGCGTCTCACCTTGTTGCCCAGGCTGGAGTGTAGTGGTGTGACCTTGGCTCGCTGCAACCTCCACCTCCTGGGTCCAAGTGATTCTGCTCCCTCAGCTTCCTGAGCAGCTGGGATTACAGGTGCCTGCCACCACACCCAGCTAATTTTTTTGTATTTTTAGTAGAGACAGGGTTTCACCGTGTTGGCCAGGCTGGTCTCCAATTCCTGACCTCTAGTGATCCACCCGCCTTGGCCTCCCAAAATGCTAGGATTACAGGTGTGAGCCACCACACCCGGCCTGCGCCCAGATAATTTTTGTATTTTTTTTTTTTTTGAGAGTCTCGCTCTGTCCCCCAGGCTGGGGTGTAGTGGCACGATGGGTTCACGCCATTCTCCTGCCTCAGCCTCCCGAGTAGCTGGGACTGCAGGTGCCTGCCACCACGCCTGGCTAATTTTTTTGTATTTTTAGTAGAGACGGAGTTTCGCCATGTTAGCCAGGATGGTCTCGATCTCCTGACCTTGTGATCTGCCCGCCTTGGCCTCCCAAAGTGCTGGGATTACAGGTGTGAGCCACTGCGCCCAGCCAACAATTTGAACTTTTATCTGTCAAATCTATATGCATCCTTAGCAAGCTTTGTAAACTGCCTGGTAACTGATAGATCTTGGTTCACTTAGCTTCCCAAATTATGCTGTTATCATCTTGTCTCTCTGTTCTTTAAATATCTGGTTGGGAGGGTATGGAGAGAGAGGGAGGAAGAAAGACACCTCTGTAAGTTTGAAATTATTTGCATCCCCCCCACCGCCCACCACCAACCTTTTTAAAATATAGAGACACAGAGTCTATACCACGCCTGGCCTAAAATAATTTTTTTTAGAGACGGGATCTAACAGTGTTCCCCCAGCTTGGCTATCTTAAACTTCTTAAGGGTAGCTAGTTCTAAGAACTGCTTTTTTCTGGCTAGGCACAGTGGCTCACGCCTATAATCCCAACACTTTGGGAGACCGAGGCAGGCAGATCACCTAAGGTCAGGAGTTTGAGACTAGCCTGGGCAATATAGTGAAATCCTGTCTCTACTAAAAATACAAAAATTAGCTGGGCGTGGTGGCATGCATCTGTAATCCCAGCTACTGGGGGCGCTGAGGCACGAGAATTGCTTGAACCCAGGACACGGAGGTTGCAGCGAGCTGAGATCATGCACTGCACTCCAGCCTGGGTGACAGAGGGGGAGACTGTCTGGAAAAAAAAAATGTTTAAAACAAAAAACTGTTTTTTTGTATGTGTGTTTATATGCGAACCATTTGTGAAAGTGGTCCCAGCATGATGCCACATGTGTCATTTCCAAATATTTCAGTCTGTATTTTTTTCTCTCTCTCTCTGTTTTTTCTGTCACCCAGGCTGGAGTGCAGTGGTACGATCTGGCTCACTGCAGCCTCGACCTCCTGTGCTAAAACAGTTCTCTTGCCTCAGCCTCCTGTGAAGCTGGTACCACAGGTGCATGCCACTGCACCCAGCTAACTTGTAGAGATTGGGGTCTCACTTTGTTGCCCAGGCTGTTATTTGACTCCTGGACTCAGGTGATCATGCCACTTTGGCCTGCCAGAGTGCTGAGATTACAAAAGTGAGCCACCACACTCAGCCATAAATGTGTTGTTGTTGTTGTTTTTGAGACAGAGTTTCGCTCTTGTTGCTGAGGCTGGAGTGCAATGGCGCGATCTCAGCTCACTGCAACCTCCCCCCTCCTAGGTTCAAGCGATTCTCCTGCCTCAGCCTCCCAGGTAGTTGGGATTACAGGTGCCTGCCACCACGTCCAACTAATTTTTGTATTTTTAATAGAGACGGGGTTTCACTATGTTGGTCAGGCTGGTCTTGAACTCCTGACCTCAGGCGATCCACCCGCCTCGGCCTCCCAAAGTGCTAGGATCACAGGCGTGAGCCACTGTGCCTGGACTTGTAAATGGTATTTCAAAGTAAAATATATGTCATTGCATTTATCAAGATAATTTGATTGAGCTTTGTAGGTCCTAGCCATCCTTCTGCCTATTACTGGGCTTTTTGCAAATGCTGTTCCTGTTTCCACAACCTGGAGCATTGTCCCATCCCTTTTATTGTTTCTCTTGCTGTTATTTATTATGTCATCCATCATCATTATACCATTCCTCTGCCAAGAAACATTTAATTTTTGTTTTTGTTTACTATTACAAAAATGTTTTATAGAATATTGTTAGACTTACATTCTTGCCCCTCATTGTGGAAGTATTCCTGTAGTATGAATACAGCCAGAGGTTTTTTAGTTTTGTTTTGGTTTTTTTGAGGAGTCTTACTCCTTCATCCAGAGGCTGGAGTGCAGTGACGCGATCTTGGCTCGCTGCAAACTCCACCTCCTGGGTTCAAGCGATTCTCCTGCCTCAGCCTCCCAAGTATCTGGGACTACAGGCGGCCGCCAGCATGCCTAGCTAATTTTTGTATATTTGTAGAGACGGGGGTTTCACCATGTTGGCCAGGCTGGTCTCGAACTCCTGACCTCATGTGATCCGCCTGCCTCGGTCTCCAAAGTGTTGGGATTACAGGTGTGACCCACCGCGCCTGGCCCAGTGAGAGTTAAAGGGCCAGAGTGGAAGCAGGTCTTTGGAAGCTTGGCTCTGTCTTCCTTCAGTGCAGGGAGTTTGTGTTGTCCATCCCCAGCCTCTACAGAAGCACACAGTGAGTGTTCAATAAGCATTTCTTGGATCAAATGGCCCCTGCTTCTTTTAATGGTCAGTAAACTTTAAATAATGAGATTTTTCTGCAATAGAGAAGAGCAACTGCCTTGTGATTGGAAGCCAGCATATGTTATTCCTAAGCAGTTCTGCCTTTTTTCCACAGAAGGTGGTCTTCTGCCCTGTTAAAGAAGCCCTGGAGGTGGACTGGAGCAGTGAGAAAGCAAAGGCTGCTCTGAAGCGCACGACCTCCGACTACTTTCTCCTTCAAGGTGAGGTCTCAAAGCACAACTTACCCCGGGAGAGCTTTTGGCTCTGATTTCTGCAAATGTGGTTGCAAGGTCCAGATGGTTTTGTGATGTTTGCCTTGGGTGGCATTCTTCATTGGCTAGTTCTCAGTGATCACTTGAGAAAGGGGTGGTCACTTGAAGGGGGTGAGGTCTACCATTGAGCTCTGGGTTCTAATGACTTCTCCTTTTTTTACTTGTTGAAATGACCTCCCTGTCAAGTTGACCTTATGGTAATAGTGTTACAGGTCACAGATTGAGAAACCTCTTTTTTTTTCTTTTTTCTTTTTTTGAGACAGAGTCTTGCTCTGTCACCCAGACTGGAGTGCAGTGGGGTGCAATCTTGGCTCACTGCAACCTCCACCTCCTGGGTTGAAGCGATTCTGGTGTCTTAGTGTCCCCAGAAGCTGGGATGACAGGCATGCACCACTGCGCCCGGCTAATTTTTGTATTTTGAGTAGAGATGGGGTTTCACCATGATGCCCAGGCCCTGAAGTTCTGAGATTATAGGCATGAGCCACCATGTGAAGCCTGATCAACCAACTTCTCTTCACCGCCCCCCGCCTTTTTTTTTTTTTTTTTTTTTGAGACAGAGTCTTGCTCTGTCACCCAGGCTGGAATGCAGTAGCGCTATCATGGTTCACTGTAGCCTCTACTTCCTGGGCTTAAGTGCTCCCCATGCCTCAGGCTCCTGAGTAGCTGGTACTACAAGCACACGCCACTGTGCCCAGCTAGTTTTTGTATTTTTTTGTAGAAGCGAAGTTTCTCCATGTAGCCAGGCTGGACTTGAACTCCTGAGCTCTAGTGAAATCCCCGCGTTGGCCTTCCAAAGTGCTGGAGTTAAAGGCGTAAGCCACCAGTGCTTGTTCCCCTCTTCAGAATTCTTTCTCTGCCTCAAAACCATCCTCACGCTTATGAAAGGTGGGGTTGTTTTTCCTCTTGCTATTAATGAACTACTTATCAGTCCATCTTTGCTGGTGGTCAAGAGACTGTTAGTAAGTATTGGTTGGCTTTTCAGTGTTCTTCCTGTACCTGGCACTTTTTTGTTTGTTTTTGAGATGGAGTCTCGCTCTGTCCCCAGGCTGGAGTGCAGTGGTGTGATCTTGGCTCACTGTAACCTCTGCCTCCTGGGTTCAAGCGATTCTTCTGCCTCAGCCTCCCGAGTAGCTGGGACTGCAGGCGCGTGCCACCACACCCAGCTAATTTTTATATTTTTAGTAGAGACAGGGTTTCACCATGTTGGCCAGGTTGGGCTCACTCTCTTGACCTCGTGATCCGCCCACCTCAGCCCCCCAAAGTGCTGTGATTACAGGTGTGAGCCACCGCGCCTGGCAAACCTGGCACTTTTAATTTTTATTTTAATTTTTTTTTTGGAGACGGAGTCTAGCTCTGTCGCCCAGGCTGGAGTGCAGTGGCACGATCTTGGCACACTGCAACCTCTGCCTCCCAGGCTCAAGCAATTCTCCTGCCTCAGCCTCCCGAGTAGCTGAAATACAGGCGGGCACCACCATGCCCAGCTAATTTTCTTTTTTTTTGAGATGGAGTCTCACTCTGTTGCCCAGGAGAGCAGTGGCGTGATCTTGGCTCACTGCAACCTCCACCTCCCAGGTTCAAGCGATTCTCCTGCCTCAGCATCCTGAGTAGCTGGGATCACAGGCACCTGCCACCACGCTTGGCTAATTTTTTGTATTTTTAGTATTTTTGTATTTTTTTTGTATTTTCACCATCTTGGCCAGGCTGGTCTCGAACTCCTGACCTCAGGTGATCTGCCCACCTCAGTCTCCCAAAGTGTTGGGATTACAGACGTGAGCCACTGCACCTGGCTGCGCTAATTTTTGTATTTTAGTAGAGACAGGGTTTCACCATGTTGGCCAGGCTGGTCTTGAACTCCTGACCCCAGGTGATCTGCCCACCTCAGCCTCCCAAAGTGCTGGGATTACAGGCATGGTAGTTTTTTAAAAAGTATTTTTTTTAATGTTATTTATGCATTTATTTTTTTGAGACGGAGTCTCACTCTGTCACCCAGGCTGGAGTGCAGTGGTGCAATCTTGGCTCACTGCAACCTCCACCTCCCGGTTCAAACAGTTTCCCCGCCTCAGCCTCCCGAGTAGCTGGGATTACAGGTGCCCACCAGCACACCCAGCTAATTTTTGTATTTTTAGTAGAAACGGGGTTTCACCATGTTGGCCAGGCTGGCCTCAAACTCCCAACCTCAGATGATCCACCTGCCTCGGCCTCCCGAAGTGCTGGGATTACAGGCGTGAGCCACCACGCTCAGCTGGATGAACTATTTGAAAGTCCCGAATATCCATTTGTGTAGAAATAAATGGGTTGAGCAGGAATGAGTGTTGCATGTGAGTGGGCTGCACTCAGAAAATGCCTCCTCTTGATAGTGGGATCAGGTGTGGAAGAGGCACCAGCAGTAAGAGCAGAGTCTTTTCCATGTGGGAACAGTGCCTGGGCCCTTTGGGAGAAGCTTGTTGCTCACTGCCTCGCACATAGAAAGCCCTCAGGAAACAATGGCGCTAATTTGCCAAGGTTTGGGTTTGACTTGAGCATCTCTAACTGCTGCTTATGAAAGGAGTCAACTGGGCTGGGCTACTAAAAATACAAAAATTAGCCGGATGAGGTGGTGTGCGCCTGTAATCCCAGCTACTCGGGAGGCTGAGGCAGAAGCACTTAAACCTAGGAGGCAAAAGTTGCAGAATCCGAGATCATGCCAAAGCACTCCAGCCTGGGTGACAGAGCTGAACTCCATCTCCAAAAAAAAGGGGGAGAAACAGAGTCAATCACAGATCATCTACTCCAGAGTTGAAAAGTGTACACGCCAAAAAAAAAAAAGAGAAAAGAAAAAAAGCACATATCTTCACGGATGACAGAGTTCTCTAGGACTTGCTCTGTGCCGGGCGTTTTCCATGTATATCACCTTCATCTCACAAAGGCCCTCAGGCAAGTGCTATTAACACCACCAGCTACAGAGGGGAATCTGAGGCTCAGGGAATTTAAAGTCAGTGGCTCAAGATCACCCATCTAAAACAAAATGGCAGTGCCCACTGGAAGCCAGGTCTGTTTTGATTCCAAAGGTCTTGTTCTTTTTCTTTTTCCCCAGAGACAGAGTCTTGCTCTATCACCCAGGTAGGAGTGCAGTGGGGCGATCTTGGCTCACTGCAACTTCTGCCTCCTGGGTTCGAGCGATTCTACAGGCACGCACCACCACACCCAGCTAATTTTTGTATTCTTAGTAGAGGCAGGGTTCCACCGTGTTGGCCAGGCTGGTCTCGAACTCTTGACCTCGTGAACCGCCTGCCTCGGCCTCCCAAAGTGCTGGGATTAGAGGCGTGAGCCACCGCGCCCGGCCCAAAGTCTTGTTCGGAACAACCATGCACCACTGCCTGCCACAGAAGTCATATAGCTACTGTTTCTTCCTCAACCACCTGTCCACCCCTCCAACCCCGTAACTTCTGATGCTGATGTCCAGTAGCACCTGCACTGAATATTCACTTTGCTCCTAGATATCAGTTTTGTCCCCTCAGTTCAATGACCCCTGTGATGTTGAGATGGATGAGAAAATACTCTGGAAACTGCAGAGGATAAAATCAGGATTTCCTCACTTCAGCACACTACTGACATTCTGTGCTGGATAACACTGTCACGGGGGACTGTCCTGTGCACTGTGGGATATTTAGTAACACCCCTATCCTCTACTCACTAGATGCCAGTAATATCTCCCCACCCAGCTCTAACATCAAAAAATGTTTCCAGACACCACTGCCACATGTCCCCAGTTGAGAACCACTGGATTATGCTAAACTCAAAGGCCAGTTGACTCCTTTCTTTTCTTTCTTTTCTTTTTTTTTTTTTTTTGAGACGGAGTCTCTCTCTGTCACCCAGGCTGGAGTGCAGTGGTGCAATCTCAGCTCACTGCAAGCTCAGCCTCCTGGGTTCACGCCATTCTCCTGCCTCAGCCTCCCGACTAGCTGGGACTACAGGCGCCTGCCACTATGCCTGGCTAATTTTTTGTATTTTTAGTAGAGACGGGGTTTCACCGCGTTAGCCAGGATGGTCTCGAACTCCTGACCTCGTGATCCACCCGCCTCGGCCTCCCAAAGTGCTGGGATTACAGACGTGAGCCACTTCGCCCAGCCTGTTTACCCTTAATTCCATCCCTCAGTGGGTATTATGGCAACAGTCTCATGAGTGCCTATGACCCTTTGCTGGATAATATATCCTATCATGTTTACCACTCTCTCCCAGATGGCATTAATTATCTGTCTTTTTCAGTTTTGAGTTCCAGGGCTTTGGATATGGTAATCAAAACATTAAAACTATGTGCAGTAAATTTCTTTTCTTTTTTCTTTTTCTTTTTTTTTTTTTTTGGTGTGGTGAAAAGCACATAACATAAAATTTACCATTATAACTTAAGCGTATAGGTCAGTAATAATCATACAATGTTTTATTTTATTTTGTTTTTTTCTGAGATGGAGTTTCGCTCTTGTTGACCAGGCTGGAGTGCAATGGTGCGATCTCGGTTCACCACAACCTCCACCTCCCAGGTTTAAGCAATTCTCCTGCCTCAGCCTTCTGAGTAGCTGGGATTACAGGCATATGTCACCACGCCTGGCAAATTTTTTTTTTTTTTTTTTTTTTTTTGTGAGACGGAGTCTCGCTCTGTCTCCCAGCCTGGAGTGCAGTGGCATGATCTCAGCTCACTGCAAGCTCTGCCTCCCGGGTTCACGCCATTCTCCTGCCTCAGCCTCCCGAGTAGCTGGGACTACAGGTGCCCGCCACCATGCCCGGCTAATTTTTTTGTATTTTTAGTAGAGACGGGGTTTCACCATGTTAGCCAGGATGGTCTCGATGTTCTGACCTCGTGATCCGCCTGCCTCAGCCTCCCAAAGTGCTGGGATTACAGGCGTGAGCCACCGCGCCTGGCCACATTTTTGTATTTTTAGTAGAGACGGGGTTTCACCATGTTGGCCAGGCTGGTCTCAAACTCCTGACCTCAGGTGATCCTCCTGCCTCGGTCTCCCAAAGTGCTGAGATTACAGGCGTGAGGCACCGTGCCCGGCAGTGAGAACATTTACAATCACATATTGTGTAGCATCAGGAAGGATTTTTAAGATCAAAGTTAGCACATTAGAAGTGGAAATAATTTAAAAGTGGCCTTGATTTTTTTTTTTTTTTTTTTTTTTTGCCTACTGTAAAGTCAAGCCTCAGTAACATTCTGATTTCAGGATGCAGGGTGGCTTTGGGGGATATCCAAGTTGAGTGGTAAACTTTGTAGGCACTACTCTTGTTTCCATGTTCCTGGCACCTAAGTTGATATATTTTCTCACAGTCTTGTGACAATCTTTGAAGTATAGTTGTTATCCCATTTTCCTATAAGGAGACCAAGGTTGAGCATGGTTGTGATTGCCGAAAGTCATATCCGTGGTTTTATAGACAGTCAGAATTTAGACCATGAGGTTTGTTTTACCTGTGGACTTAGTTTTCAACATATTTAAGATATATCTGTAGTCTGGGCGCGGTGGCTTATGCCTGTAATCCCAGCACATTGTGAGGCTGAGGTGGGCAGATCATTTGAAGTCAGGAGTTCGAGGGCAGCCTGGCCAAGATGGTGAAATCCCGTCTCTACTAAAAAACACAAAAATTAGCCAGGCATGGTGGCACATGCCTGTAGTCCCAGCTACTTGGGAGGCTGAGGTGAGAGAATCTCTTGAACCTAGGAGGCAAGGTTGCAGTGAGCCGAGATCGTGCCACTGCACTCCAGCCTGGGCAACAGAACGAGACTCTGTCTCAAAATAAAATAAATAAAATATCTCTAAACTAATATATCTCATTAAATTTCAGATCTGGAGTTCTGTGAGTTAGGGAAACAGGATCACCACCATAGTAGAAAAAACTCTGGTGCAGATAGTTTTAGACACAAAGATTATCTGAATTCAGGCCCAGATAATTGTCTTCTTTTTCCCCAAGAAACATTTGAATTGTATTTCTGTTAGATAAGCATCATAGTAAAAAGTCTTCAAAGTTTTTGAAGGCAGAAAAAGTTTTCTTTGTTAAACCCTTCCCATTTTTTTGTCTTCTAAATTTCTAGGAGAACTACTGTTAAGTTTTTTAGTATCTTGTTGAACAATGGTTAACAATTATAATCATTTGTGTTTATGTAATCAAACTGTGAAACACCGGTTGGGAACTTGCTTGTGTACACTTGATGGCGTAAATGGTAGGGGAAGAGCATACATACAAAAGTGGCCTCTTTTGCTTTCTTGGCAGCATGATGTTATATTCCTTTGGATGTACCGTCATCTATGACCAGTCTCATCTTGAAAGGCATGCTTATTTTCCATTTTTCCCAGTGCTTGGAATTTGTTTCCAAAATTGTTTCTAGGAACATGACTAATGTGACTGACGATGCCTTAGGAATTCCTAGTGGGGACAAGGTGCTTGGCTGGGATGCATACCTAAGAATATCTCACAAAGAAACCTGATTTTGTTTCACTATTGCCTAATGGCGCACATAGTAGGTGCTCAATAAATAAATATTTTTTGCATGAGTGGTTTTTGCTTGTCTGGTCATTTGCCCTATTGTAGAGGGAGAGTAGTGTGCCCACTGGAGTCCCCACAGGGTCCTTTTGCCTGCATGCCTACCCCTGTGGCACCCATCAGGCTTTTGATTCCAATGTTGCCCTGGGCTCTCACTCACAGGTAGATGTTTTTTATTGCCCCATTCACAATTCAGCCACCTGCTGTCCGCATGCATGTGCTTGCCATGTTTAGATATTGGGTGTTTTTCCAGTTTACTTAATAAGTTAGTGGCCAGACTGTACGCTTCCTGCTGCATTTTTCCACTGTCTTGAGAGTTGGCCTCGCCATCTGTGAGCAAAAGGTCTCTTCTTTTTATTATTCTCCCATGGCATGTTGCAAAACAGTAAGCGTGAGCTGGTTTCCTGTGGCAAAAAAATGACTTTGATTTGTTCTTTTTGAGGTTACTGTGAGTTTATCATAACAGGAGTGCTAAAAATACCGAGTCTGGTATGGAAACAGCATTCACTTACCAGCATGAACAATAACATACAGGTTTAGCCTAGAGCAGGAAGAAATGGACTTCATCTCAAGATGAGAATACTTATCAGAGAATTCTTGGCAATCTTAACTTGCTCAGTCTCTGTTCTGATGAGTTATGGAAAAGTACTTAGACCATCTTTGAGCCACAGAATTGAAGCTGAAAATATTCTTAGACCAAACATTTTGTGAGCACCTGCTATGTACCAGATCTCATAGCTGGGACTAATCAGAGGAAGAGGAATAGAATAAGTGTTCTTGCCAATGTGAAAGACAAACAAATAATTCTACTCCTTGTGAGGACAGCTATAACAGAGGGCTATAGAAACTATCATGTGTTGTTCCTGGTTTTTGTTTGTTTTTTTTCCCCCCCAAAACAGGGTCTTGCTCTGCTTTCCAGGCTGGAGTGTGGTGGCACAATCATAACTCACTATAGCCTTGAACTCCTGGGCTCAAGTTATCCTCTCACCTCGACCTGCAAAGTAGCTGGGACTACAGGCGTGTGCCACCATGTCCAGCTATTTTAAAAAATCTGTTTGTACAGATTGGGGCAGGGAGGTCTTGCTATGTTGCCCAGGCTGGCCTTGAACTCCTGGCCTCAAGAAATCCTCTCACCTCAGTTTCCCAAAGAGGGACTATAGGAAAGCACCACCCTGCCTGGCTCGTTGTTCTGTTTTTAAATACATTTGCATTATTCCATAATAATCAAAGTAATTTATTATGGGAACTTAGGAAACTGAAGGTCTGACCATCTTTGGGGAGTTGTGAAGTCTTGACAGAGGAGGGGAGATCTGAGCTGTATTTCTCGGAACAGGTATTTGCCAGGTGGGAAAGAGGGAAGAATATTGCAGAGCAACACATGCACAGGGCCAGCAGGATAGAGGCTGAGCCTCGGAGGGGACTGGAGCTTGGAGAGAGCAGGCTAGTGGTTTCCCTATTGATAGAATATCAGAATCTGGCCAGGCGCGGTGGCTCACGCCTGTAATCCCAGCACTTTGAGAGACTGAGGTGGGCAGATCATGAGGTCAAGAGATCGAGACCATCCTGGCCAACATAGTGAAACCCCATCTCTACTAAAAATACAAAAATTAGCTGGGCATGGTGGTGTGCGCCTGTAGTCCCAGCTACTCGGGAGGGGGAGGCAGGAGAATCGCTTGAAAACCTGGAAGGCAGAGGTTGCAGTGAGCTGAGGTCGCGCCACTGCACTCCAGCCTGACGACAGGGCAAGACTCCATCTCCAAAAAAAAAAAAGAAATCTATCTATCTATCAGTCAGAATCACTGAGGAAACCGTTGAAAAATGCGGAGTGCCTGCTTGTAGCTCACATTACTGAATCCAGATAGCTAGGAGTGACTTGCATGTCTGCATTTTTCTATAGCACCCAGGTTTCTCAAATCAGCCAAGTTAGGGGAAAGTACTGTCATAGGAAAGGGAAGCCCATTTCCCAGGTCAAAGCCTTTGCTTACTCGTTTATGTTTATTTTATTTTTGAGACAGAGTCTAGCTTTGTTGCCCAGGCTGGAGTTGCAGGTGCAATCTCAGCTCATTGCAACCTCCGCCTTTTGGATTCGTGCAATTCTCCTGCCTCAGCCTCCAAGTAGTGGGGATCACAGGCACACGCCACCATGCCTGGCTAATTTTTGTATTTTTAGTGGAGACAGGGTTTCGCCATGTTGGCCAGGCTGGTCTCGAACTCTTGACCTCAAGTGATCCATGCACCTCGGCCTTCCAGGTGCTGAGTTTATAGGCATGAGCCATCGTGCATAGCCTGCGTTTTTCTTTTAAAATGTGTTAAGCACTGTATTTCAAATTACATTTGTGCACTGAAGCAGGGAGGAAAAAGGAGCTAACCCAAGTAGCTGTTCAATATAGTATTTTGACTGCATACCCTCAAAGTAAAGAAAAATCTCACCTGGCGCGGTGGCTTATGCCTGTAATCCCAGCACTTTGGGAGGCTGAGGTGGGTGGCTCACAGGGTCAGGAGATCGAGACCATCCTGGCTGACACGGTGAAACCTCGTCTCTACTAAAAATACAAAAATTAGCCGGGCGTGGTGGCGGGCGTCTGTAGTCTCAGCTACTTGGGAGGCTGAGGCAGGAGAATGGTGTGAACCCGGGAGGCAGAGCTTGCAGTGAGCCGAGATCTCACCACTGCACTCCAGCATGGGCGACAGAACAAGGCTCTGTCTCCAAAAAAAAAAAAAAAAGAAAGAAAAATCTCTAGCCGGTCGCGATGGCTCACGCCTGTAATCCTAGCACTTTGGGAGGCTGAAGCAGGTGGATTGCCTGAGCTCAGAAGTTTGAGACCAGCCTGGGCAACATGGTGAAACCCTGTCTCTACTAAAGTACAAAAAAATTAGCCAGACATGGTGGCACACTCCTATAATCCTAGCTACTTGGGAGGCTGAGGCAGGAGAATTGCTTGAACCCTGGAGGCAGAGGTTGCAGTGAGCCGAGGTTGCTCCATTGCACTCCAGCCTGGGTGACAGAGCATCTTAAGAAAAAAAAAAAAAGAAAAACTCTAAATAAATATTGAACTCTGCTTAGTAGGGATTTTGTTTTCAGATGAGGTCTTGCTCTGTACCCCAGGCTGGAGTGCAGTGTCACGATCATAACTTACTGCAGCTTCTCCCTCCCAGCTCAAGCAATCCTCACATCACAGCCTCCCAAGTAGCTGGGATTATAGGCAAGTAGCAGGGATTACAGGCATGCAATACCACACCCAGCTGATTTTGGTATTATTTGTAGAGACGGGGTTTCACTGTGTTGCCCAGGGTAGTCTCTGTCTCCTGGGCTGAAGTGAGCCTCCTGCCCAAAGTGTTGGGATTACAGGTGTGAGCCACTTTGCCTGGCCTAGTAGGTTTGTTTTTCACAGTGATAGGGGTTAGCAATTCTGAAACTACTTACTGTTCTTCTAAGATTGAGCAGATAGGTAAGTATAGTGTTAATAGTGAGAATCAAGTTTTCTTATTGTCAGAAAAGGGTGTTCCTATGAATGTGGACAGTGGGAAAGGCTAGAAGGAGCCATGTGGTATTGGATTGGAATTGAAGTTATCTGGATGAACTCATGGTTTCTTATACGTAGATGTAGTAATAGATGTATGTGTGTATGCATATCCACTTTTACACGTGTTTATTTCCTAGAATTGTTTCCTAGAATTGTTGAGAGGGTTTATGCCCAGAGACATCCCAGAAGCACTGAACGCACTCATGCCAAGATGTTAATACCTTTCCTCACTAAAGAGAAACCAGGGTTCCTTGGAGAAATGGCTGTTTCCAGATCTGGGGTAGGAAAATTACAGGTGAGCTTGGAATATCCTGCTATGCCAGAAAGTAAGGAAGTGCTCTAAGAATGATAGGGGCATGTCAAAAGAACAAGAAGAATAATCAATTAATGTAAACAAGGAATTATGAAGATAACAAAGTCTATCTTTGACTATCACCATAGTAGTAACAATTGTTTCAATCAAGAATCAAAGTGCTAAAATCAATGGGGAACAGTTTGCGGTGAAACAGTGTAGATGTTTCCTTATCAGATGCTTTTATGCTATGCCTGGTGGCTCACCCCTATAAATCCCAAGAGGCTGAGGCAAATTGATCACTTGCACCCAGGAGTTTTGAGACCAGCCTGGGCAACAAAACGAGACCCCATCTCTACAAAAAATAAAAAAGTTAGCCAGATACAGTGGTGCATGCATGTAGTCCTAGCTACTCAGGAGGATGAGATGGGAGGATCGGTTGAGCGCAGGAGGTCGAAGCTGCAGTGAGTTGTGATTGCACCACTGCACTCCAGCCTGGGAGCAAGACTTTGTCTCCCCCGAAAAAGAAGATGCTTTTAAATGAATTACATAGAGAGACATTGGAGAACCCTGGCAGGTTGTACCTCAGCTGAGTGATGAAATTAACAATCTAGGGATGGACAGTTAGACCTCATGCCTCTTGGAATATGTAACCCTGGGTTGGATCTGAGAATAGAGGAAGGTTTTTTTTCTTTTGCTCTAAAGGATGTTAGTGGAACAATTGGTAAAAAGAGGCCCCGGCGTGGTGGCTCACGCCTATAATCCCAGCACTTTGGGAAGCCGAGGCAGGTGGATCACCTGAGGTCGGGAGTTCGAGACCAGCCTGCCCAACATGGAGAAACCCCATCTCTACTAAAAATACAAAATTAGCCAGGCGTGGTGGTGCATGCCTGTAATCCCAGCTACTTGGGAAGCTGAGGCAGGAGAATCGCTTGAACCCAGGAGGCGGAGGTTGTGGTGAGCCGAGATCGCGCCATTGCACTCCAGCTTGGGCAACAAGAGCGAAACTCTATCTCAAAATAGTAATAATAATAATAAAATAAAAAACAAATAAAAAGGTCTGTAGGTTAGATAGCAGTACTGTTTCCATGTTATTTATTTTTACAGTTATGATAATTGTCTCATGGTTATTTAAGAGAATGGTTTTTGTTTTGTTTTTCTTGTTTTTTCTTTTCCTTTTTTTTTTTTTTTTTTTTGAGATGGAGTCTCACTCTGTCGCCCATGCTGGAGTGCAGTGGCATCATCTCGGCTCACTGCAAGCTCCACCTCATAGGTTTACGCCATTCTCCTGCCTCCCCCTCCCAGGTAGCTGGGACTACAGGTGCCCGCCACCACACCTGGCTAATTTTTGTATTTTTGGTAGAGATGGGGTTTCGCCATGTTAGCCAGGCTGGTCTCGAACTCCTAGCCTCAGGTGATCCTCCCACCTCAGCCTCCTGAAGTGCTGGGATTATAAGTGTGAGCCAGTGCACCTGGCCTCTTTTTTTTTTTTTTTTTTTTTAATTTTACAGAATTTTTTTTTTTTTTAAGACAGAGTCTTGCTCTAAGGCTGTAGTGCAGTGGTATGATCACAGCTTGCTGCAGCCTCAGCCTCCTGGACTCAAGCGATCCTCCCACATCACCCTTCTGAGTAGGTGGGATTATTGTAGGCTAAATTTTTAATTTTATTGTAGAGAGGCCTCACTCCATGGCCTAGGCTGGTCTTGAACTCCTGGGCTCAAGTGATCCTCCCACTTCTGCCTCCCAAAGCATTGGGATAACAGACGTGAGCCACTGCACCCAGCCTGTTAGATAATTTAGAAAATTTTCTTTCCTCATTCTTCAATTTCCCCTCATTCACACTCCCAACTTTCCTGTTTTGTGATTTTTAAATGACGTTGTCTTTGGATGCCGGCTGGATTTGGTGATTAGTTCTCTTCAGAAGAAACTTCTTATTTTAGAACTTGTAACCTTTGCAAAGCAGGCCATAGGCAGCCATCGCTATTTGGGTATGACATTCCCCAGTGGGTTTTTGGTGTCCAGTAATGACAAAAACTGCTGAGAAAGAGACAGCCACAGGGAAATGGGTTCCGATAATGGGGCAGCAGCTGAGTGCTTGTTGATTTGCTGCTGTCATGACCACAGATGTTTAAAAATAATTTGTAAGGAAAAAGAAAAAAGCGTAGTGTGTGTGTGTGTGTGTGTGTGTGTGTGTGTGCGCGCACGCACGCGCGCGCGCACACCACTGCCTTATCAGTGGTAGAGAATGCAGACCACAGTCATTCAGAAAGGAAGAAGGCACCACCATGGAAACAGGAGAGGTGAGGAGAAGGGCAGAGGTGACCCACAAATGCGGCTCAGTGCCTTACAGCAGAGAGCTCATGAGAGAACAGAACTGGTTAGTCACCGACTCTGCTCCTCGGTCTGCAAGAGAGGTTCAGCACCAAGTCTATACTACACAGTACTGGAAGGATTAGATGAAGGCCTGGCACACATTGTGAATTAATAGTTACTGGTTACAGGCGGGGTGTGGTGGCTCAGGCTTGTAATCCCAGCCCTTTGGGAGGCCAAAGTGGGAGGATTGCTTGAGGCCAATAGTCCAAGACCAACATGGGCAACATAGCAACACCCTGTCTCTTTTTTTGACTGTTTTTTTGAAACAGTCTCGTTCTGTCAGCCAGGCTGGAGTGCAGTGGCACAATCTTGGCTCACTGCAACCTCTGCCTCCCAGGTTCAAGCAATTCTCCTGCCTCTGCCTCCCGAGTAGCTGGGATTACAGGTGCCTACCACCACGTCCGGCTAATTTTTGTATTTTTAGTGGAGATGGGCTTTCACCATGTTGGCCAGGCTGGTCTCAAACTCTTGACCTCAGGTGATCCACCCACCTTGGCCTCCCAAAGTGCTGGGATTACAGGCGTGAGCCACTGTGCCTGACCGGTTCACGTACTTTACATGCATTGTGATCATATTAAATCTTCATGACAGCCTTACTAGATCAGGTCTTGTCCTGTTTTCACATGAGGAAATTGAATCTTGGAAGGGCTAAGTCATTTGTCCAGGGTCATCACACGCAGTAAGTGTTAGAGTCTAAACGAGCCAGAGCTGTCACACTGTCATCCCCAGGGCCTTGTGTTTAAGCATCGCCCAACAAAGTGCTCAGTCAGACTTTAATTATTAGCATTACTAATAATACCATTATGATGATTATTTTGTCTAAACTTCACAGGCACCTCGTGACATTTTCTTATTCCACTTTTGCAGATGGGAAACTGAGGCCCACCAAGATCAGATTACAATAATGGGCAACATTGTCAGCAACCTGCCTTGCTTTTTTTCTTAGCAGGCCCACATCTCCCCCACTCCCCCACCCACTTGGCAGTAGCCTGTGTTTGAGCTGCTCACAGGCCCCAAGGCCCAGCTGCAATTCTTGTTTAAAGCCTCACATCTTTTCTCTGACTGTCAGACAACAGTCACGGGAATGTCCTGTGCCATCTTCCCTCGGCAAGAGGGGTTGGCAGAGAGCAGCAGATGCCTAGAGTCAAGGTCATGTGCTGCTCAAGTGCTGGGCTGGAGACAAGACCCTCTCTCCCTGCTGCTTGTGACCAGGCAGGGTGGCTCTGAATGTAGAGGGCTCTGTCAGAACAGTTCTGTGACCAGAGGGTGTGGTTGGCAAAGCAATGCATTAGGGGCCCATGGAAGTTTATTCTTGTTGTCCACATTATTTCCCTGTGACTTTTAGATTTTTTTTTCCTTTTTGTAAATTAGTTTTTTCATACTAGTTAGAATGTTTCACCTTAAAGGTGAGAGTCAAGCTCTGGAATCGCCTGACATTTTTAAGGAAAGGAATAGAATATTGGGCTGGGGCTAGTCTGAAATGGTGGTTTGTATTATTTTAAATTGATGGGCTCTGGGTTAGGGGAGCCAAATCCATTTTAAAGTGATTTTTGTAAAAATTGGCATGTCTTCTGTTTCTTCTCTTTTCCAAAGGTGACACTATAACGTAGAGGTTAAGAATGTGGTGACTTTTAAATCCGTCGTGACCATAAGCCTCTCCTAAGCCCCAGTTTTCCTACCACTAAAATGGGGGTGGTAACAGTTGTACCTACCTCATTCTGTCTTTTTTGTTTTTTGCTTGTTTGTTTGTTTTTTAGATGGAGTCTTGCTCTTGTCGCCCAGGCTGGAGTGCAATGGTGTGATTTTGGCTCATTGCAACCTCCACCTCCTGGGTTCAAGCGATTCTCCTGCCTCAACTTCCCGAGTAGCTGGGATGACAGGCACCCGCCACCATGCCCATTTAGTTTTTGTATTTTTAGTAGAGATGGGGTTTCACCACGTTGGCCAGGCTACTCTTGAACTCCTGACCTCAGGTGATCCACCCACCTCAGCCTCCCAAAGTGCTGGGATTACAGGCGTGAGCCACCACTGCCGGCCTCGTTCTGTCGTATTTTTTTACGTAGGAGAGCTCAGTCTGAATGTAGGATATGACATGGTTGTGGGGTTTTTTTTGTTTTTGTTTTGTTTTTGTTTTGTTTTGTTTTGTTTTGTTTTGTTTTGTTTTGTTTTTGAGACAGTCTCACTCTGTCCCCCAGGCTGGAGTGCAGTGGTGTGATAGCTCACTGAAACCTCTACCTCCCAAGTTCAAGCGATTCTCCTGCCTCAGCCCCCAAGTAGCTGGAATTACAGGTGCCCACCACCATGCCCAGCTAATTTTTGTAGTTTTAGTAGAGATGAGGTTTCACCATGTTGGCCAGGCTGCTCTCGAACTCCTGACCTCGGGTGATCCACCCGCCTCGGCCTTCCAAGTACTGGGATTATAGGCGTACTTGGAAGGTACCATGCCCGGCCATTATATGCTTTTTAAAAAAACCTAAATGTTGCAAAAAACATGTGTCTAAAATCTCTGTTTCAACATAGTTTTTTAATAGCCATGTAATATTCCATTCTGTCAATATGTCTTTATATGTGGTACAGACTGAGTGTCTAAATCCAAGAACCCAAAATCTGAATTTTTTTTTATTTTTCATTTTTATTTGTTTACTTATTTTTGAGACAGAGTCTTGCTCTGTCACCCAGGTTGGAGTGCGGTGGTGTGTCGGCTCACTGCGACCTCCACCTCCCAGGTTCAAGTGATTTTCCTGCCTCAGCTTCCCAAGTAGCTGGGATTACAGGTGCCCGCCACCATGCCTGGCTAATTTTTTGTATTTTTAGTGGACACGAGGTTTCACCGTGTTGGCCAGGCTGATCCTGAACTCCTGACCTCAAGTAATCCTCCCACCTCTGTCTACCAAAGTGCTGGGATTACAGGCTGAGCTACTGCGCCCAGCCTATTTTTGTTTTTTTGAGACAGAGTCTCACTGTGTCTCCCAGGCTAGAGTACAGTAGCCCCATCTCTGCTCACTGCAACCTCCGCCTCCTGGGTTCAAGTGATTCTCCTGCCTTAGTCTCCTGAGTACCTGGGATTACAGACGTGTGCCACCACACCCGGCTAATTTTTGTATTTTTAGTAGAGACAGGGTTTCACTATGTTGGCCAGCCTGATCTTGAACTACTGACCTCAAGTGATCCACCCATCTCAGCCTCCCAAAGTGCTGGGATTACAGGCATGAGCCACCGCACCAAGCCCCCAAAATCTGAAATGTTTTGAGTGCCGACATAACACTCAAAAAAATGCTTATTGGCCCCGGGCGTGGTGGCTCATGCCTGTAATCCCAGCACTTTGGGAGGCCTAGGTGGGTGGATCACCTGAGGTCAGGAGTTCAAGACCAGCCTGGCTAACATGGTGAAACCCCGTCTCTACTAAAAATACAAAAATTGACCAGGTGTAGTGGTGGGTGCCTGTAGTCCCAGCTACTAGGGAGGCTGAAGCAGGAGAATCACTTGAACCCAGGAGGCACAGCTTGCGGTGAGCCGAGATCCCGCCACTGCATTCCAGCCTGGGCAACAGAGAGAGACTCTGTCTCAAAAATAAAAATAAAAAAAAAATAATAAAAGCTCATTGGAGCATTTTGGATTTGGGATTCTTAGATTTGGGGTGCTCTATTGGTAAGTACAATGCAAATATTTCAAAATCTGAAAATACCCAAAATTCAAACACTTCTGCTCCCTGACATCCTGTGTAAACAACACTGCAGTGAACATTTATAGGTAATTCATTCAGCGGGTAAGGGTCAGGACCTTTTATAGGGATCCTTAATACCACATTTTTACATGGTTCATTGAGCATTCGTGCTCCCCTCTGCTGTGGGTGAGGGTGCAGGTCCCTCAGCCTTCTTGCTTGGGTTGAGTCATCCTGGTCTTTAATTTGGTAAGCAAAAAATGGCATCTTGTTTTTGAGCTCGTTTCTGAGAAAGTGCATGCTCCTTTTCCCCATCAACAACTTTCATCCGGCGCCTCGGAACCTCTTCAGTAGAGAGTGAGATGCAAATAGCGAGGCACAGCTTCTTTCCCTCTTCTGAGCTGATGCCTGGTGAGGTCATAGACTGGGTTTCATTGCAAAGACGAAAGCGTGGGCAGGACTTTTGGAGCACAAAAAGGGGCATTTCAGAGTAGTCTTCATGGGCGGCCACTCCAGAGGTGAAGTTTTCTAGAGAAAGACATGAAAGTACTGTGTGGCTGTGGCGACAGACAGAGGCTTACGAGCCTGCCCTCTAGAGACTGTGAGCTCCGCGTGTGAGGGCAAGGCCTGGGGCTGTCTGGGTCGCTTCTGGGTCCCCACCACAGCTAGCATAGGGTAGGGGTGGAGGGGGGGTGCTCAGGAAGTGATTTTTGAAGAGTGGATGACTGAATACATGCACACACATACTTTTAAGTTTCTGGGTTAAAGAGGAAAACAGAATGAGGTAAACAAAGGAAAGTAATGTGGAGGTGAACTGAGCAGATGGCAAGATGCCGTGAATGGTTAGAGGCCAGGAGAGCCAGAATCAGAGTGGCTTCCGTGAAGTGTCCCTACCTCCTCCCCCAGCCCAGCTATGTCACTCCTCTGAGCTTCACACCTATGGACTGTTCTGCACCCTAGCCCTCAGATGCAACGGTGAAAGTGGGACTCCTATTGGGTTTCCCTGTTGAGGACAGACATGGTGCCCTGTGTATCTGCTGCTGCTTTTTTCTTTTTTTCTTGCTGAGTATTCCATGTGTAGCATGTTTGTAACACTTGATAAGAAACAGAACCATCCCAGATAGCTTGAACACTTTTCAATTCAGTCAGTAACAGACCAGGTCTGCTTTGGATTTCCAGGAGCTTGTGTCACTTTATTTTTTTTCTGAGCCAGGGTCTCGCTTTGTCACCCAGCTGGAGTGCAGTGGTGCAATGTCAGCTCACCACAGCCTCTGCCTCCTGGGTTCAAGCAATTCTCGTACCTCAGCCTCCCAAGTAGCTGGGACTACAGGTGCCTGCCACAACACCCGGCTCATTTTTGTGTTTTTAGCAGAGACGGGGTTTCACCATGTTGGCCAGGCTGGTCTCAAACTCCTGACCTCAGTTGATCTGCTTGCCTTGGCCTCTCAAAGTGCTGGGATTACAGGCGTGAGCCACTGCACCCGGCCTCTGGATTGCCCGGCCTGTGTCACTTTGTCATGAGCCCTTCTCCCCTAGTTATCCTTTATTCTTCAAACAGGCTTCCTGTGTGACATATTTTTTGAGTGCCTGCTATGGGGCAAGCCCTGTGCCAGGTGTTCAGTATAGAGTAGTGACATCGCCTTTGCCCCACAGAGCATAAAAATCTAATGGAGGAGACAAGCCAGTCCTTGTGCTAGTTCATTTCCACAGGTGAATATAAAACCACAAACTGGGCAGGGCATGGTGGCTCACGCCTGTAATCCCAGCACTTTCAGAGGACAAGGCAGGTGGACAACTTGAGCTCAGGAGTTTGAGACCAGCCTGGGCAACATGGTGAGACCTCGTCTCTACAAAAAATAAAAAATGAACCACCAGGCATGGTGGTGCATGCCTGTAGTCCCAGCTATTTGGGAGGCTGAGGCAGGAGGATCACTTGAGTTCAGGAGGTCCAGGCAGCAATGAGCTGAGATTGTGCTGCTCATTCCAGCCTGGGTGACAGACTGAGGCCATGTCTCAAAAAAAAAAAAGAAAAAAATAATCACAAACTGTGAGTAAGGTATCTAAGGGAAAAAACTGTGCTGGGAGTGAATGTCAGGAGACAGGGAGATCTGAGGCAGTATCGTGTCCAGAGCCCACAGCTGAATTAATGGTAATGCAGGTAAATGAGCTACTGTGTGACACAGGTTACCACAGCAAGTGTATCGGCTTTTCTAGGGCGAGTGTGAGCTGGGTTTCTGGACTTTGCTTAAGAGCAGTGACAGACCTGGAAGATACTGCCCCAGGCACTCTTGGGTGCTTTACATGTATTGGTTCATTTAATCTTTAAACCCCACAAGTGCCCTTGGGATTCCCATTTTGCAGAGGAGGCTCAGGGTCCTTGTCACTTGCCCAAGGTCACAGTAAGTGGAAGAATAGGGAGTCTAGAGCTGTGCTCTTCGCTGCTGCCCTCCAGTTGGAAAGCTGTCCAGGCCAGGGACAGGCTTTGCAGAGAGAAGGTACAGAGGACGGGACAGGCAAATATTCAGAGACTATGAGGACTGAGGTGGTTCTGCCAACTGTGGAGGGCCTGGTCACTTGACAAGGCACCTCATTGCACCCCCCTGAGGCTCTCTCAAAGCCCCTTTTCGAGTTAGGACATTGTTATCTCCTGTGTAGTTTTTGTTGATTGCCCTCTGAAATGCTGTGAGAGGGTAGACCATCCATTCTGCCCTCGCCTGCCCAGCCCAGCACCTGGCACAGTCATTGCTCAGTGTATATTTATTGAATGAACAATTGACTGAATGTCAGGCCCAGGGCTTTGCCTTAGGAAACAGGCTGTTGGATAAGAGGTAGTACTACCATACTTTGCAATTTTTCTGGAAATTTATGTCACCTGGGAGTGGAGCAGATTACCAGGCTGTTTCCAGAGATAGCGACTCTCCATAAAGTGAGCCAACCTGGGGGCTGGGCGCAGTGGCTCACGCCTGTAACCCCAGCGCTTTGGGAGGCTGAGGCAGGCGGATCACGAGGTCAGGAATTTGAGACCAGCCTGACCAACATGGTGAAACCCCATCTCTACTAAAAAATATGTATATAAATGAGCCGGGCGTAGTGGTGCGTGCCTGTAATCCCAGCTACTCAGGAGGCTGAGGCAGTAGAATCGCTTGCACCTGGGAGGCGGAGGTTGCAGTGAGCAAAGATCGCGCCACTGCACTCCAGCCTGGGTGACAGAGCGAGACTCTGTCTTAAAACGAACAAACAAAAAAAACAAAAGTGAGCCAACCCTGGGGAGGAGTCTACGTTCAGCTGCAGGGAGCCAGGGAATTGGGGCCGAGGTGTCTGGCACAGAAAAGCTTTGGGCCTGTCTCAGGTAAATGAAGTTTTGATATAGATTCAACTCCCCTGCCCCCCACAATTGAACTGTTTTTGGGGGCCAGCAATTAGGGGCTAATTTGTGACAGTGACTTTATTTTCTTCCTACTAAAGTACTGGTTTATTCGGTGGCCTTGGTGATTAGATTTAGGCATAATAGTTAAATGTAATAGAAGTTTATGTAACAAACAGTGATTAATAATGTTGCTGTCCAGATTCCCGTTATAGCGCTAACCTGATGTTATGAACTGAGATTAAATTTGAATTTGAGTGCTTACATTATTTTGTAAAGGTGGTTGTATATTCACATATCCACAGTTTTTTCTATAAATAACGTGAAACCGTGCTTGGTTTCTCTTTTCCAAAGTTTGCCTTTTCCATTACATGGGCAAGTCCTGAACCTAAGCCGAGACACTAGTCCATCATCTCCAGCAATGAATGTCATCCCCCCAGACTTCAGCATCCTGAGTTAATTAAAAGGTGCAGATGAAGTTAATCAAGTTTGGAACTCTAATTTTGTGCAGTGTTTTGATACGATTTGATGAGTCATCTTTTGGTAGAGCACCTCTCTATCCCTGACAGTGTTTGATCTTAACGGAACAGTTTTATAATGTGTAAACTGGTGGGAGGTGCTCTTCAGAAATGCAGTCAACAGTGGTATGTGTGCGTGTTTGGCTCTTGGGGCGGGGCGGAAAGCAGAACAAAGGAGAATTTAATAAGCGAGAACTTGTCAGGGGCTAGGGTCAGTTCTGAGGCTGCTGCCTGTCAAGAACATGGCTTTCTTCCTGCCCCCCTCCACTGCTGCTAACTGGAGTCTGACCTTCGAGAAAGAGTGAAAAAAGACAGCTTCTGTTTGTTTTGCTGCAAGTAAGTGGCTGGACTGATTGGCCCCCTTCCCAGAGGCCCTGCAAGGACTTCAGATGTGGTCAGCGAGGTATGTGGATGGTGCCAGCCTGCCGGCCCTCGTCCAGCCAAACTGCACCAGGAACAGGCAAGGGTCCCAGAGAAACAGCGGGGTCAGCTGCTGCCGCCTTTGCTCCTGCTCTTAATGCTGTCCTATTTCTTCCTAAGAGGAAGCTGGTTTACTCTCTCAAGATTGATGGGCAAAGTTTTATATGACCACGGTCTCCACTTCTCACCCACTGAACTTACAGCTTGAAATTAACAGAGGCGAGGCCCATCTGGAAAAATGCATTTGACAAAAACTTGATCAAATGGGGGATCCCCTGAGGTGGGTGGCAAAGAACCAGACCACTTGGAATCCTAGGTGCTGTGTCCCTGTATGGACCTGCTGTTTCTTTTGGATTCCATTAGGGTTAAGAAGCACAAATTCTGAAGCTAGATTTGAGTTTACATTTCTGCTCCAGTACTTGGGAGTTACAGTGACCAAGTCATTTAATGTTTCTGAACTTCAGTTTCCTGATCTGTAAAGTAGGATGGGTAGGTTGGGCGTAGTGGGTCATGCCTATAATCCCAGCACTTTGGGAGGCTGAGGCAGGAGGATCACTTAAGGTCAGAAGTTCGAGACCAGCCTGGCCAACATAGTGAAGCCCCGTCACTAGTAAAAATACAAAAGTTATTTGGGCGTGGTTGTGGGCGTCTCCAGCCTGGGTGACAGAGTGAGACTCCATCTCAAAAAAAAAGAAGAAAAACAAAAACAAGTAAATAAATGAATAAAAATAAAGGAATCCAGCCATCTGTTAGTATAGCCAAAGCAGAGGATATTGCATCAAATGTTAAACGCTAGTCCTGTCAGTCACTCCTGAGAGAACAGGGCAACAAGACCCAGAAAGGGTATCAACACTGCCTGAGCAGATGGAGGCAAAGCTGTGCATGGGCTGCTTATAGGGCACAGTCTGAGGCCTTGCAGCAGTCACGTGGAAACTGAGGCTGCCTGCTTTCCAGGTGCAAGGTGATGGACAGTGGCAGGAACCCTGTGCTAGATGACTCTTGTGCGATCTTATTTCTTTGTTACTGGGACACAAGCACCAACTGTCACAAGGGACCAACAAGAGGAGGTGATTTTTTTTTTCAGCTGTTACCACAAAGCTTTTCATCTTTTGGTTTGAAAACATAGCTGTGGGAATAGGCCGGGCGCGGTGGCTCACACCTGTAATCCCAGCACTTTGGGAGGCCAAGGCGGGCCGATCACAAGGTCAGGAGATCGAGACCATCCTGGCTAACACGGTGAAACCCCGTCTATACTAAAAATACAAAAATTAGCCGGGCGTGGTGATGGCCGCCTGTAGTCCCAGCTACTCGGGAGGCTGAGGCAGGAGAATGGCGTGAACCCGGGAGGCGGAGCTTGCAGTGAGCCGAGATCGCGCCACCGCACTCCAGCCTGGGCAACAGAGCGAGACTCTGTCTCAAAAAAAAAAAAAGAAAAAAGAGAGAGAAAGAAAATATAGCTTTGGGAGCACCAAAGCCCAAAGCGTTATAGTGCCTACTATGTGTCAGGCACTATACTAAACATTTCACATGGCTTAGCACTCATGTGATCTTCACGATAACCTGGTGAGCGGGTAATTATTATCACCCTTCCTACTGGTTTGTTGTTGTTGTTGTTGTCGTCGTTGTTGTTTTGAGACAGAGTCTCGCTCTGTCACCCAGGCTAGATTGCAGTGGCACGATACCGGCTCACTGCAACCTCTGCCTCCTGGGTTTGAGCGACTCCTGCCTCAGGCTCCCGAGTAGCTGGGATTAAAAGCGTCCGCCACCATGCCCAGCTAATTTTTGTATTTTTAATAGAGATGGGGTTTTATCATCTTGGCCAGGCTGGTCTTGAACCCCTGACCTCGTGATCCACCCGCCTTGGCCTCCCAAAGTGCTGGGATTACAGGCATCAGCCACCATGCCCGGCTACTTAATTTATTTTTTGAGACAGCCTCTCTCTGTAGCCCAGACTGGAGTGCAGCGGTGTGATTTCGGCTCACCGCAACCTCTGAATCCTGGGTTCAAGCAATTCTACTGCCTCAGCCTCCCAAGTACTTGATTATAGGCACCCACCACACTTTCGGCTAATTTTCCTATTTTTAGTAGAGATGGGGTTTCACCATGTTGGCCAGGCTGGTCTCAAACTCCTGACCTCAAGTGATCTGCCCACCTTAGCCTCCCAAAGTGCTGGGGTTACAGGTGTGAGCCACTGCACCTGGCCTCCTTTATTTTATGGGACATTTTTTGAAAAGAGGCTTGGTCCAAACAGGCAGTACTTGCCACTTCTGCAGTCATTTCTCTACCCTGCCCCAAAATGGTTACTCAGTTGCATTTATTTACTACAATCGGAATACCAGCAGGACATCTACAAAAGTAGAAGTATTGGGTGGTAGCAGATCAGTGCTCTCTGGCATCCAGATCGTCTAGATGGTCACAGCCTTTTTTTTTTTTTTTTTGGAGACAGAGTCTTGCTCTGTCGCCCAGGCTGGAGTGCAGTGGCACAATCTCGGCTCACTGCAACCTCCACCTCCCGGGTTCAAGAGATTCTCCTGCCTCAGCCTCCCGAGTAGCTGAGATTACAGGCACCCACCACCATGCACGGCTAATTTTTTTGGTATTTTTAGTAGAGATGGGGTTTCGCTGTGTTGGCCAGGCTGGTCTTGAACTCCTGACCTCAGGTGATCCACCTGCCTCAGCCTCTGAAAGTGCTGGGATTACAGGCATGAGCCACCACACCTGGCCAATTGTTACAGCTTTGAGTTGACTGCCAAGTGTTGAGGTAGCATTGAGGGTTGCAGAAGCTGTGTTCTTGAAAAAGAGAAGAGAGTAACATTCTCAGAAAGCAAACAGTATTCAGAAGAGTCAATGGGTGTTCTGGAGCTTTTTTCTTTTCTTTCCTTTTTTTTTTTAAAGAAATTACCAGCTGGGTGCTGTGGCTCACGCCTGTAATTCCAGCACTTTGGGGGGCCAAGGTGGGAGGATCACCTGAGGTCAGGAACTTGAGACCAGGAATTTTTCTATTTTTAGTGAAACCCCATCTCTACTAAAAATACAAAAAATTAGCTGGGTGTGGCTGCAGGCACCTGTAATCCCCAGTTACTTGGCAGGTTGAGGCAGGAGAATGGCTTGAACCCGGGAGGTGGAGGTTGCATTGAGCCGAGATCACGCCATTGCACTCCAGCCTGGGCAACAGAGCAAGATTGTCTCAAAAAAAAAAAAAAAGAAAGAAAAGAAAAAGAAAAAGAAATTACCTCTTCTCTGATATGCAGAGCCCCGTCTATACTGGACAGGTGGAAGTTACCAGAGAAATACAGGCCAGGGGCCTTTGTCTGACATTGGCACTGAGAAAAGCATAGCCCAGAAGCAGGGTGTGTCTTTTTTTTTTACCTGGGCATCTGTGGTTTGAGATCTTCTTGGAACACTTTATAACCCATTTCTGAACGTCTCCCAGGCTTCAGTGGAGCCACCTGTTGTAGCTTCTAAAACTGTGTCCTCCTCAGTTGTTCTCCCACCCATTGCCTTCACAGATGCAGAGACCAAGATTCACTCACTCGCCATTGGACCTTTAGCACCCAGGTCTGTCTGGCACAAAGTAAGTGCCAGGCTGGTGGAGTGAATGAATTCTACTTAGAGAATGGCCCTCAACACAGGCTGCTCATTACCAAAACTATTTGGTCTTTAAAAAGTGTGACTCTGATGCTTCAGTCTGGGGTGGGTACCAAATACTTGTATTTTTTAAAGAGCCTCACAGCAACTTGAATTTACCTTAATTTTTATGTAGGAACCCTTGTCCTGGTAGAGAGTATAATTTGCTGAATAAGTCTACTTTTTCAATCAACATATACGGAAGAGATATCAATGAAAGAACTGACAAACTGTAAAGCCCCCTCTCCAGGTGTAAAGCACTCAGGGCTTGGGCCTAGAAGCTGATCCATGTCTCTGTGTCTGTTCTGAAATAGCCTGTGTGATGTGGGAGAAAGAGTATTGTCCTTAGAGACAAGGCTCGAGACTGGCTGTGCCCTTTCCTTGGGCAGTATGTAGGGAACAAGAATGCCTGCCCGCCCGCAGGCAGGTTACCTGTGGACAAGGTGTAGTGGGCAGTTAGAAGGTGTTGGTATGTTAATCAGTCTTTTTTTTTTTTTTTTTTTTGAGATGGAGTTACGCTCTATCGCACAGGCAAAGTGCAGTGGCGCGATCTCAGCTCACTGCAACCTCCCAGGTTCAAGTGATTCTTCTGCTTCAGCCTCCCAAGTACCTGGGACTACAGGCGTGCGCCACCACGCCTGGCTAATTTATGTATTTTTTTAGTAGAGACGGGGTTTCACCATGTTGGCCAGGCTGGTCTCTAACTTCTGACCTCGTGATCTGCCTGCCTCGGCCTCCCAAAGTGCTGGGATTACAGACGTTACAGACGTGAGCCACCACACCTGGCCAGTCTTTTTTTTTTTTTTTCTGAGATGAAGTCTCACTCTGTTGCCCAGGCTGGAGTTCAGTGGCACGATCTCGGCTCACTGCAACCTCTGCCTCCCGGGTTCAAGCGATTCTCCTGCCTCAGCCTCCTGACTAAGTGGGACTACAGGTGCCTGCCACCACGCCTGGCTAATTTTTGTATTTTTAGTAGAGACCGGGTTTCACCATGTTGGCCAGGTTGGTCTCGAACTCCTGACCTCAGATGATCCACCCGCCTTGGCCTCCCAAAATGCTTGGATTACAGGCGTGAGCCACTGCACCCAGCCTAATTAGTCTTTTGCTCCTATTTGTCTTTATTTGGGATAAAAGTTATAGCCTTGTTGGGGTCTTCTTACACAGTAGTTCTGACTCACAGCCATCATCTGAACCTTTCCTCTGGTTCACAACCAAAATTAAACATCCATTTATGGGGATTGAGATAGTTTTCATAGTAAAGGAAGTTTTGTTTGTAATGACCTTCCTGTTTGATGGGTCTAAGTATATGGCTGGCCCTTCTGGCTAAAGCAGGCTTTAAACTGGTCCTGCCTAGAATGTGTACCTCCCACTCCTTATCATCTCTCTTCTAGGTCCCTTCCCCTTTCCCTTTCCCTTCCCCTTCCCCTTCGCTTCTTCCTTCCCTTTGTTCCTTTTCCTTTCCTTTTTTTCTTCTTTTTTTTTTTTTTTTTTTGACAGGGTCTCACTCTGTCACCCAGGCTGGAGTGCAGTGATGAGATCTCTGCTCATGTAGCCTTGACCTTCTGGGCTCAAGTGATCTTCTGCCTTGGCCTCCTTAGTAGCTGGGACTACAGGCACCACCATACTTGGCTAAATTTTTTTTTTTTTTTTGGTAGCAGTGAGGTCTCACTATGTTGCCCAGGATTATCTCAAACTCCTGGGCTCAAGCGATCCTCACGCCTTGGCCCCCCAAAGTGTTGGGATTGCAGATGTGTGCCATCACACTCTGCCTCTTCCGGGTCTTTTTTTTTTTTTTTTTCCCAGACGGAGTCTCGCTCTGTTGCCCAGGCTGGAGTGCAGTGGCACGATCTTGGCTCACTGCAACCTCTGCCTCCTGGGTTCAAGCGATTCTCCTGCCTCAGCCTTCCGAGTAGCTGGGATTATAGGTGCCTGGCTAATTTTTTTTATATTTTTAGTAGAGACGGGGTTTCACCATGTTGGTCAGGCTGGTCTCAAACTCCTGACCTCGTGATCCTCCCACCTCGGCCTCCCAAAGTGCTGGGATTACAGGCGTGAGCCACCGCGCCTGGCTTTTTTTTTTTTTTTTTTTTTTTTTTTTTTTTTTAATTTTACTTTTTTGAGACGGAGTCTCACTCTGTCACCCAGGCTAGATTGCAGTGGCACAATCTTGGTTCACTGCAACTTCCGCCTGCTGGATTCAAGTGATTCTCCTGCTTCAGTCTCCCAAGTAGCTGGGACTACAGGCACGTGTCACCACACCTGGCTAATTTTTGTATTTTTAGTAGAGACAGGGTTTCACTATGTTGGCCAGGCTGGTCTCGAACTCCTGACCTTGTGATCCACCTGCCTCGGCCTCCCAAAGTGCTGGGGTTACAGCTGTGAGCCACCGCACCCGGCTCTTCCAGGTCTTAATAGAGCCTTTTTCCTCTACTGAAAGCTTCCACTGCTTTCTGCCCCCTTCAAACTCATATATACTTCATTGAATTGTTTCCTCGGGGAAGCCTTCCTGATACCACCCTACAGAGGGTGTCAGACGCCCTATTATGCTGTCACAGCACTTTTCACAGTAAGGTAAATTGCTTTTATAATTATTGGATTGCCTCTCTGACTATGTTTGTTGAATAAATAAAAAAAGGTGGCCAGGTGCCGTGGCTCACACCTGTAATCCCAGCACTTTGGGAGGCCGAGGCGGGCGGATCACGAGGTCAGGAGTTTGAGACAAGCCTGACCAACATGGTGAAAACCCGTCTCTACTAAATATACAAAAATTAGCCAGGCATGGTGGTTCGTGCCTGTAGTCCTAGCTACTCAGGAGGCTGAGGCAGAAGAATCACTTGAACCCGGGAGGCAGAGGTTGCAGTGAGCCAAGATTGTGCCATTGCACTCCAGCCTGGGCGACAGTGTGAGCCTCCATCTCCAAAAAAAAAAAAAAGTGGCTTTATAACCTGCCTTCTTTTTCTTATTCCCAGTGCTCTTAAAGTTCCGTACAGATAAAGGAAGAGATCCCAGTTCTGATACATATGAGGAAGATTCTGAGTTGTTGCTCCAGATACGAAATGATGTGCTTGACTCACTGGGTATTAGTCCTGACCTGCTTCCTGAGGACTTTGTCAGGTTGGTGTCAGTATTTATCACTGTTTAGTCTGGACAGATAAAGTTTGTTTTCAGGATTTGCCTTAATTTGACAAGCTCTTTTATTAGAAACCCTTCAGAGAGCACCCTGCCACATTCTGCTCGCTCCTGTAGACTTCTGCCTCTCCACTAGAATAGCAATATATAAAAAATAAAGAGGGGACAGATTCTGATTTTTACAATAAGTATCTTATATTCACGTGGTTCAAAATTCAAGGCAATGTAAGATCTGTAAACATTATTCTCTACCTTTTTTCACTTTATGTGATCTTGTTATCTCTTGGGGACATCTCCAGATCAGTACATAGTTTGCTCCCTCTTTTCCACAGCTCCTTAGTATTCTAGAGTGTGAAGCGATGGAGTTTATTGAACCAGTTGCCTGCTCACTCAAGTTGTGTTCAGGCTTTTCTAACTGCGTAACACTGCAGTGTGTGACCTTGTGTCGTACGTGTGCAGGTACAACTGCAGGATAATTAGGAGGAAGGGAGTTGCTGGGTCAGAAGGTTGTAATTTATCATTTGGTCAGCATTGCCACCTTGCCTCCATTGGTATCCTATCAATTCATACCCCCAGCAGCAAAACCACCCATGTTCCCAGCATCCTCTCACTTGGACACTCCATGCTTTCACCTTACGTGACTACCTTTTTGCTCTCATAAACAGGCTTAGGATTTGATTGGAGAAGACCACATAGTGACTAGGTCACAATCTCTCTCTCTCTTTTTTTTTTTTGAGACAGAGTTTTGCTCTTGTTGCCCAGGCTGGAGTGCAATGGCACAATCTCAACTCACCGCAACTTCTGCCGCCTGGGTCCAAGCGATTCTCCTAACTCAGCCTTTTGAGTAGCTGGGATTACAGGTGCCTGCCACCACGCCCAGCTAATTTTTTTTGTATTTTTAGTAGAGATGGGGTTTTCCATGTTGGCCAGGCAGGTCTTGAACTCTTGACCTCAGGTGATCCGCCTACCTTGGCCTCCCAAAGTGCTGAGATTACAGGCATGAGCCACCACGCGCTCCATCCACATCTCCTTCCAAGCAGCTCTGGGATCATGTACACACCCTAATTCCCTTTCCATGTCTTGAGAGGCTTCCTAAACTCGGCTTTGCAGTGCCTCCAGCTTGTAGCAGTGATAATGATGGCTGCAGTTTACTGAGCAGCTGTTATGTACTAGGCATCAGGTAGTAAGTAGCCAACCCAGATCCCACCCCAGGTATCATTACAGTGCTTGCTCTAGTAGCAGCATGCTACCTTGGTTTCTTATCAACAGTAAGGTCTGCCAGAGTCCCTAGTCCTTTCTTTGTTGACTTCCTGCTGGGAACTTCAGGTGAGCAACAGCAAACCCCACTCCATTTAGGGCCAGCAGTGGTCTTTGAAGCACCTGTGGTGCCCTGACCCAAAAAGCCATGATTGTCCTGGTACAGTGGCTCACACCTATAATCCCAGCACTTTGGGAGGTTGAGGCAGGCAGATTGCTTTGAGCTTAGGAGTTTGAGGCCAACCTTGACAACATGGTGAAACCCTGTCTCTACAAAAAATAGAAAAATTAACTGGGCATCGATGACTGGTGCTTGTAGTCTCAGCTACTCTGGAGGCTGAGGCTAGAGCATCGCTTGAGCCCAGGAAAGCAGAGGTTGCAGTGAACCAAGATTGCACCACTGCATTCCAGCCTGGGTGACAGAGAGAGACCGTGTCTCAATACATATAGCGTAAGGCTGGGCGCGGTGGCTCACGCCTGTAATCCCAGCACTTTGGGAGGCCGAGACAGGCAGATCATGAGGTCAGGAGATTGAGACCATCGTGGCTAACATGGTGAAACCCCATCTCTACTAAAAATACAAAAAATTAGCCAGGTGTGGTGGTGGGTGCCTAAGTCCCAGCTACTCGGGAGGCTGAGGCAGGAGAATGGCGTGAACCCGGGAGGCAGAGGTTGCAGTGAGCTGAGATCACGCCACTGCACTCCAGCCTGGGCGACAGAGCGAGAGGGAGACTCCTTCTCAAAAAAAAAAAAAAAAAAAAAAAGGCAGCAATAGAGTGGCAGTGCCTGAGCACACGAGACTGAGACATGGAAAAGCGGTTTCCCCAAAGAGGGTGGGCAGGGAAGGAACCACTTTGGAGAGAAAACCAGCCAGCAGCTCGTTAGGCTGTGGCTTTCCTCTTCTAGGAAGCAGGGCCTTCAACTCTGCTGGCCGGTGATGCAGAGCCAGACCGTTCATCACTTTGAATGCCCAAGTAGTCACTTGGCTGCACACTCACGGCCCAGCACACAGCCCCAGGTATGCTCAGTGGCTGCCGCTTGCCACTGGCTGACTGGCTGGGATTATTGGAACTGAAGCCCTGCATGACCCAGTCCTTCTTCCTGCTGCGAAGCACAGCAGAGGAAACACTTGCTTCTCACAAACTGGTCATTCCTCCACCAAGAGATGAGTGCCCCAGTGAGTTACCATGAGATCCAAGCCTGTACAGTGTCATCAGCCGCTGACCTCACGGTGCTGATGTTACAAAGGCACCTTGTAAACTGCTGCCTATGTTTAGATGATGGCTTTTTTTTTTTTTGGAGACAGAGTCTCGCTCTGTCCCCCAGGCTGGAGTGCGATGGCATGATCTTGGCTCACTGCAAGTTCCGCCTCCCGGGTTCACGCCATTCTCCTGCCTCAGCCTCCCCAGTAGCTGGGATAACAGGCGCCCGCCACCACGCCCAGCTAATTTTTTTTGTATTTTTTAGTAGAGATGTGGTTTCGCTGTGTTAGCCAGGATGGTCTTGATCTCCTGACCTCATGATCCACCTGCCTCGGCCTCCCAAAGTGTTGGGATTACAAGTGTGAGCCACCACGCCCAGCCTCTTTTTTTTTTTTTTTTTAAGATAGGGTCTCTCTCTGTTGCCTAGGCTAGAGTGCAGTGGCACATCATAGCTCACTGCAGCATCAACCTCCTGGGCTCAGGCAACACTCTCATCTCGGCCTCTTGCGTAGCTGGGACTATAGGCGTGTACTACCAAGCCTGCCTAATTTTTTTTTTTTTTTTTTTTTTTTGTATTGACAGGGTCTCACTATGTTCACCAGGCTGTTTCCTATTTTTTAAAGTTATGAACCGCATAACAAGAGAGTATACAAAGCACATCTGCCTGAGTTAAATGATAATTAATACTTATTTATTTTTGTTGTAGAGACGGGGGTCTCACTCTGCTGCCCAGGCTGTTCTCAGACTCCTGGATTCAAGCCATCCTTCTGCCTTGGCTTTCCAAAACTTCTGGGATAGACAGGCGTCAGCCACTTGTATCTCTTTTAATTTGGAATAGCCCTTGGCAAACTGGCTTGCCACCTCTTTTTGTAAATAAAGTTTTATTGGCACACTTACTCATTTATATATTATCTGTGGCAGCTTTTGTGCCACAGCAGGGTTAAATAGTTATAACAAAGACCATATGGCCCATAAAGCTGAAAATATTTTATTATCTGGTTCTTTTGTTTGTTTGTTTGTTTTTGAGACAAAGTTTCACTTTGTCACCTAGGCTAGAGTGCAGTGGCATGATCTCGGCTCACTGCAACCTCCACCTCCCGGGTTCAAGTGAATCTCCTGCCTCAGCCTCCTGAGTAGCTGGGATTACGGGCATACGCCACCATGCCCAGCTATTTTTTTTTATTTTTTTATTTTTTTTATTTTTTTTTGAGATGGAGTCTTACTCTGTCACCCAAGCTAGAGTGCAATGGCCCGATCTTGGCTCACTGCAACCTCCGCCTCTGTGCTCTGTGGTTCAAGTGATTCTTCTGTCTCAACCTCCTGAGTAGCTGGGACTACAGGCGCGTGCCACCACGCCCGGCTAATTTTTGTATTTTTAGTAGAGATGGGGTTTCACCATATTGGCCAGACTGATCTCAAACTCCTGACCTCATGATCCACCCAGCTTGGCCTCCGAAAGTGCTGGGATTACAGGCATGAGCCACTGCACCTGGCCTGTTATCTGGTTCCTTTTTTTTTTTTTTTTTTTTTTTTTTTTTGAATCAGAGTCTTGCTGTGTCACCCAGGCTGGAGTGCAGTGGCGTGATCTCGGCTTATTGCAACCTCTGCCTCCCAGCTTTAAGTGATTCTTTTGCCTCAGCCTCTGGAGTAGCTGGGACTATAGGCACGTGCCACCACGCCCAGCTAATTTCTGTATTTTTAGTAGAGACGGGGTTTCACCATATTGGCCAGACTGAACTATTCCTCCAATACGGCCAAAATGAGATTCTACCAGCAATGGGAGGAGTTTTTTTAATTATTATTATTGGGAGTCTCTCTCTCACCCAGGCTGGAGTGCAGTGGCACCATCTCGGCTCACTGCAACCTCCACCTCCTGGGTTCATGCAATTCTTCCACCTCAGCCTCCCGAGTATCTGGCATTACAGCTGCCCGCCACCACACCCGGCTAACTTTTGTATTTTAGTAGAGACGGGGTTTCACTATGTAGGTCAAGCTGGTCTTGAACTCCTGACCTCAAATGATCCACCCGCCTTGGCCTCCCAAAGTGCTGGGATTACAGATGTGAGCCACCGCACCCAGCCCTAGTTCTCCATGTATTTTAGAGCTCTGTAGTGGACCTTGATAAGCAGGAAGATGTTACCCCTGGATGAACAAAATGGGAATGTGCTGGTCCTGGCCAGGGCGTAAGGAGCCGGAGGTGCCTTTGGACACAGCTCTTGGGATTGGAATGGATACAGCCTTTTGGGAGGGCATTTTGGCAATACATATGAAAAACTAGCATTGCTATATTTAGAAATTTGTCTTAAGGAATTATTTCGACGCCTGTGTCTTTGTCAAGATGTATGATTACAGTGTTGAACAGCTTAAATGTCCCTCAATAGGTTATAGAACAGAAGAGTAATAGTTGATAATATTTGGGTTTAAAATTATACCTATTTATTTATTTATTTATTTTTTGAGACAGTCTTGCCCTGTCACCAGGCTGGAGTGTAGTTGTGCGATCTCAGCTCACTGCAACCTATGCCTCCCAGGTTCAAGCGATTCTCCTGCCTCAACCTCCTGAGTAGCTGGGACTACAGGCTCACCCCACCACACCAAGCTAATTTTTGTATTTTTAGTAGAAACGGGGTTTCACCATGTGGGCCAGGATGATCTCGATCTCTTGACTTTGTGATCCGCCCACCTCGACCTCCCAAAGTGCTGGGATTACAGGCATCAGCCACTGAGCCCGCCCTAATTATACCCGTTTAGATTGTGCACTTTTAAAAATGTCTAGAAGGGGCTGGGCGCAGTGGCTCACACCTGTAATCCCAGCGCTTTGGGAGGCCGAGGCGGGCGGATCACGAGGTCAAGAGATTGAGACCATCCTGGCCAACATGGTGAAACCCCGTCTCTACTAAAAATTCAGAGTAGCCGGGCGTGGTGGCGGGTGCCTGTAGTCTCAGCTACTCAGGAGGCTGAGGCAGGAAAATGACATGAATCCGGGAGGCGGAGCTTGCAGTAAGCCAAGATCGCGCCACTGCACTCCAGCCTGGGTGACAGAGCGAGACTCCGTCTCAAAAAAAGTCTAGAAGGATGTGCACCACACTGGGGAGATTGGAGGTAGTTCTGTAGGGAGGCTTTCCCTTTCACTTGTCTGTGTTCCAGTTTGCTTGGTGAGCACACAGCATTGTGTTCAGGAGTAGGAGCTGGCAGAGCACACTTCCTTTGGGGAAGTGGTGGAATTAAGTGATTTGCTTACTAGGATGGGTAACTTGGAGGGGCAGGTGACTGTGTCATCTAAAATTTGTCCTCTAGATGCCCCATCCTGGCCCAGAAGGGCTGGTTTCTATGTGGGTTGTGAAGACTTTTTCTGCCCTCATACTTTAATTTCACGCCTCAAATTTCCCTTGCTTCCTACATGTTAACACAGGCCTGCTCCCTGACATTTGTCTGGGAATAGCATATAGAACCCACTGGCCATTATGGGTAAGAAGAGAATTGCGAGAATGTGACCAGGGCACTGAAACATCTGATATCTCTAGGACAGATATAGGAAGCACAGATATAGTCTTTCCTTTAACTTATAAAGGTAAAAATAAAAGTATTGTGAAAGAATTTCTGCTTGCCAAAGTTCAAAGGTCTTTTCCAACCACTTATGAATCCCTTGCTCAGATTTCATTTTCACGCCTAGATGCCAGCATTAACACTGCTATCTGAATCGGGCCCTCCTGCTAGAAGTTGTTTTTATTCAGGAGAGCCTACTACTGAATTTCTCCAGATGTCATGGTCACAGTTCTGTTCCCAGTGCTCCATTTTCCTTGTCTTCCTCTCTTTTAGGTACTGCTTCTCCGAGATGGCCCCAGTGTGTGCGGTGGTTGGAGGGATTTTGGCACAGGAAATTGTGAAGGTAAAACATCACTGTGGAGCAGAAAATTGTTAACCATGACTTTGTATATGTGCTGACAGAGAGAATGGAAACTGTCTTAGACAGCTGCCTGCTTTCTCTCACCCCATTCATCTTTGTTTCATGCCCTCCCCATTTCCACCTCATCCCATTTTCTCTGGCCCATCCAGGTGCCATTCAGCAAATGACCTTGGAGTGCCTGCTCTGTGCTTAGCTCACAGTTGGCCATAGTGCCTCGAAGGTGTGATCTGCTCTCCCCTAACTGTATTAGTTATCCAGTGCCTGTTGTATTGGTCAGGGATTCTGCTTCTCATAGCTCTATAAGTGAGTACTATCATGATCCCCACTTAAGAGGAAGACACTTGGGCCCATGAAAGGGACTCCAGAACCTGTGCTCTTAACCTCTGTACAGTTTATCTCTATTCATCACCATGACATCAAAGCCCTCCCTTTTTTTTTTTTTTTTTTTTTTTTTTTTGAGATGGAGTCTCGCTCTGTCCCCCAGGCTGGAGTGCAGTAGCACGATCTCAGATCACTGCAAGCTCCACCTCCCGGGTTCACGCCATTCTCCTACCTTAGCCTTCCAAGTAGCTGGGACTACAGGCGCCTGCCACCACGCCCAGCTAATTTTTTTGTATTTTTAGTAGAGACAGGGTTTCACTGTGTTAGCCAGGATGGTCTGGATCTCCTGACATCGTGATCTGCCCACCTCAGCCTCTCAAAGTGCTGGGATTACAGGCATGAGCCACTGTACCCAGCCGCACCCCCCCCCTTTTTTTTTTTTTTTGAGACAGAATCTCACTTTGTCTCTCAGACTGGAGTGCAGTGGCATGATCTTGACTCACTGCAACCTCCGCCTCCTGGGTTCAAGCGATTCTCCTGCCTCAGCCTCCCGAGCAGCTGAGAGTACAGGTTCCCACCACCACACCAGGCTAATTTTTGTATTTTTAGTAGTTCACCATATTGGCCAGGCTGGTCTCGAACTCCTGACCTTGTGATCCTCCCACCTCAGCCTCCCAAAGTGCTGGGATTATAGGTGTGAGCCACCGCACCCGGCCAAGCCCCCGTCTTTTTAACCACACACTGTAGGTATTTGTAGAGAAATCAGTTTCTGTGTCCCCATGAACACACCAGGAGCCCCTCAAGGCTCTGTACAGGATGACCCGTGACCCTGTTAGGTAGGTGTTAGTGTGTCTCTCAGAAGGGAAGCATCTTATACAGGGTCACATAACCAGTAACTAGCACAGCCTTTTGAGGGTCTTCTGGAACATTTGGGTTGCTAAAACTATACCATACCCCCAAATATATTGTACATTCTTTGCAGACTTTGCTATTTGCCCGAAGATGTTAAATTTGCCTTTTGCAGGTTCTTGGCTGCCTTCGTGGACTCCGGTGAGGCTTTTTCCTTCTTTCTTATGGAGCAGAGTCGTGCCTGGTTAAATGATTGGCCATGTCCATGTACATGTCAAGTTTGAGCTTGGGAGGACAGTTTGGAGGCCAGCCCTTAACACTTTGTCTTGGGGTCTGTACATTCTGGAGGCGTTTGGCTCAATTTGTTAGTCACACCGTTTTCCTAAGGCTACTTTTTTTTTTTTTTTTTGTCTATTTTTTCTGATCCTTCTCTCTGGTCTAAATTCTTCCTTTGATCAAATCTAACTTTCTTCTATGTAATGGGCACCGAGGAGATATTTGGAGGGGGAAGAAAAGTGTGCAATGGCCATACCTCTTTCCTTGCTCACATTTTATACATAGCCCAGAGTGATGTGAAAATTACAGTTTATATGCCCAATCTGAGAAGAGGGTAATGGCCACCCAGAGGACTGTTCGAGCAGGATTCTGAGGCTCCCTGTAGACAAACTGCAGGAAAGAGTGCAGCAATGGGAATGTTCTAAGTGGGGAATGGGAATGTACATATTTTTGTAGCCTAAAATGACGACACCACCAATAATAGACAAGACTTACTGAAAGCCCACTGTCTGCCACACAAAGACAGTGTTTTTTACGTGGATACTCATTTCATCTCCCACCGGCCCTATGAGGTAGGAACTCCTGTGATCCCTGGTTTATAAAAGAGAGACTAAGGTGCAGGAAAGAAGATGCTTGCCCAGGCTAGTGAGTGTGGTGCCAGGATGTGGGCCCAGGCAGTCTGGTTTCTGAGCCTGTCCTCTTCACCACGGGGCAGTCATGCATCAGGTGTTGCCTTCAATGGCACCATCATGTAGAGACTGCATGGACCCCAGGGCCGCTGCCCTTGCATTGTCAGCCTTACTTCTGCACATCCCATTGAGGGGCTCCCCCTAAATTTTTCATGTGGGATGGAGACTGGAGGTTGGGGCAGGTAGCCTTGACCCCATTGTTGGTGGTAGTTTCTCACATCCCCATCCTCACACAGCCCCCTCCTTCCTGCCTGCTGGAGACAGCTGGTGCCCAGCATCTTGTTTCTGTTTATCCCAGATAGCCAGAGTACTCTGCATTCTTCGTTGCTGGGTGTGTTTGGAATCTCCTCCTACCCCATCTTGCTTGGGAAGCACTTTACCTTTTGCCCCATGTCACCCCATGCCCTGCTCTCATCCCCAGTACTCCTTCATACTTATTACTGGTCAGCCTTCAGCCAGCTGGCAGGCGGGGCCTGCAGTCCAAGGGCCTCAGACTCACCTTTCTCTCCTGAGGCACTGTCTGAGCGCCTATGGAAAGCTTACACTAGGAGATGGGTCAAGCGCAAGTCTGCTCCTTTGGAATCATCTTTTGCGTCTTTCCTTTCTTACGTCCTTCTAGATACCCTATTTTATATCCATGTCTACTTCCTTGGGTTTAAAGCAGTTTTCCTTTCTCTCCATCCCCACCGTCCACGGCAGGTCTCCCTGTCTATGGTAAGAGAGGTGATAGTGAAAGCAGCAGCCATCCCAGGTTCATGGTAAAACACATACCATCTCCTGTATCTTGGGTTTGAGGGTCTAAGAGTTCCACCTGTGTACTGTTGGACCCTTCCACCTGGCTAGGTTGGTGGCATCCCCAGTATTGGTAAAGGACTCCTGGCCCTATTATTATTAATAGCAGCTCCTACTTACTAAGAATTTACTACGTGCTCGGCACTTTACAAGCCTAGTCACATTTCATTCTCACCAAAACTCTAGCAGGCAGGTGCTTTTTATTTGCCTATTTGCCCAGAGAAGCAAACTTCTTTCTGATCCAAGCTCCATGTGGACAGAGACCTCAGAATCCTTAATGTCTAGCTGAATACCTGGCATAGAGTAGATGCTTAATAAATGTTCCCTTGACTGGGTGCAGTAGCTCATGCCTGTAATTCCAGCACTTTGGGAGGATTGCTTGAACCTAGAAGTTCAAGACTAGCTTGGGCAACATGAGGAGACCTCATCTCTACAAAAGTCCCAGCTACTCAAGAGGGTATGGGAGGATATCTGGAGCTGGGGAGACGGAGGTTGCAGTAAGCCGAGAATGTGCCTCCCACCTGGGTAGCAGAACAAGATCCTATCTCAAAAAATTAAAAACATTTACAAATAAATAAAATTTCCCTGGAAAAATGGCTGACTAACACTATTTGTATATGGTAGATGTGATTGTCCCTGTTTTATGGATGAGGAAAAGGGTTTGGTGCTGAGTTTGAAGAGGAGCAGTTCAGGATGTGTAGCCCCACCTTCCTCATGAATGATGGGACGGTGCTCCTGGGAACCGTTAAACCCTGCCCTGGCAGCTTGCCTAGGTGATGTCTTCCTCTTTAAATGGTAGCTTGTGGTGAAATTTCAATCCTTTCTGGGTTAAGGACCTGTTTGAAAATTTGTGACAATTGTGAACCCTTTCTCAGAAAGATGTATGTGCATACAAGACTCAGTATGTTGTTTCGGGGGCTGACCCTGCCTCAAAAGACAGGGCCACGTGCTCACTCTCCTTCCCACCCCTCTCTCTCGCTCTCTGTTGCCCAGGCTGGAGTACAGTGGTGCCATCACAGCTCACTGCAGACTTGATTTCCCTGGACTTAAGTGATCCTCCCACCTCAGCTTCCTGAGGCACTGAGACTATAAGCACACGCCACCACATCCAACTAATTTTTTTTATTTTTTGTAGATATGGGGTTTTGCCATGTTGCCCAGGCTGGTCTCGAACTCCTGGGCTCAAGTGATTCTCCCGCCTCGGCCTCCCTAAGTGCTGGGATTACAGATGTGAGACATTAAGCCCAGCCCTGTTCTTGTATTTTAAAGTGCTCTGTCTGGTAACCCCACAAGATAATCACCATTGCCATTGCTAAATAGCATTGTCCAGGCCCTCTGGATCCCAGCCCTGACCCCCTGTGGAAGCCTAGCGACTCTATGTCCTCATGGAATAGCCCCCGCTTCTGCATCAGTGTGTTCCTTGATTAAATGTGTCCCCTTAGGTGATAAAGGCCACAGCCTAAGAACTGCCACCTTTCTCAGTTGAATAGTCATGAATAATTATTTCTGCTGTTTGCCCAATGGTGGTGCAACACAGTGTTAGTCATTGTTTTAGTTTTAAGGTGTTTTTTTGTTTGTTTGTTTTTTGTTTTGAGACAGGGTCTCACTCTGTTCCCCAGGCTGGAGTATAGTGGCACTATTACAGCTCACTGCAGCCTCAATGTCCCAGGCTCAAGCGATCCTCCCACCTCAGCCTCCCGAGTAGCTGGCACCTTGGGCATGCATCACCATACCTGGCTAATTTATGTCATTTTTCTTTTTCTCTTTTTTTTTGAGACAGAGTCTCACTGTGTCGCCCAGGCTGGAGTGCGGTGGCGCAATCTCAGTTTACTGCAACCTCTGCCTCCTGGGTTCAAGCAATTCTCCTGCCTCAGCCTCCCGAGTAGCATGCCACCATACTCGGCTAATTTCTGTATTTTTAGTAGAGACAGGTTTCACCGTGTTGGCCAGGCTGGTCTCCAACTCCCAACCTCAGGTGATCCGCCCACTTCAGCCTCCCAGAGTGCTGGGATTACAGGCGTGAGCCACTGCGCCCCACCTATTTTAGTTTTCATATAGACGGGATCTCACCATGTTGCACAGACTGGTCTTGAATTCCTGGGCTCAAGTGATTCTCCCACCTCAGCCTCCCAAAGTGCTGGGATTACAGGTGTGAATGTGCCTGGCCCTGGCCTGTTTTACATTTTTGAGATACATAGTTTAACCCAGGCAAATACATTTCTTAATCTCATGTTAGGAAAATAAGGTAATGTTTGGAGAGGTTAAATAATCTCCCCATGGACACACAGCTTGTAAGGGACAGAGCAAGGAGATAGGACAATCAAAATTGTCTCCAGACATTGCCAAATAGCCCTTTGGGAGCAAAATCGACCCCAGTTAAGAACCACTGCCCTAGACTGCTTTTAGAATTTTTTTTTCCCTCTATTCCTCTTAAAGCACTTGAGCTAAACCCTCTTTTCATTTTTCTCCCCAGGCCCTGTCTCAGCGGGACCCTCCTCACAACAACTTCTTCTTCTTCGATGGCATGAAGGGGAATGGGATTGTGGAGTGCCTTGGCCCCAAGTGAACTCAAGATTTGGCAGCCCCAGAGATGCCAACTGCAGCATGCCCACCTGTATTCCCTGTCCCCTTCCTTCATGAAGGCATCTCCAGGCAAGGAAAACTGAAGTCATTGGCCCGATACAAAACATTTCCTGCAACGAAGGAGGTGGTGCCGACGTGCTGCTTCCCATCACCAGCAGCTGCTCGACAAGGGGCGCAGGGTGGCTGTCTTTGTTCCAGCACTGTTCAGGCTGCCTGTCATCCCGGGCCTGCCAGCTCCCCTGAGTGATGAGCACTTCCAAGCACCCCTCTGCCCTTTCTCTGTCCTTATGCTGTCCCGGCCTCGCCAGCCCTCTGGGGCATTGTGGGAGATGCCTGCCAGGAATGAGCAAGCTCTGTTGCTCGGGAGCCTCTTGTCACCTTCTTGGACTTATTCCCCACCTGATACCTTATAGAGAAAAGTGTGAATTCAGGTGGAGAGTAGGCCCAGGCCCCATGAGGCACCAGTGGAAGCACAGCTCCAAGTTCAGACAGGTGCCCTTAGAGAGGAAAACCATGACAGGCAAATGCATTTCCTCTGGAGTTTGAGACCCTGACAAACAACAGGTGGCATCTGGTGTGCTGTTCTTGAGTTTTCGTTTAGGATTAGTTGAGTTCCAGCTGGGTTTTGGGAGAAAGGAGATGCTACCAAGTCTTGGATGTTAGGGCGAGACCCTGCAAGTTGAGTATTAGAGAGCTTGTCTTTCAAGGCAGGTTCCTGGGGCTTCAGGGCTAGGAGGGAGGAGCCTGCCCTTTTAACAGAACCCCAGTCACATGCGGCTCAAGTCACTCAGAGGCTGTTGCATTTCAGGGCTATGTTGGTCCTTTGTTTACCTCCTAAACCACAGCTGTTTGTGTTTCACATATGTTGTGAATTTTCCTTGGTTCTTTTTAAAGGAATGATAATAAAGTTACTTGCTTTAGGATTTGCTTGTTTTTCTTCCACTTCAGAAGCTTCTGAGAGGGAATGGGATGATCCTACCAGTTGCCTTTTCAGACCTGAGGCTCTAACTCAAGAGATTCCTCCTCTCCCTCACCATTCCTGCCACCATTTTTTCTGGGTGATGCAGCAAGAGTTAAATTGTTCACATTCTAGAATGTGTAGAAGCTTCTGGCTCCAGTTGTCTAATGGATAATTCAGCTAAATAGTGGCTATTTTCAGTGGCAAGAATTATAATAATAAAGGGAAGTCAAAAGTGATGCTTCATATGCCCCAAGTGCCACAGCCGCTACGGGTCAGAGCTTTTATTGGAAGACCAGGTTTGCCTTGATGCAGCCAAAGTGCGTTCCAGTTCACCCCACTCTTGCTTGTGTTTCTTCTTTATGTAAATTGTGTGATGTTTCAATAAATCAGTCTCTTTCCTATTCTGATCCTGCAGCAGTTAGTCGGGGAGAAAAGTGGTCTTCACTACAGAAGGGCCTCTGTTCCTCAACCCTGCATCACCTGCTCCCGCCGGAGGTGAGACAGGGGCTGCATTTCGGAAAGGATCCGTGTCTCGCCACCTTTAGTGCAAGTCAGTGGCGTCAGGGTCAGCAGTTACATTGCTGCATGAATTTCACGTGGTCTTTAAATTCTGAGCTAATTATACTCTTGACTGTAATGTGCAGCCTTGGTCACAAGGGGGAGCAGGTGGGTCTGGATTGATAAAAACAAAATTGTAGAATCGTCCCGGAAGCTTCAAACTTTTCCACCCTGTACCTCTAACGGCAGAGATTAAGTCACCCAGAGGACCCCTCAGGAATCGAGGGGAAAGCTGCCAGCCCCAGGCAAGAAATGTCTAGTTTCTACAAATTTCATAAACTGCCACATGATGTTTGTATTAATCATAAAAATGAAGAAAAAAAGGCCAGGCGTGGTGGCTCACGCCTGTAATCCCAACATTTTGGGAGGCTGAGGCGGACGAATCACGAGGTCAGGAGTTTGAGAGCAGCCAGGCCAACGTGGTGAAACCCTGTCTACTAAAATTACAAAAATTAGCCGGGCATGGTGGCGGGTGCCTGTAATCTCAGCTACTGGGGGAGGCTGAGACAGGAGAATCACTTGAACCTGGGAGGCGGAGGTCGCAATGAGCTGAGGTCGCACCACTGCACTCCAGCCCGGGTAACAGTGTGACACTCCATCTCAAAATCTGCAGTCAGTCAGGCATGGTGGGAGGCTGTGGCGGGAGAAGCACTTCAGCCCAAGAGTTCGTGACCAACTTGGGAAACAAAGCAAGACCCCATCTCCACAAAAAAAGAAATAGCTGAGCATAGTGGCTTGTGCCTGTGGTCACAGCTGCTTGGGAGACTGGGGCAGGAGGATCACTTGAGCCCAGGAGTTTGAGGCTGAAATGACCTGGATTTCACCACTGCACTGAAGCCTGGGTGAAAGAGTGAGACACTGTCTCGAAAAAAAAATCCCAGCACTTTGGGAGGCCGAGGCGGGCGGATCGCGAGGTCAGGAGTTCAACACCAGCCTGACCAACATAGTGAAACCCCGTCTCTACTAAAAAAAAAAAATACAAAAACTAGCTGGGCATGGTGGCGCGTGGCTGTAATCCAGCTACTCAGGAGGCTGAGGCAGGAGAATCGCTTGCACCTGGGAGGCGGAGGTTGCAGTGAGCCGAGATCGTGCCACTGCAGTCCAGCCTGGGCAACAGAGCGAGACTCCATCTCAAAAAAAAAAAAAAAAGTTATCTTGACGTATGTTCTATTAGCTCATTACAGGTGTGGAAGAGATGGCTTAGGTTGCAGGTGGTAAGTTTAATGATAACAACCAATGGTCATTATACCCATGCAACCTGCCTGGTACTTTTCAGAATCCTTGTTCTTTGAGTTGGAATCCCCACAGCAACCCCATGGGGATAGATGCTGTTCTCCTACCCATACTGGAGATAAGGAAACAGGCTCACCTCACAAGCAAGGGAGAGATGGAAATGGCGCTGACTGGGAAAGCTGCGGTGCGGGGCACTCAGTAGAGATTCATGTAGTGGCACGGCTTGTTCGCTCAGTGAGAACAAGATTTTGGGCTTCCCTTCACAAGTCCCTGAGACCCAGTAGTCACTGGAAAACATCATGTCGGCCTTCATAAAAGAGGGCCTTCAACTAGGTCCAAAAGGGTGGGTGGATTTGGTTCCTAAGCTTGTACGATATTCAAGCAATATACAAGCATAAAGAGAAGATTCCTCTCCGCTGCAGGGCACAGCCTGTCAGCACAATGTTGGCCACATAATAAGAGCAGCTGACTTCACAGCTAAACTGCATTTTGGAGAGAAATATGAGATGCTTTTTGGACATGTTAGCTGTATCCACTTTCTTTTTTTCTTTTTCTTTTTTCTTTTTTTTTTTTTTAATAGACGGAGTCTTGCTCTGTCACCCAGGCTAGAGTGCAGTGGTGTGATCTCGGCTCACTGCAACCTCCACCTCCTGGTTTCAAGCAATTCTCCTGCCTCAGCCTCCCAAGTAGCTGGGATTACAGGCCCCGGCCACCATGCCCAGCTAATTTTTGTACTTTTAGTAGACAGGGTTTCACCATGTTGGCCTGGCTGCTCTCGAACTCCTGACCTGAAGTAATCCACCTGCCTCAGCACCCAAAATGCTGGGATTATAGGTGTAAGCCACAGCGCCCAGCCTAGCTTTATCCACTTTCATATCCACTCCCCGGAGGTCACCCCTGTTAACTGTTGAGAGTGAATCCTTCCAGACTGCCATGTTCAAACCTAGACTCTACCACTCAGCCATGTGACCCTCGCTACACTACTTTCTGTTACCCCATCCCTAAAATGGGTAGAATAGTGGCACATTCCTCAGATATGTGGGGATTAAAAAATCAGTCTTTGAATCAATATTGCTCAATGTTAGCTGCTATTTTACATATTCATAAATAACTTTTTCTCCAATGTGCTTTTTTCTCAATATGTCTTGGAGATCCTTGTCAGTATTTCATGCATCAAATTCCATAACCAAAACAGGTGAACCATTAACTATTGAATCAGTCTGCTGCTGTGTGACATTGTGCACACTTAGGAAAGACTTCCCAAAGCCAAGTTCCAGGGTTAGCAAGTATAAAAATGCATTTTAGGAGTTGGTTCTTGTTTTTTATTTTGTTTTGTTTTTTGAGACAGAGTCATGCTCTGTTGCACAGGCTGGAGTGCAGTGGCGTGATCTCGGCTCACTGCAACCTCTGCCTCCCGGATTCAAGCAACTCCTCTGCCTCAGCCTCCTGAGCAGCTGGGACCACAGGCGCCCACCACCACGCCTGGCTAATTTTTCTATTTTTAGTAGAGACGGGGTTTCACCATATTGGCCAGTCTGGTCTCGAACTCCCAACCTGATGATCTGCCCACCTCAGCCTCCCAAAGTGCTGGGATTACAGGCATGAGCCACCGTGCCCAGCCTGTTTTGTTTTTTTAGTGATAGGGTCTTACTCTGCCACCCAGGCTGGAGTGCAGTGGTGTGCAATCATGGCTCACTGAAATCTTGATTTTGAGGGCTCAAAGTGAGTCTCCCACCTCAGTCTCTTGAGTAGCTGGGACCACAGGCAGGCACCACCATACCTGGCTAATTTTTTCCCCCGGCTAATTTTTTTTTTCTTTTCTTTTTCTTTTTTTTTTTTGAGTTGGAGTGTTGCTCATTTGCCTAGGCTGGAGTGTAGTGGCATGCTCTCAGCTCACTGCAAGCTCCACCTCCCGGGTTCACGCCATTCTCTTGCCGCAGCCTCCCGAGTAGCTGGGACTACAGGCGCCCGCCACCACGCCCGGCTAATTCTTTGTATTTTTAGTAGAGACAGGGTTTCAGCATGTTAGCCAGGATGGTCTCGATCTCCTGACCTCGTGATCCACCCGCCTCGGCCTCTCAAAGTGCTGGGATTACAGGCGTGAGCTACCACGCCCGGCCTTTTTTTTTTTTTGTATTTTTAGTAGAGACGGAGTTTCACCATGTTCCCCCTGGCTAATGTTTTTAAAATTATTGGCTGGGTGCGGTGGCTCATGCCTGTAATCCCAACATTTTGGGAGGTCGAGGTGGCTGGATCACCTGAGGTCAGGAGTCACCAGACCAGCCTGACCAACATGGTGAAACCCCGTCTCTACTGAAAATACAAAAATTAGCTAGGTGTTGTCCACATGCCTGTAATCCCAGCTACTCTGAAGGCCGAGGCAGGAAAATCGCTTGAACCCAGGAGGTGGAGGTTGCAGTGAGCCGAGATCGAGCAGTTGCACTCCAGCCTAGGCAACAAGAGCGAAACTCCATCTCAAAAAATATATATACATATTTTTAGTAGCCATGAGGTCTCACTATGTTGCCCAGGCTTAAACTCTGGCCTCAAGTGATCCTCTTACCTCAGCCTCCTAAAGTACTGTGATTACAGATGTAAGCTACTACGTCTGGCTGGTACTTTTCTTTCTTTTCTTTCTTTTTTTTTTTTTTGAGATGAAGTCTCACTCTATCGCCCAGGCTGTAGTGCAGTGGCACAATCTCGGCTGACTGCAACCTCCGCCTCCCGGGATCAAGCAATTCTCCAACCTCAGCCTCCCAAGTAGCTGGGATTATAGGTGCACGCCGCCCAGCTAATTTTTTAATTTGTAATTTTTTTACTTTTTATTTATTTATTTTGAGACAGAGTTTCACTCTTGTCACCCAGGCTGGAGTGCGATGATGTGATCTTGGCTCACTACAACTTCCACCTCCTGGGTTCAAGCAATTCTCCTGCCTCAGCCTCCTGAGTAGCTGGGATTACAGGTGCCCACCACCACACCCAACTAATTTTTGTATTTTTAGTAGAGACAGGGTTTCACCATGTTGACCAGGCTGGTCACAAACTCCTGACCTCAAGTGATCCACCCGCCTCAGCTTCCCAAAGTGCTGGGATTACAGGTGTGAGCCAACACTACCGGCCAGAAATTTACAGATGTTAAAGGCTCAGTGAATCCCAAACGGGATAAACATGAAGAATATCATGTTTAGAAAAAACATCTAGGTGGCCGGGTGCAGTGGCTCATGTCTGTAATCCCAGCTGCTCAAGAGGCTGAGGCAGGAGAACTGCTTGAACCCAGGAGGCAGAAGTTGCAGTGAGAATCATGTCACTGCACTCCAGCCTGGGCGACACAGCGAGACTCAGTCTCAAAAAAAAAAAAAAAAAAAAAGGAGGCCGGGTGTGGTGGCTCACGCCTGTAATCCCAGCATTTTGGGAGGCCAAGGCCTGAAGTTGGGAGTTTGAGACTAGCCTGACTAACATGGAGAAGCCCCATCTTGACTAACATGGAGAAGCCCTGTCTCTACTAAAAATACAAAATTAGCCGGGCAAGGTGGCACATGCCTGTAATCCCAGCTACTTGGGAGGTTGAGGCAGGAGAATCACTTGAACCCAGGAGGCGGAGGTTGTGGTGAGCCAAGATCGTGCCACTGCACTCCATCCTGGGCAAAAAGAGCGAAATTCTGTCTCAAAAAAAAAAAAAAGAACCTCCATCTCCATGCTTAAATACTTGTGAGCAGGGCAAAGGCCATGCAGAGAGTGTTCACACCCAGACCAACGCCCTGCTTCGCCTTCACTGCAGTGCATGCCATCCCTTTGGTAGAGGATGAGACACCTTCCCATAACTGGCTCCCCTTTCTCATAATATGTCTTAGAATTATTAACATGGTTGAATTTAGGTCTACCATTTGCTTTCCATTTGTCCCACTTTTGTTCCCCTGTTTCTCCTTTCCTGCCTTCTCTTGAAGTATTTGATTAATTTTTTTTTTTTTTTTTTTTTTTGAGACAGAGTCTCACTCTGTCACCCAGGCTAGAGTGCAGTAGCGCGATCTCGGCTCACTGCAACCTCCACCTCCCAGCAAGTAGCTGAGGTTATAGGCTCCCACCACCATGCCAGCGAATTTTTATATTTTTGGTAGAGACAAAGTTTCACCATGTTGATCAGGCTGGTCTTGAACTCCTGACCTTAAGTGATCCACCCACCTCAGCCTCCCAAAGTGCTGGGATTACAGGCGGGAGCCACCTCACTCAGCTAAATGTTCTAATAAATACCCATGTACCCACTATTTTGCCACTTGCAGTTTTTATTCATCATTATCTGTCATTTTTCTTCATGTTGGTAAAGCTCTAGTTCATTCCCGCTAATGGATGTATACTATTCTGTTGTGTGATTACATCGGACAAAAAAAGTTTTTTGTTTTTTTTTTGAGACAGAGTCTTGCTCTGTTGCCCAAGCTGGAGTGCAGTGGCGTGGTCTTGGCTCACTGCAACCTCCACCTCCCGGGTTCAAGCAATTCTCCTGCTTTACCCTCCCAAGTAGCTGGGGTTACAGGTGCCCACTACCACACCGGCCAATTGTTGTATTTATTTATTATTTATTTATTTTTTATTCTTTTTGCGTCTCACTCTGTCGCCCAGGCTGGAGCGCAGTGGCACAATCTCAGCTCACTGTAAGCTCCACCTCCCGGGTTCACACCATTCTCTTGCCTCAGCCTCCCAAGTAGCTGGGACTACAGGTGCCCGCCACCACCCCCAGGTAATTTTTTGTATTTTTAATGGAGATGGGGTTTCACCATGTTAGCCAGGACGGTCTCAATCTCCTGACCTCGTGATCCGCCTGCCTCGGCCTCCCAAAGTGCTGGAATTACAGGCGGGAGCCACCACACCTGGCCCTATTTATTTTTAAGACGGAATTTTGCTCTTGTTGCCCAGGCTGGAGTGCAATGGCATGATCTCGGCTCACTGCAGACTCTGCCTCCTGGGTTCAAGCGATTCTCCTGCCTCAGCCTCCCGAGTAGCTAGGATTACAGGTGCTTGCCACCACTCCTGGGTAATTTTTGTATTTTTAATAGAGATGGGGTTTCACCATGTTGGCCAGGCTGGTCTTGAACTCCTGACCTCAAGTGTTCCACGTGCCTCGGTCTCCCAAAGTGCTGGTATTATAGGCGTGAGCCACTGCGCCCGGCCGATCTTTCTTCTTTTTTTTTTTTTTTTTTTTGAGATGGAGTCTCGCTCTGTCACCCAGGCTGGAGTGCTATGGCACGGTCTCGGCTCACTGCAACCTCCACCTCCTGGGTTCCAGCGATTCTCCTCCCTAAGCCTCCCAAGTAGCTGGGATTACAGGTGCCTGCCACTATGCCTGGTTAATTTTTGTATTTTTAGTAGAGCTGGGGTTTCACCGTGTTGGTCAGGCTGGTCTCGAACTGCTGACCTCATGATCCGCCTGCCTTGGCCTCCCAAAGTACTGGGATTACAGGCATGAGCCACTGCGCCTGGCTGCCCGGCCGTATTTTTATTGTTTTTTTTGTTTTTGTTTTTTTGTTTTTTTTGAGACGGAGTCTCACTCTGTAGCCCAGGCTGGAGTGCAGTAGCACAATCTCTGCTCACTACAACCTCCACCTGCCGGGTTCAAGCGATTCTCCTGCCTCAGCCTCCTGAGTAGCTGGGACTACAGGCGCATGCCACCACGCCTGGCTAATTTTTGTATTTTTAGTAGAGATGGGGTTTCACTATGTTGGCCAGGCTGGTCTCAAACTCCTGACCTCGGGCTCCCAAAATTTTGGGATTACAGGTGTGAGCCACCTGGCCTGGCCACCACATGGGACTATTTACCCTACCAACTGCTGTTGGATACTTAGATGGTTTTGTGCATTGCCAGTACTTGGATACTTGTATGCACCCGTGTTCCTCTAAGGGGGACGCCCACAAAAGCTATTGCTGCCACAAGGTATGTGCATTCTCATCTTGACACCATGTCTTAGTCTGTTTTGTCTTGCTGTAACGGAATTGCACAGACTAGGAAACGTGTAATGAACAGAAATCTGTCTGGGCGCGCTGGCTCACACCTGTAATCCCAGCCTTTTGAGAGGCCAAGGCAGGTGGATCACTTGAGATCAGTAGTTCAAGACCAGCCTGGCCAACATGGTGAAACCCCATTTCTACAAAAAATTAGCCCGGCATGTTGGGGCATGCTTGTAATCCCAGCTACTAGAGAAGCTGAGGCAGGAGAATCGCTTGAACCCAGGATGCAGAGGATGCAGTGAACTGAGATTGTGCCACTGCACTCCAGCTTGCGAGACAGAGTGAGATTCTGTGGGAGACAGAGCGAGACTCCCTCTCAAAAAAAAAAAAAAAAAAAAAAAGAGAAATCTATGGGCTCACAAATCTGAAGGTTGAAAAGTCCCAGATGGTGGGGCTGGTATTTGGTGAGGGCCTTCCGGCTTCCTTGTAACATAGCGGAAGGCATCTCATCTGAGACAGAGGGGTGAACTCATTCTTTATAAGGAATCCATTCCCGTGAAAACTCACTCACTTCCATGGTCATGGCATTAGTGCATTTCTGAGAGCAGAGCCCTGGTGACGTAATTATCTCTTAAATGTCTCACTTCTAAAATCTGTAGCACTGCAGGTTAAATTTCCAACCCAAGAACTTTGGGGGACACATTCGTATCCCAACACACGGTTTTATCAAATGCTTCTCCAAAGTGATTGTTGCCAGTTACCACACCCTGGCCATCCAGATGGGCCATTTCCCCTAGTGTCCCTTTAGCAGCAAGGACAGTTGGGAAAGGGTGGAGCTGGGACTGACCCTGTGTCTGTAAATATTATATAATTATATACCCTGCTTCAGAGTCCCCCTCTGTTGCCCTGGAGTGCAGTGGCATGATCATAGTTCACTGTAGCTTCCAACTCCTGGGCTCAAGCTATGATCCCCCTGCCTCATCCTCCTGAGTAGTGGGTACTATAGGCATGTGCCACCATGCCCAGCGAATTAAAAAAATTATTTTTGTGTGTGTGGAGATGGAGTCTTGCTATGTTTCTAGGCTGTTCTTTTTTTTTTTTTTTGAGACGGAGTCTCGCTCTGTCGCCCAGGCCGGACTGCGGACTGCAGTGGCGCAATCTCGGCTCACTGCAAGCTCCGCTTCCCAGGTTCACGCCATTCTCCTGCCTCAGCCTCCCGAGTAGCTGGGACTACAGGCGCCCGCCACCGCGCCCGGCTAATTTTTTGTATTTTTAGTAGAGACGGGGTTTCACCTTGTTAGCCATGATGGTCTCGATCTCCTGACCTCATGATCCACCCGCCTCGGCCTCCCAAAGTGCTGGGATTACAGGTGTGAGCCACCACACCTGGCCTATACCTTGCTTCTTTCTCTTTCTTTCCTTTTTTTTTTTTTTCTGGAGACAGTCTCCCTCTGTCGCCCAGGCTGGCGTACAGTGGTGCAATCTCGGCTCACTTGCAACCTCTGCCTCCCGGGTTCAAGGGATTCTCCTGTCTCAGCCTCTCGAGTAGTTGGGACTACAGGCTTGCATCGCCACACCTGGCTAATTTTTGTATTTTTAGTAGAGACAGGGTTTCACCATGTTGGCCAAGCTGGTCTCGAACTCCTGATCTCAGGTGATTCGCCCACCTTGGCCTCCCAAAGTGTTGGGATTATGCCCTTCCTTCCTTCCTTCCAGACAGGGTCTTGCTCTGTCACCTAGGCTAGAATGCAATGGCAGGATCTTGGCTCGCTGTAACCTTTATCTCCTAGGTTCAAGCAATTCTCCTGCTTCAGCCTCTTCAGTAGCTGGGATTACAGACACTCGCTACCACGCTCAGCTAATTTTTGTATTTTTAGTAGAGACGGGGTTTCGCCATGTTGGTCAGGCTCGTCTCGATCTCCTGACCTCAGGTGATCTGCCTACCTCCCTGCTTCTCATTGAGGTCTCTGCCAGTCAGGTATCAGCACAGGGAAAGGGCTCAAGGGCAGTGTGTGGCCATGGCCCTGTTTGCAGAAGATGGCAGTAGGAGCAACCCTTTCTACATTTACTCAACACAGCCGCTTATGACCAGCCTGGTTAGGCCTCAGGGCAGTGTGCGGAGACTCACTGTGATCTTAGCTCCAGGTGCTCCTCCAGCTGGAGAGGCAGCCTACGGCTGATCACAGTGCAAGGCCAGATGTCCCTTTCTGTCTCTGTGACGGCAGAAACGAGGTCTGTCTCATGACTCTATCCCAAGCACTTGTCACAGTGGTGCCTCTGAATATGTTACGGGTCATTCACTCATCCATTAAATATCAAGCGCCCCTACAACACCTCATGGGGACTTCACTTTTTATTTTGTTTTTGAGACAGGGTCTCACCCTGTCACCCAAGCTTGAGTGCAGTGGCTTGATCATCGCTCACTGCAGCCTCCAATTCCTGGGCTCAAGTGATCCTCCTGCCTCAGCCTCCTGAGTAGCTGGGACTACAGACACACACCACCATGCCTGGCTAATTTTTTTTATTTTTTTATTTTTGTAGAGACGGAGTTTCATCGTGTTGCCCAGGATGGTCTTGAACTCCTGGGTTCAAGAGATCTACCCACCTCGGCCTCTCAAAGTGCTGGGATTACAGGCATGAGCCATGGCACCAGGCCAAGCTTCACTTTTACCGGGAATGGGGATGATGAAGGCTAGGAGCGTCCCGGTCTGGAGAAGCCCAGGCCCCTTAGCCTTTCTTCTGATGGAGCCACAACTGCCAGGGCCCACCTCTCCCACCCACTCACAAGCAGGGCTCACAGAGCAGAGCCCCCGATCAGAAGCCTCTCCAAGGCCAGGCTGCAGGGAAGGCAAGCAGAAAGAGTATCCACTGTTCCAATCTGATTTTATTGAAAAGGAAACATACAAAAATCATGTACAAAAAAAATTAACCAAACATGTACAGAAAATTCATTCCGGTATCTACAGCAGCGCATATACAGTATCTTACAGGCTGGGCCATCCCTCCCCACTCCCAGACTCCTCCCTCTTCCGAGATTTCCCCCCCTCCCTGACTCCCCGTCTTCCCCCCAGCGCTTGGCCCTGGGGACTAAGGCTGGGGCGGCTTCAGCCAAAATCTCCCACCCCCCAAATGAATGCCAGTGGTCACACGTGCTCTCTCTAAACCTATGCAATGGGATTGATGGGGCGGGGGGCGGTCACGGGCAGAGCACAGGATTCACAGTCTGGGCCCCTCCTGGCCACCCCCTGATGAAGGTGAGGCAGGCATGCCCACCACCCGCCGGCTGGCTCAGGGAAGATGGCTGGGCGCCGGGCTGGAGCAACCGGCAAACGAGCCCCACTCTCTGGCTCCAGGAGGCTAGTGGTCACGTTTGGCTCATTTGCTCTTCACGGGCCCCCTCCCAGGAGGAGGGGGGGAAGCACCAGGGGCCTGAGGCCAGGCCCAGAGTGAAGGAGCACCGAGAGGAGAGCCCCCCCCTCCCAGTGTCACCCCTGCAGCTGGAACGGGCACCAGCACAACAGCCTTTCCTGAGATGGTGGTGGGCGGCAGAGGCGGGCGGCTCAGTCCCCACCCCCTCGGTCACCGCCACCTTCCGATGCTGAGTCCATCAGCCGTCCCTCTCCTGGCTTCTTGGCCAGGGACCCAGGAGTCCGCATCTCCGTCAGTGCACCCCAGGCTGGGCTGGGGCTGGAGTGGCTGCCCCGGCCCGCCCCCGGGACAGGCAGGGCTGGGAGTCCAGTATGCTACATGGTGCAGAGAAAGTCCCCCGCGCTGGCCAGGGTGTCAGGAGGTGGGAGGGGCCTGCCCCCCGAGTCCCTGACGTCCACCGGGCGGGTGCAGGCACCTAATTGGGCTCCATCTCGGGGGCTCTGTGGCCCCTGGGTAAGGGCAGGAGTCCCATGATGAGATTGTACAGGACCCTCCAGGGTGAGGGGCGGTGCCGCTGCTGCTCCTCTTGTCTCTGGGGAAAAGAGAGAGAAGGGGCAGTTAGCAGGGGACTGAGTATGGTGATGGGAGTGGGGATGGTCAGCTCCAGGGGCAGCGAGGCGACAGTCTCGCCCACCCTATTCCAGCTCCTCCCCCCGCCTGGGCTAATGTCCATGTCTCGGAGGTCACATCCTCATCCAGGACATGAGACCTGGAGGCAGAGGACAAACACGGAATGCCTTCAGCAGAGAGCTGGGCACCAAGCGAGTGCGTGGCACATTAGCTGTGACTGCCCCGTCTCTGTTGTACATTTGAGAAAGACATCCCCCAAGGGGCTGAAGGATGGACTGCAACCTATCCTGCCCCTCCCTACAGGGCTGGCAAGATGAGGAGAAAGGAGCAGGGTGCCCACAGTCTTGGCAGTTCTAGAACAATCTGTGGAAGGAGGAGAACTGGGAAGAGCCCCCCCCATTGCAGAGGCTTCAACAGAAGCACCTCTAGGCAACGCCGAGTGAAACCCCTGCCCCCTCTCCAGTGGCAGGATGAAAACAAGGTGGTCTCTAGGACCCTCTCAGCTCCAACATCCTAGGAAGTGGGCAGGCAGGAGGCTAGGTCCTAGGAAAGGCTCCCGACTGGTAAAAATTAAAGGCAATACTAAAAAGAGTACAGAGGCCCGGCGCAGTGACTTATAGCTGTAATCCCAGCACTTTGAGAGGCCAAGGCGGGAGGATCACCTGAGGTCAGGAGTTTGAGACCAGTGTGGCCAACATGGTAGAACCCCGTCTCTATTAAAAATACAGGCCGGGCGCGGTGGCTCACGCCTGTAATCTCAGCACTTTGGGAGGCCGAGGTAGGCGGATCACCTGAGGTCGGGAGTTTGAGACCAGCCTGACCTACATGGAGAAACCCCATCTCTACTAAAAATACAAAATTAGCCGGACTTGGTGGCACATGTCTGTAATCCCAGCTACTTGGGAAGGCTGAGGCAGGAGAATCGCTTGAACCTGGGAAGTGGAGGTTGCGGTGAGCCGAGATCGTGCCATTGCACTCCAGCCTGGGCAAGAGCAAAACTCTGTCTCAAAAAAAAAAAAAAAAAAAAATACAGGCCGGGTGCGGTGGCTCACGCCTGTAATCCCAGCACCTTGGGAGGCCGAGGCGGGCGGATTATGAGGTCAGGAGATCGAGATCATCCTGGCTAACACAGTGAAACCCCATCTCTACTAAAAATACAAAAAAATTAGCCGGGTGTGGTGGCGGGCGCCTGTAGTCCCAGCTACTCCGGAGGCTGAGGCAGGAGAATGGCGTGAACCCGGTAGGTGGAGCTTGCAGTGAGCCGAGATGGCGCCACTGCACTCCAGCCTGGGTGACAGAGCGAGACTCCATCTCAAAAAAAAAAAAATGGCTGGGCAAGGTGGCTCACGCCTGTAATCCCAGCACTTTGGGAGGCCAAGGCAGGTGGATCACCTGAGGTCAGGAGTTCAAGACCAGCCTGGCCACCATGGGGAAACCCCGTCTCTACTAAAACAACAAAAATTAGCTGGGCCTGGTGGCACACACCTGTATTCCCAGCTACTAGGGAGGCCAAGGCAGGAGAATCGCTTGAACCCGGGAGGCGGAGGTTGCAGTGAGCCGAGATTGCACCACTGCACTCCAGCCTGGGCAACAGAGCAAGACTCCGTGTCAAAAAAAAAATTTTTTTTAAGTGTACAGAGAGCTGCAATCCTCTGCCACTCCCTGTAGCTCCACAGGCAGGCTCTGTGCTAAGTGGGGACCACCTAACCTCCTTCCCTTCAGGTGCAGGGGAAGGAGAAACTCACTTTACAGAAGGTTAAATGATCCTCATCGTCCTCATGCTACCTGGTAGTGAGTCGCCTGGTACCAGCCCAGCCTCCTCAACACTCCCTAGCAACTCTTGGGGCCAGGAGATGGTGGCAAAGGGGGCACATCGGATTGGTGTAAGTTACAAAACCCACCACTGTCACACTGCTGTGGGTGCCACCTGGTGAGAAAGCTAGCAATCACCTAGTAAGGTGGATGGTGGGCAGACCACCCAGGTACCTACTCTAGAAACACAAGAGCGCACCCGGAAATATGCATGATTGGGAGAGGAAAAAAGGCAATAAATAATGGCCGGGCGCAGTGGCTTACACCTGTAATCCCAGCACTTTGGGAGGCCGAGGTGGGTGGATCACCTGAGGTCGGGAATTCAAGATCAGCCTGGTCAACATAGTGAAACCCCGTCTCTACTAAAAATACAAAAATTAGCTGGGCATGGTGGCAGGCATCTGTAATCTCAGCTACTTGGGAGGCTGAGGCAGGAGAATCACTTGAACCCGGGAGGTGAAGGTTGCAATGGGCCGAGATTGCACCATTGCACTCCAACCTGGGCAACAAGAGCGAAACTCTGTCTCAAAAAATAAATAAATAAAATAAAATCTGAAATACATTTAAAAATAGTCTGGGTGAGGTAGCTCAGACCCATAATTCCAGCAATTTGGGAGGCCAAGGCAGGAGGATCACTTGAGGCCAGGAGTTTGAGACCAGCCTGGGTAACACAGAAAGACCTGATCTCTACAAAAAAATAAAATAAAAATTAGCCAGGCATGGTGGATCTGCCTGTGGTCCCAGCTACTTGGGAGGCTGAGGCGGGAGGATCCCTTAAACCCAGGAGTTGGAGGCTGCAGGGAGCTGTGATTGAACCACGGCACTCCAGCCTGGGAGACAGTGAGACCCTGTCTCTAAACATAAAATAAAAATACATATCTATCCTAAATATCCATCAATGAGAAAATGAATAAGGATACTATGTTTATCCAACAGAATACTATGTAGCAGTGAAAATGACTTTTTTTTTTTTTTTTTTTGAGACAGAGTTTCATTCTGTCCTCCAGGCTGGAGTGCAGTGGCATGATCTCCTGATCTCGGCTCACTGCAACCTCCACCTCCTGGGTTCAAGAGATTCTCCTGCCTCAGTCTCCCAAGTAGCTGGGATTACTGGCGTGTGCCACCATGCTCAGCTACTTTTTGTTTCTTTTTTTTTTTTTGAGACAGATTTTCGCTGTTGTTGCCCAGGCTGGAGTGCAATGGCACGATCTCGGCTCACCGCAACCTCTGCCTCCCGGTTTCAAGCAATTATCCTGCCTCAGCCTCCCGAGTAGCTGAGATTACAGGCATGTGCCACCACGCCTGGCTAATTTTGTATTTTTAGTAGAGACGGGGTTTGTTCATGTTGGTCAGGCTTGTCTCGAACTCCCGACCTCAGGTGATCCGCCCTCCTCAGCCTCCCAAAGTGCTGGGATTACAGGCATGAGCCACCACGCCCGGCCTTAATTTTTGTATTTTTAGTAGAGACGAGGTTTCACCATGTTGGCCAGACTGGTCTCAAACTCCCAACCTCAAGTGAGCCACTTGCCTCCGCCTCCCAAAGGGCTGGGATTACAGGCGTGGGCCACTGCACCAGGCCGAAAATGGCTGTATTTGTTGTTTCTTTTTTGAGATGGTCTTGCTCTGTCCCCCAGGCTGGAGTTCAGTGACCCTTCATGGCTCAGTGCAGCCTCGACTTCCTTGGCTCAAGGGACCCTTTCACCTCAGCCTCCCAAGTAGCTGAGACTACAGGCCCGCGCCACCACACCCGGCTAATTTTTGTATTTTTTGTAGCAACGGGGATCTCATTATGTGGCCCAGGCTGGTCTGGAACTCCTGGGCTCAAGCGTCCTTCTATCTCCGCCTCCCAAAGTGCTGGGATTACAGGAGTGAGCCACCGTGCCTGGCTGAACATAGATGAATGGAAGCTCTTTTGCCCATATGGTGAATCTGAAGCCTAATATTGAGGGAAAAAGGAATTCTGGGGAGAAACAAAAACTATGTCATATACGCTAAGCTAAGAATGCTCCATGATTCTAAGCCCTGGTTCTGGCCTGGTAAATACGGAGTAAAAGCAACACCTGCAGGGGTTGAGAGAGGCCAACTCGAGAGATTTCCTTTGGATGCAAGGAGGGGGAAGGGATGGGGAGAGTAAGGAGCTTCACCACATGCGTTTCTGCGGTTTTGTTTGGTTTCTTAATAAGCAAGCAATGCGGGTGTAATGTTCAAACTGAACAGAGCTGCCTGGTGGGCGCATGATGTTTGTGATTTCCCATTCTCTGCTGTGGGCTTCGAATATTTGTTTTAAAAAATCGAGGCCGTGCCAGGGGCTGGGGGGCGGGGCCTCCCGCGGGGCGGGGCTGCGAGCCCACCCCTGCGGTCCCCGGCCCGCCCCGGCGCCCGGGAAACTGTGTGGCGCTGCGGGCCGCGCGAGAGGGACGGCAGGGGGCGGGCGCGGCGCGGCTGCTGACTCACCGGCTATAAATAGCCCGGGATATATGAGCCGCGCCGCCCAGCGCCGCCCTCAGTCCCCGCGGCCGCGGGCCACGGGCGCGCAGCTCCACTCCTCGGCGGCCTAGTCCCTGGCCCTGGCCCTGGCCCTGGCTCGGGCTCCGGCTATGCCAGCCGCGGCGCGGAGTCCTTGGGCGGCTCTGCGGGCGCGCGATTCCCCCCCACCCACTTACCCCCCACCTGCCTGTCCGCGGAGCGACCCAGCCGCGCAGGGCAGCAGCTGCCGCACATCTGGCGGGGGCCGCCTGCCGCCCCCTCCTCCGGCGGAAGTCCCACCTGCCGTCTACCCCACCCCCAGCACTCACCCGCCGCTCGTACTGTGCGTTGAGGTCGTCCGCCATCCGCCGCAGCTGGGCCCCGATCTCCCGGGCCCACTGTTCCTCCTCCCCGCGGACTCCCGGGGCCGCCTGGGTGGGACCGCCCGCCAGAGCCCCCGGGGCGCTGGGCACGGGCGACTCCAGGTGCTGCTCCGCCAGCGAGAGCGAGGGCTGAGGACCTTGGAGAGGCAGAGGGGCGCGGTCAGCACCCACCACCCCTCCAGGCCTCGAGGTGTCTCGGCCTGCTCCCCTCTTTCCCAGCCACTGCTCCCCGCCTCATTTCTAGTGATCCCATCGCTAGTGAGTCAATTTCTCAGCTTCTCCTCCACAGGCACCAGAAAGCAAGAAGTACCTGGGGACGCCGCTCTGGGGTCACCTGTCTGGCCAGCTACGTCCCCACGGCCCTTGTCAGTGTGGAAGGTAGACGGCCAGAGAGGTGACCCCGGGGGTGGTCAGGCTTAACGACCTCTATTTTCCAAAGGGGCCACATTTTGCCTTTTCCATGTGACAGGCAGGGAAACTGAGGCCCGCCCTTAGGGAGTATCCCAAGGTCACACAGGGATACAGTGACTGACCCCACCCAGATCACAAGCCTCAGGTCTCCTGCCCTCTCGTGTCCAACCACAGGGAAGCCACACCTCCGGATGTGGCAGAGGCCTAGAGACCAGAAGGCCAGAGACTGTGGCAGCTTCAGAGCGCGGGCCTGGGGGGCTGGGACGCGGGAGATGCCTTCCTGCCCCCCCCCCCCCCCCACTTCTGAGCGCCCTAGGAGGCTCCTGCCCTCCCGTCCCACCAGGTCCTGGCCTGAGGGTTCCCTAAGGCCTACAGCCAGGGCCTCAGTTTCCACATCTGTGACCTTGGCCTTGAAATCGGTGTCCCCTTCCAGGGCTTCCAGGAACTGAGTTAGGGAAGTTTTCTCTTTCCTCGCTCCCCTTGGGCTGCCGGGACAAGATGGGGGATGGGAAACCAGGACACACTTTCCCTAGAGCGCCTGCCGGCAGGGATGGGGCTCCACGGGCACCACAGGGTTAACAGCCCATCAGGCAGGGGACCTTTAACCCTTCCCTCCCCAAGACTCCCCCACCTCCCCGAGGGGACTTCCCAACACAATGGCCCCTCCCCCTCTCCTTCCTCCGCCGGGACTGCTGAGGACAGCCCCTGGCCAAAGAGATGCAAATAAAAGCAAAAGGCCTCTCGACCCCTCCCCAGAGGCCAGAGTTGACAGTCCTCCCGCTCGGCCCACTCTCCCTGCAACAGGAATCCTCCAGGGGGTCTAGAGGACCCAGACTGGGGGAGGGGAGCTGGGATGCAGCTGTTGCCCCAGGCCCGGAAGAGACAGTGGGCTGCAATTCGGGGACTGCAGTCAGATTCCAGGAGGGACTTCCCACTTGACCTCCCCCTCCACCCCCAGCCTCCGTCTTCCTGCTTCTTGCAACACAAAGACCACATTGGCCACACCCTCCCAGTGGCCCGGCTGGGCCCGCCACCTCCCCCCGTCCTCTCCCACTTCTCCAGTTCCTCCGAGTCTCCAGCCCTCTCTCTTCCCGGCTCCTATCACCCCGGGGGCGGGGCGGGCACTCACCGTCCGGGCGCGGGCCTCGGGGCCGGCTGCGGGGACCCCCAGGCCAGCGGGAACCCCCCAGGGCGGCGGTGACGGCGGGTGGGGCGGTGGGGGCGCAGAGGTAGGCAGCGGGCAGCAGGGTGGGGGCGGCGGGGGCGGCAGCCAGGCCGGGCTCGCAGAGGCCGCAGGACACTGCCGAGGGCACCAGGCGGCCGAGCGGGAAGGGGCGCGGGCCGTCGCGGGCCAGGCCCTCTACGGGCTCCGGGGAGCTGCCCTCCTGGCGTGCGCGGGCCATGGCGCTCCCTGGGGCCTGCGGGACACGGGAGGAGGAGCAGGTCAGCAGGGAAGTACCAGGGCCCACTGTACCTCCAGCCTACCCGGGGTTAGGACCCAGATGGAGAAGAGTGGAGGTGTGTGTGCATGCGGAGGGGGTGACGGCCCCACAGAGACACGCCCAGCCGGGGGATGACACCACCGGGTCCTGGCTGGCCTGGAGAGCCTCCCGTGCATACGGTGATGGGCACACAGGAGGGACAGGGGGCACAGGACGGCTCTCACAGCAAGGACAGGGCTCACACAGGACGGATGGAGGGGTCTAGCAGGTGTGTGTATGAGGGCTGTGACAGTCCCACAACACAAACTCACTCCACTTGGGACTCACAGCATGGGCTGGTGGGGACAACTTTCCCAACACAGCGACGGGCACACAGGGAGGGCAGTGAGGCACAGCGAGGCCCCCACAGCACACACACAAGGACTCACACGGGACTGGCCAGCCTGACCGCCCACCCCACCTCCCACTTGCACACAAACACTGAGATGGCCCCAGTCTCGGACATCACTACTCAGTACACACAATACACACACACCCCCGACCAAAGCAGGAGCATCCAGACAGACCATCACAAGCACTCTACATACTGCGCACACTGGCTGGCACAATCCATCCCCACACATCCAAACTGTCAAAGTCTCACACACTGACCCACTGTTGATATGCCCAGGGGCACATGCAAACACAATGCAGCCTTTGCAAACACAAACACACACACACAAGCTAGGCACTGCCTCAGTTCCCAAACATGCCCCTCTCCACACACACACACTCACTCCAGAGATAAGACCTGCACACCTCTGGACTCACATATCAACACAAAACAGACACCCACGGACACACATACATCAACACCCCCAAAACACACCCACATGTCACCAACTCTCAGGACACACGTAGATCAGGCACACACAGACACATGCCATCAGACCTCAACACACCACCAGACACCAACCCACCCTCCTCACGCAACCCTCAAACATCATCACCAACTGTCAGCAACACACACACACACACACCCTACAGCTAACTCTAATCCCACACAGCCCAGCAGCACACACACCTAGCGCACCCACAGAAAACACTGGTCTCACGTGACTGACATAAACACTACACACACGCAGCCCACATGACACACATGAGCCAGCCGATCACAGTGACAAGCCCCTCAGACCCAACACACACACACACACACAGGCTCAGACACAACCCCATCCAGAGGCTGCCAGCAACACCCACCGTCTACACTGCATAGACCCCACAGATCCTGGGTCCTCAAATCCCAGACGCTGATGCCAGACACACAAGCCAAACCCAGACTGAAACAACCCCCCACCACACACATACATACACACACACACTCACACCTGACAACTCACACAGACACCTGGACAGAAAACAGACATTTGCATTTAGCAGGCGCAGCATCACAAACGCTGGGCAAAAGACACATGCCCCGGAGATACAGAGACGGCCTCAGCCAAGACAGAAACACACAGGCAAGACACAAGCACACATATCGCACGCTCGGGCAAGACACACACATAAACACACAAACAGCTCACTCCAGCAACACACACACACTACAACCTCCACACCCCAGCACACGCAGGCACCACAGACCCCCAGTATCATCCCGGAACAGCACACACAGACAACTCTCACCGACAACACACGCAGGTCCACCCACCCCACAAGCAGGGCACCCACAGACAGAACCCCACACAAACAGGCGCGGGGACTCACGCAGACACCCCGACGGGTCAGAAACCCCAACATTCCTCTGGATCGACACCACCACTCCCTGCAGAACCCAGCACAAACTCGGAGCCAGACACGCGCACACACCCAGGCGAGACACCTGCAGATCCACAACCCCGCACACGCGCGCTCCCACGGCGGTCCCAGACACCCCCCTCCGCTGTCACAGCCCCCCCCACCGCCGCCACGTGCGCCCGCCCCGCCCGCCAGGCGAGCGCGGGGCCAATAACCGGCTGTTGCTGGGGCGCAGCCCCCGCCCGCAGGAGCCGCAGACTCCACGGCCCGCGAGCCGCCCCCCGTCGCCGCCCCCAGCGGGCGCGCGCCCTGGGTGTGGCCGCCCCTCCGTGCCGCCCCCCCGCCCCTCCCGGACTTTGGGGGCTGGGGCACCCCTGGGGTCGACCCTCTTCCCCGGGGCCGCACTGGCCGCCAGGGGGCGCTGCCGAGCCCGCACCCCATTGTTTGTAAACAAACCCGCCAGACCGCCGAGGCACCTGTGCGCCCAGACCGGCGCCCCAACGCCGAGCCGCCTCTCACCCGGCGACCCTGGCCCAGGGTCCCTCGCGGGGTTTGGAGAGGCGCGGTGTGGGGAGGCAGGGCGCCCACACTGCTCTCCGCCTGCACTCCTGTCACCTCCTCCAGGGAGTCCACCCGGCCTGGCCGATCGCCGCCGGAGAGGATTCGGGGCGCGCACACTCACCCCGGGGGCATGAACACGCCGGAGGGGGCGGCGGTGGGGGGCGGGCGGCTTCCTTCAGGAGGGCGCGCCCGCCGAGCGCCGCTCTCCGCGGCGGCTGCTGCTGTGGCTGTCGCTGCTGCTGCCGCTCTAACTGCAGTGGCGGCTGCTGTGGCTGTGGCTGCTGCTGCTCCCCGGGCCGCAGGCGCGTCCGCGTCGTGGCCGCTGCTGGGATCGCTGGTGCCGCCGCCGCCGCCGCCAGGCGCCCGCTCGCATGTGGCTCGCGCCGCGTCTCAGGCCGCCCGGCGGATCCCGGGCCCGCTCCAAAGCCGCCCCGCCCCGCCCCGCCCCGCCCCCGCCCGGCGGGTCCCACGCCCCGCCCCCGCGTGACGCTACGGCCCCGCCCGCCCGCCGCGGACAAGTCAGGACTTGCAGGCGCGCGCCGCGCCCCCCCCTACCTCCGCGCCGGGGGTTTCCCTGCAGCGGGGGACGGGGCAGGGCCTAGCCCAAGGCAAGGAGGACCCAGGCGCTGTGCGGCGGGGTGTGGGGAGATCGCCCAGACACCGGGACAGTCGGACACACACACTGACTGGGACCCACAGATCCACACCCCCAGCGATGCGTACACAGACCGACCGACGGGCGTTCCAGGGTCCACAAAGTCACGTGCAGGCAGAGCCCAGAGGATGTACTCACAGACACAAGGCCACAGTCTCGCAAATCCACACCATGGACAGGGGCATGAGCACACACACTCACATACTGATGGGGCTCACACTTACACACACCCAGACGGAAATGCACAGACTCACTAACAGGGTCCCCTGGACAAGCAGACGGACACAATGACAGGGCCACACACAGTTGCAGAAACACCCACACTGATGATCACACCTGGGCCCACAAACTGTGTTCACAAACAACCCTACCGAACAGGCACCCACACCACACACACGGTGGTGCAACCACACAGACATAGGCGGAGTGCTTATCAGGAAACACAAACTTGCTGATAGGCACAGGGGACACACACATACACACAGACACCTGTTACAGGGATACCTGGATACACGGCCAAATCCAAATCACACTCCCACAGGGACATACACAAATGCACTCACACAATTTCACAGCTAACACATTAAAACTATCAGAAAGTGACATTCGCCCGACACGGTGGCTCATGCCTGTAATCCCAGCACTTTGGGAGGCCAAGGTGCGTGGACTGCCTGAGGTCAGGAATTCGAGACCAGCCTGACCAACATGATGAAACCCCATCTCTACTAAAAATACAAAATTAGCCGGGCGTTGTGGCGCATGCCTGTAATCCCAGCTACTTGGGAGGCTGAGGCAGGAGAACTGCTTGAACCCGGGAGGCGGAGGTTGCAGTGAGCCGAGATAGTGCCATTGCACTCTAGCCTGGGCAACAAGAGCAAACTCCGTCTTAAAAATAAAAATAAAGGAAAGAAACTGACATTCAGAGACACAAACCAAATCAGACATAGAAGAAACTGACCACCCACACATGTCACAAAGTCACACCTGTGACAGCTTCTTGCTAACTGGCCCACTGCACACACGTCGGAGCATGCACACCTGGCCACACTCACCACAAATCTGGCAGGGGACCCACGTCGTGGAAGCAGCCCTGGGCACCTGGCATGGACATGCCTGGGCAGACCCCATGCCAAATTTCATCCTGTCTCATAGCTTTCCATTCCGTTTCTTTTTCAGTTTCTCATTGTTACTTCCTGCCCTGCTCTGGTTTGGTGAGTTTTGTCCTTCCTTTTTCCAAAGCCGTGGATTCCTGTCTCCTCTACACTTTCCATCCTTACTGGGTCTCACCCAATCGCAATCGCCTCACCAGAGTGACTCACCTTCCAGTGCCTAGTGTGGGGCTGGCTGAGTAAGGATGTCAGACTTCTCAAACTTGACTGCCTCCAAGTACACACTCTTAGCTCCCCCAAGAGATGCAGGTAATCTATATCTCACGTGAAATCTCCCCATTTGCAACATTGGGAACTCCTCAGCTTTCCTCCCTCTTTCACTTTCCCTCCTCTTTCGCTTTCCCCGATTATTCATTGTCCCTTCCTTCTTCCTGGTGTTTTCCAAACTGTGGGTCATGAGTAAACCATGGATTATGACATATGACATCACTTACATGGATCTTACTTTTTTTTTTTTTTTTGAGACAGAGTCTCGCGCTGTCGCCCAGGCTGGAGTTCAGTGGCATGATCTCGGCTCATTGCCACCTCCGCCTCCTGGGTTCAAGCAAGTCTTCTGCCTCAGCCTCCCTAGTAGCTGGGACTACAGGTGTGCGCCACTATGCCCAGCTAATTTTTGTATTATTGGTAGAGATGCGGTTTCACCATATTGGCCAGGCTGGTCTCAAACTCCTGACCTCGGGATCCGCCTGTCTTGGCCTCCCAAAGTGCTGGGATTACAGGTGTGAGCCACTGCACTCAGCTTTTTTTTTTTTTTTTTTTTGAGACGGAATGTCACTCTGTTGCCCAGACTGGAGTGCAGTGGCACGATCTCAGCAAACTGCAAGCTCCGCCTCCCAGGTTCAGGCCTTTCTGCCTCAGCCTCCCCAGTAGCAGGGAGTACAGGCGTCTGCCACCACACCCGGCTAATTTTTTGTATTTTTTAGTAGAGACAGTGTTTCACCATGTTAGCCAGGATGGTCTCGATCTCCTGACCTCGTGATCTGCCCTCCTCGGCCTCCCAAAGTGCTGGGATTATGGCGTGAGCCACTGCACCTGGCCCAGCCTTTTTTTTTTTTAGATAAAAGATTCACTCTGTCGCCCAGATTGGAGTGTAGTGGCACAATGGATAGCCTTGTGGTACAATAGCCTTGCAGCTTCAAACTCCTGGGCTCCAGAGATCCTCCTGCCTCAGCCTCCCAAGTAACTGGGACTACAGGTGTAAACCACCACGCCCAGCTAATTTTTATTTTTTTGTAGAGATGGGCGGTCTCGCTATGTTGCCCAGTCTGGTCTTGACCTTATGGGCTCAAGCAAACCTCCTGCCTCCGCCTCCCTCAGTGCTGGGATTACAGGTGTGAACCACCATGCCCGGCTGACTTAATGCATTTTACTCAGTAAGATGCATTCACATCCCAACCAACTTGCGCTTTACTGAGATGTATTTAGACACAAGAATATTCACTCTTTTTAGGTGTATGGTGTGTAAGTGGTGATAAAAGTACACAATTTTGTATTACCACAACTTCTACCTGCAATTTTACTGACCTAGACAAGAGGTTTTGTTGTTGTTTTAATTGAGACAGATTCTGGCTGTGTTACCCAGGCTGGTTTCAAACTCCTGCGCTCAAGCGATCCTCCCACCTCAGCCTCCCTAGTAGCTGGGATTATAGGTGTGCATGACTGCTTTGACCAGAGTTAAAAAAAAATACACCACAGGCCGGGCATGGTGGCTCACACCTGTAATCCTAGCACTTTGGGAGGCCGGGGGACGTGGATCACCTGAGGTCAGGAGTTTGAGACTAGCCTGGCCATCATGGTAAAACCCCATCTCTACTAAAAATACAGAAATTAGCTGGGCATGGTGGTGGGTGCCTGTAATCCCAGCTACTCGGGAGCTTGAGGCAGAAGAATTGCTTGAACCCAAGGGAAGGAGGTTTCGGTGAGCCGAGATCGCGCCATTCCATTCCAGCCTGGGCGACAAGGGCAAAACTCCGTCTCAAAACGCCAACAACAAAAATACACTACAGGCTGGGCACGGTGGCTCATGCCTGTAATCCTAACACTTTGAGAGGCCGAGGCGAGTGGATCACTTAAGGTCCGGAGTTCGACACCAGCCTGGCCAACAGGGTGAAGCCCCGTCTTTACCAAAAATATAAAAGTTAGCCAAAAATTGGTGGCGCACACCTGTAGTCCCAGCTACTCGGGAGGCTGAGACGGGAGAATCACTTGAACTCAGGAGGCAGAGGTTGCAATGAGCAGATATCGTGCCACTGCACTCCAAACAGGGCAACGGAGCAAGACTCTGTCAAAAAAAAAAACACACTACAAAATACAATTTTGAGGCCGGGCATAGGGGCTCACGCCTGTAATCCTAGCACTTTGGGAGGTCGAGGTGGGTGGATCACCTAAGGTCAGGAGTTCGAGACCAGCCTGGCCAACATGGTGAAACCCCGTCTCTACTAAAAATACAAAAATTAGCCGGGCATGATTGCGGTGCCTGTAATCCCAGCTACTCAGGAGGCTGAGATGGGAGAATCACTTGAACCCGGGAGACGGTGGTTGCAGTGAGCCGAGATTGCACCACTGCACTCCAGCCTGGGTGCTGAGCCAGACTCCCTCTTAAAAAAACAAAACAAAATATAATTTTAAAAAATTATGAAGTCAACGGAAAGTAATATTTTGTGGAAATTTTATTGATGTATAGTGAATACATATTAGGTTACAAGGAAGGTATTTTTCTGGCCATAGATCGAGTTCAAAGACGTTTGAGAAATGCTGCTTTAGACACTTATTAAATGAGATCACACTGGAAGTCATTTAGTGCAGTATTGGACATATAGTAAGTGCCTAATAAGTGTTAGCTATTATCACTTGTATAACTAATTATTGTCAGTATTTCCTGTTGCTTGACACTGATGAAGTTGAGAGAGGGGCAGTCTCTAGCCCTCTGCTAGCTCATGGTCCCACCTGTACCTCACACCTCTCACTCACTGATCAATGTCCAGACTGCCCATTGCAGGGTAGATACTCGGAGGCCAGATGTACTGGAATGTTCTTTTTTTTTTTTTTTTTAAGACGGAGTCTCGCTCTGTCACCCAGGATGGAATGTGGTGGCCCAATGTCTGCTCAATGCAACCACCACCTCCTGCGTTCAAGTGATTCTCCTGCCTCAGCCTCCTGAGTAGCTGGGATTACAGGCACCTACCACCACGCCTGGCTAATTTTTTTTGTATTTTTAGTAGAGACGGGGTTTCACCATGTTGACCAGGCTGGTTTCGAACTACTGATCTCAGGTGATCCACCTGCCTCAGCCTCCCAAAGTGCTGGAATTACAGGTATGAGCCACTATGCCCAGCCTGGAATGTTCTCTTCTTCTCCTCCTCCTCCTCCTTCTTCTTTTTTCTTCTTCCTCCTCCTCCTCCTCCTCCTTCTTCTCCTTCTTTTTTCTTTTCTTTTCTTTTTTTAGTAAAGATGGGGTCTCATTATGTTGCCCAGGTTGGTCTCAAACTCCTGGGCTCAAGTGATCCTCCCTCCTTGGCCTCCCAAAGTGCCTGGATTATGGTCATGAGGCACCATGCCCAGCCCCGGAATGTTCTTTATTTGTTTGTTTGTTTGTAGAGACAGGGTCTCACTATGTTGCCCAGGCTGGTCTCAAATTCCAGACCTCAAGCAATCGTTCCTCCTTGACCTCCCAAAATGCTGGGATTACAGGTGTGAGCCACCACACCGGCCTATAATGTTCTTTTGAGAAGAAAATGAGTGTGAAGGATAGTGGGAATCTGGCTTGGTGGCTGGAGGTAGAAAAGATGGGGAGAGGCCAAGAGTCTATTTGGCCATAAGCGTTATCACTAGTCAAAATCCTCCCCACAGCTGGGCGTGGTGGCTCACGTCTGTAATCCCAGTATCACGGAAGGCCGAGATGGGTGGATCACCTGAGCCCAGGAGTTCCAGACCAGCCTGGGCAACATGCGGAAACCTAACTGGGGAGGCTGGGGTGGGAGGAACGCTTGAGCCTGTGAGGTCGAGGCTGCAGTAGGCTGTGATCGCACCATTGCACTCCAGCTTGGGCGACAGAGCGAGACCCTTTCTCAAAAGCAAAACAAAACACCAGCCTGGCCAACATGGCAAAGCCTCGTCTCTACTAAAAATACAAAAATTAGCTGGGTGTGGTGGCACATGCCTGTAATCCCAGCTACTCTGGAGGCTGAGGCAGAAGAATCGATTGAACCCGGGAGGCGGAGGTTGTAGTGAGCCGAGATCGCGCTACTGCACTGCAGCCTGGGCAACAGAGCAAGACTCCGCCTCAAAAATAAAAAACCGACCCCCACCCCCAAAACAACAACAACACAAAACCCTTGTGGGCAAAGAAAAAGAAGTTTGTGGGTGGGTCAAGGGCTGCCTCTTTTTTTTTTTTTTTTTTTGACAGGGTCTTGCTCTGTTGCCCAGGCTGGAGTGCAGTGGCATGATCACAGCTGATGATCACAGCTCACTGCAGCTTCCACCTCCTAGGCTCAAGCAATTCTCCCACCTCAGTTTCCCGAGTAGCTGGGACTACAGGTGCACACCACCACACCTGGCTAATTTTTAAATTTTCTGTAGAGATGAGGTCTCACTGTGTTGCCTACCCAGGCATGTTTCCAACTCCTGGCCTGAACCCATTCGCCTGCCTTGGTTTCCTAAGCCCGCATGCAGCCCTCATGAAAGACTGTGGGCTGTGAGTCCAGATGGCCTGACTTAGAATCCCCTCTGCCACCTGTGGGTGATGTTGGGGAAGTGGTCACAGCTCTGTGCCTCAGTTTCCTCATCTGTGAGTTGAGACAGCACAGGTCCCTACCTCATAGGATGTGCAGTCAGAATGTGAATAACAATAAAACATTGGGCTAGGCACACAGTGGCTCATGCCTGTAATCCCAGCATTCTGAGAAACTGAGGCAGGAGGATTGCTTGAGCCCAGGAGTTCCAGACCAACCTAGGCAACATAGTGAGACCCCTGTCTCTACAAAAAATTTAAAAAATAATCAGGCGTGGTGGTGTGCACCTGTGGACCCAGTTACTTGGGAGGCTGAGGAAGGAGAATGGCTGGAGCCCAGGAGGACAAGACCACAGACAGCTGTGATCCCATCACTGCACTCCAGCCTGGGCGACAGAGCGAGACTCTGTCTCAAAAAAATAAATAAATAAAATAAAAAGACCCTGTTTTATAAATAAATAAACAAAAAAAAATTAAACAATAAAAGTACTGGGGCATGATGGATGTTTAATATATGTTACTTGTCATTACTATTACCAGTGTGGGAGTCCGTTGACTCTCTGAGAATCCAAGCAAGGAAACCTCTAGCTAAGGACCCCTCCGCCTCTTTTATGAGAACAGGGTCTCACTCTATCACCCACGCTTGAATGCAGCGGTGTGATCTTGGCTCACTGCAACCTCCGCTTCCCAGGCTCTGGTGATCCTCCTGCCTCAGCCTCCTGATTAGCTGGGACTACAGGCCTGTGCCACCACGCCCAGCTAATTTTTGTATTTTTAGTAAAAATGAGGTTTCACCATTTTGCCCAGGCTGGTCTTAAACTCCTGGGCTCAAATGATCCTCCCACCTCAGCCTCCCAAAGTACTGGGATTACAGGCATGAACCACTGGACCCGGCCTGGACCCCTATTTTTTTTTTTTTTTTTTGAGACGCAGTCTCACTCTGTCACCCAGGCTGGAGTGCAGAGTGGCATGATCTCAGCTTACTGCGACCTATGCCTCCCAATTCTCCTGCCTCAGCCTCCTTCCAGTTCAAGCGATTCTCCTGCCTCAGCCTCCTCCCAGTTCAAGCGATTCTCCTGCCTCAGCCTCCCGAGTAGCTGGGACTACAGGCATGTGCCACCATGCCTGGCTAATTTTTTTTTTTTTTACTTTTTTTTTTTTTTTGAGATGGAGTCTTGCTTGCCCTGTCACCCATGCTTGAGTGCAGTGGTGCGATCTTGGCTCACTGCAACCTATGCCTCCCAGGTTCAAGCGATTCTCCTCCCTCAGCCTCCTGAGTAGCTGGGACTACAGGTGTGCACCACCACGCCCGGCTAATTTTTGTATTTTTAATAGAGACAGGGTTTAGCCATGTTGGCCAGGCTGGTCTTGAACTCCTGACCCCAGGTGATCCACCGGCCTAGGCCTCCCAAAGTTCTGGGATTACAGGCCGTGAGCTACTGAGCCCGGCCCAGGACCCCTATTTTTATGGGGCCAAGATGCCTGCATTCTCTTCTGGGAAGGATCATCAGCCCTGTGTTCAAAAGCCATGATGCCTGAATCCAGTTTGGGGAGAGACAGCAAGTCCCTGTGTTCATGGGGTCAGGATGCCCAGGTCTACTTCTGGGAGGAGGACAGTTCGTGTCTATTTGCACAGATGCTCATGTTGAGGCTGGGGTCTCAAACTAGTGGTCCGCAGGCCGTCCACGAGTGCGTTTTCTTGACTCTGTGCAGTTTCGTATTTTGAGTGTTAATGCCTCTCCCACGGGCGCACAGCACAGAGGAACGATAACTCCGACATGGGTTCAAATGATGACCTTGAGCAAGCAGCTTCTCCGCTCTGTGCCTCAGTTTCCCTCACTGTCCAAAAGGGATCTGCACAGGCAGGACCAAAAATATTGTGAAGATAAAATGAGTTCGTATTTGTAACATACTTAGAATAGTGCCCGGAGGTAGTAAGCCGGATGTGAAGTGCTGGTGAGACAAAATAGAGCTGGTTGACTGCAGACCTAAAACCGTCTCGTCTCCAAGATCTTGTCTGCCATTCTGGGCAAGCAGATTTCGCAGCCTGGGGAGAGGGAGTTGGGAAGGACTTAACTTTTCACCGCAGGGCCTGAGTCCTGGCTTTCCGCGGTGGGGAAGGGGTCTCCCGGGTCCCCTCGGTGTGGCCGGCCCTGCAGGCCGGGAGGCTGGACCGGGGCCGGGTGGGGGCTGGGCGGGGGCGCGGGCGTCCGCAGGGTCCGAGCGGCCGGCGCGCGTGTGAAGGTTACCGCTTCCCGGCGGGGCGGGGGCCGCGCGCTGTTGCTGGGGTCTGCGGGGCCTGCCTGCGCCCGCGCCCCCCCTCCTTCCCGGCCAGCCAGTGAGCGGTACCCGCCGCCGTTGCCAGGGGAAACTCGCCGCCCCGTTACCCAGCAACAAGCCTGGCCCAACCAGGCGCGAGGACCCCCCAGGCCCCGCCCGCCGCTGCCCACCGCGTGCCCAATGCCAGGCGGGCAGAGCCGGCCCAGCTCCCGGAGACGGCGAGCGCGCTCATTGGCCACCGCCGCGTCCGCCCGGATCTGGGGGAGCCCTCGGCGCGGGGGGCGGGGAACCGGGCCCCGGGGAGCTGCCGGGCGCGCGGCCTGCAAACCTGCGACCGGCTGGGGTGATACCCGGGCTGTGCACCATCCACCTCCCTGCTCCCCTGTCCCGCACTCTCGGGTGAGGATGGGCAGTTGGGATGGGCTGGAAACGGGGTTGTGCATTCTGTTCCTACCCCCAGAATGGCACCCTGGAGTTGGCCTTGTGCCACCAAGGGTCCCCCTCCCACAAGGAGACCTGAGCATCCTGACTCCGTGAAGACAGGGACTGGTTGTTTCCCGCTCCCCCGCTCCCCGCCCCGCAGGTATCGTGGCTCTGGAACATAACGGTTGAAGTTCCCTCCCAGAAAACAACCCAGGCGTCCTGGCCTTATAAAAATAGGGTGTCACTGCACCCCCAAAGGACCCAGGCATGCCTGGCCCCGTGAAAACAAGGAGATGAGCCCCCTCCTCTTAGGAGATGCAGATGTCCCAGCCCCGGGACACAAGAACTCAGGGTCCCCCCAGAAGGGGACACAGTCATGTCTGATCCCAGGAAAACTAGGGCTGAACATCCCACTCCCACAAGAAACACGGACTCAGGCCTTTGGGCTCCCGACCCTGAGATGTTACAGAGCTCCTGGGCATCTTGGCCCTCACCACATTGATGCTGGGAGACACTCCTGTCCCTAACAGTCACCAGACCCTCAGGTGTCCAGTTTACCTAGGTGGGACCACCTGCCCAGCTCCAAGGTGCAGACCTGCCCACTTCCCACCCCTCTGAGCCCTTTTCCCCAGGGTCCAGGTGGTTGATCTCCCAGGACGTGGGCATCTGACTTCAGAGCCGCTTTCCTTACCTGTTGGCACCGACCCCCCACCTTGCGCCAGGGTCCCAGGCCTCATAGTGCCAAGGACCCCAGAAGTCCAAGCCCCGTGTCTCTGATTCCCCAGACACCTGGCCAAGCGACCCAGCCCCT